>NC_000003.12:56070606-56373636 GCF_000001405.40 Homo sapiens | reverse complement strand
TTGGCCCTTTGCAGAAAAATTTGCTGACTCTTGCTTTACACCAATGTGCTGCTGTCTGTTTCCAGCATGAAATTGGGAGGGGTGAGGATGGTGAGATGGGAAAGCCAAGAAGCTCTCCAACTAATCCCCTGTTGAGCCTTAAGTATGCTTTTGTGATACAGTGATGTCCCAGGTTGTTCATATCCTGTATTCAAATTTAGGAAGTAACACATCCTAAGATTGAATAGACAACTGACTTTCAAATTCCTCCTTCTTTTTAGCTTATAGAAATTGACTATGTATAAAAGTAGCAAGTTACTGAACCTACTTCTTCTGAAATAACACACAAATGGTAGTGTGATTTCTAGATTTTTTTGGTGAATATCGGCCTGGCTTTCATGTGATTTTATAGGATCATTGTGATTTACATATATTAGTTAAATTCTCATTAATATGAGACTGAAAAATGCTGATAAAATGCTGTCTTGGTGTGTAAAATAGACTTATATGAAATTAGTGGTTATCTCAAATAATTTGGAAGACAATTGCTGATGCAAAGTTAATTCAAAAGCCACAGTAAATTGAAGCACTAAAAGAATTTACATTCTGTATTTGTCAAAGTACAACACAAGTATCTAATTAGAATTGATACAGTATTAACAGCTGACTTGATATAAATTAGAATTTACTTTTTAGTTGCTGAATAATGATACATTTCTTCTTTCTTGTATGTATTTGTTATTATTCATATTACGCCATCCTGCCTGAGTTGCTTAGTTAGGTGGTCAGTCAAATATGGGTTTTAAGTAGCATTGTGAATTAGCGGTTATAGCTCAGAGTATGAAGTCTAACAGATTAGAGCTCAGTTCTAGCTCCTGTTCTGCTGTATGACCTTGCTCTAATTTTCTTTTCTTTTCTTTCTTTTTTTTCAAGGCAGAGTGTCTCTCTGTCACCCAGGCTGGTGTGCAGTGGTGTGATCTCAGCTTACTGCAACCTCCACCTCCTGGATTCAAGTGATCCTCCCACCTCAGCCTCCTGAGTAGCGGGGGACAACAGGCACGCGATACCACACCTGGCTTATTTTGTAGTTTTTGTAGAGATGGGGTTTTGCCATGTTGCCCAAGCTGGTCTTGTACTCCTGGGCTCAAGCGATCTGCCTGCCTCAGCCTCCCAAAGTGTTGGAATTATAGGTGTGAGCCACCACACCTGGCCACCTTGTTATAATTTTCTTAGCTTCAGTTTCCTAATCTTTACAAAGCGTTCATTAATAGTGTCTGCATTCTCAGGCTGTTGTGAGGATTAAGTGATTAAAAAAATGTGAAGTATTTAGAAATTGTGCCTGGAATATAGTGAGAGTTCATTTAATGTTAGGTGATGTATTGTTATAATAATTAGCCTTAGCAATATGATTTAATGTTGCTAATGTTAATCAATATAATTTACCATCAGTGGGAATGTGAGAATATAAGGGCTCTCCCTGTTTGGACTCACATTGCAGCTTGTACAGTTCTCAGAATTTGAAAGCATGAAATACCTTCTAACCACAGACTCTTTAGCTCATTTTCTTGTGGGGCAACTCTCTTTCCCATCAAGCAACATATGCCTCTCATTTGGGCATTTTGTTGAAGCCCTATAGACTCATACAAATTCCTTCCCAGGGCAGAGGCTAAAACACAGCATGAGAGATCCCAGGGCTGGGTGGCACAGAGGCTCCTTAGTGCTTTCCTAGGCTTCTCAAACAATAGCGTATACAGAAGATGGTAATATTTGTATGTCAGTCTGGGGTGAGCATATGAGGATGAGCCTGGCTAGAGATGCTTGCTGAGGGTGATGGCATGGGAGTCATACTGGTAACCCATTTGTGGCTATGCCCTGACATAGGTCTGAGCAAAGCCTGGGTACAGTGGTGGGATGACAGGCTAGCCAAGGGAGGGGATATTAATAGGTGGTAGCAGCTGAACCTGAGCCCTTGGGAGGTGGGGTAGAGAGGTGAGAATGTACTGCCTCACTGAAAAGTGGCCCTCTTTATATGGCTGCTGGGATTTCTAGTATCTTGCACAAGGCCCTGCCATTTTTAACTGTGTGTGCATGCATGTGGTTGGGTGTAGTGTGGAAATACATGAAGATTACCCAAATGAGAACAGAGGTTATTGATTCAGAGCTTGCCATAACAAGAGAGGAAGCTTACATTACTTGTCGTGTTTGACACAGGCAGGTGGTAGAGTGAGAAAGCTTTACAATCCAAAAAGGGGAGCCTTCAGGTATATATATCCTTTTGATTGGAGGTTGCTGGCTTGGGGAAGCTGCAGATGGGCTAATTAAAAGTGCAGTATTTGGCTTCCTTTTCTAGGCCCTGAGTTGGAAGTAGGGGCACAGAATAGAGAAACTGGCAGTCATTGACTAAATCCTGGCTCTTGCTGCTGGTTGCTGCAGAGGTTTTGAGACAGTGTTCTATTGTCTTGTATAGTCTGGCTATGTTCTTTTGCCTATTTGGTCTTTCAGTCCTTTCTTTTCTTCGTTCTCTGGCTTGTGAGTGGCTGACCAATTCTGGAAAAGCCAGAATCTGAATCTTCACTTCTCAGAAATTATCCAGATGTCTCCGTAGTAAACTATATTTCAATCATGGCAGTCATTTGATAAGAGACTGGTTGTGCAGAAGCATTTAAGGCTCCATATAGAACACAATAAGTAACATTATGACCACTGTGGCAAAAATGAGAACAATTAATAGTCTCTGTAAGCTGCTTTAGAACCAGGGAAGCAAGGCTGGGCGCAGTGCCTCATGCCTGCAATCCCAACACTTTGGGAGGCCAAGGCAGGCAGATCACCTGACGTCAGGAGTTTGAGACCAGCCTGCCAACATGGTGAAACCCCTTCTCTACTAAACATACAAAAATTAGCTGGGTGTGGTGGTGCATGCCTGTAATCCCAGCTACTCAGGAGGCTAAGGCAGGAGAATTGCTTGAACCTGGGAGGCGGAGGTTGCAGTGAGCCAAGATCACGCCACTGCACTACAGCCTGGGTGACAAAGCAAGACTCTGTCTCAAAAAAAAAAAAAAAAACAAAAAAACCCCCACCAAAACCCAAAAAACAAACAAACAAACAAACAAATCAGGAACACAAATTGTTTAACCAAGGCCAAGAGAACAAATCCCATAGGCCATGAGGATCAACCTTAGAAAGCCAAGTAACTGTTTCCTTCAGGCAGTGTTTAGTCTGTTCTGTCTTTCCTACTTCCTTGATCCCAGTCCAAAAGGCAGTATTAGCAATGACACACATGCCACCACGACCAGCCAACAAGAAATCCGGAGCAATGCAATTGTCCATCACTATCTGTGCCAATGAATTGGGAATGATCTGTATTCCATCCAGGGCAGAGGTAGTATTATTAATAACTTTTGCCAGAGTTAGCAATAGGTTTCTTCCTGATGTTTCTAAGATTTCCATCATTGGGAACACTGCTCTGATTGTTTGCATAAAGAATGAGTCATTAATTTCCCCAGGTGGAGTGCCTGAATAATCAAGGGTGGCCTTATTTTGGAGTTGACATACAGCCTTAGCAATTTATAGACTTACAGTCCCTGTGCCTGGACAAGTCTTGGAATATGATTCCTAAAGTGCATGAGGTATTAGTCTGAGGCAAGCGGGATTAGGCTTCTTGGCCATAAAAGAAGTAGTATCCAGGCCGGGCGTGGTGGCTCATGCCTATAATCCCAGCTCTTTGGGAGGCCAAGGCAGGTGGATCATGAGGTCAAGAGATCGAGACCATCCTGGCCAAAATGGTGAAACCCCGTCTCTACTAAAAATACAAAAATTAGCCGGGCGTGATGGCGTGCACCTGTAGTCCCAGATACTCAGGAGGCTGAGGCAGGAGAATTGCTTGAATCCGGGAGGCAGAGGTTGCAGTGAGCTGAGATTGTGCCACTGCACTCCAGCCTGGCAAAAGAGCGAGACTCCGTCTCAAAAAAAAAAAAAAAGTAGTATCCAGTAGGTGCTCATGGAGATACAGGACAAAAAGATTTATTTATTTATGACACAAAGTTACAACCGGAGCATCTGGTTAGCTGGGTTACATCTTCGAATCTCTAAGAGTCTCCTCTAGGTAGCAAGTATCTGTACTATCACTGTAGGAAATGTGTTGAATTCAAATGTGGGACTAGAGTCTGAATAATAGATTGTAATAATTAGTCCTTTTTTGTGGCAGAGAGGGAGAGTAGCAAAGTCATAGGTTGATTTGTTTAAGGTCATTTGTTCCTATAGGTGTAAATGGAGATGCCATTGACTGTATTTTCCTATGGTCTTATTGCATGAGACTGGAATTGCCTGGAGGATTTTATCATGGGGATCCAGTGATAGACAGTGTGTTCAGAAATCAGTAAGATCAAAGGAGTGGGTACTGTTTGGGATAATCTAAGAATGAGTATTTTCTGAACCAAAAATTATAAAGAAGAGGAAAGAACAGAGAAAAAGTTCCATTATGAGTGGACAACAACTAGGACTCTACAGAAGATGAGAAGAATGATCACGTGGAGGTGGATGAAAAACAAAACCAGAATTAGACAGGGTTCTTGGCCCGCTGCCTTGGGTAGAAGCTGTCCCCTATGTGAGGTCATCAGCTGTGTGCTTCTGAAAGCTGGCGACTTCTAGAGGATCTCTGAGAATCCTCCCTTGAGGTCCTATTATGGAGTAGCCTTCCAGTTCTGTGGAATTCTGCATTGCTTCTGTAGTTGTGAACCCAGGAATTGACTCCTTAGAATTTCACTGCTATATTTATTGCTAACAGTACCGGATAAGGTCTCTTCCAACAAGATTCAAAAACAGGTTTTTTTTTTCTGATTTTTTTTTTCTCAATAGACAAGAAGATTATAAAGATGCTATTTAGGACGATGTTGTGGGAAGGGGGCCTTAACCTGTTTTTGACAAGCTGGGCATAGTACATGATTCCGTTGTAATATTTTGCCACATCTGTGTGCAGCAGGACAGAACTACTAGAATTCGAGATGAAATCCCTGAACACATGGGCCTTCCAATTACCCATTCATAGGAGGATAGCCAATGTGTCCTTGAGGGAGTGGATTGCATGGCCATAAGGACTAATGGTAGTACTTTTGGCCAAGATGAAAGAGCTGCTGTTAGATCAGCACCTTTAACTCTTGCATGTTGTTGAAGGTTATCTTCTCGTCTAGCCTGAAATCTCCTACAGTTTAATCTTTTGTCTGTTGGTATGACTGTATTATGGTCAAGTCTATTTTAAAAAACATCTGGGGTGGCTTTATTTTATATCCTTCCAATAAATGGGGCTAAATGTTTTCCCAATTAAGAGCTACCAATGATCTCTGAAAAACCATGAAAAGAGGTGGCAAATAGTCTGAGTGAATATTCCTGAACTTTTACCCAATAGAAATTGATAATTAATATCCCATGATGTATGACCGATCTTAGCTGGTCTACATTTGCTTTTTTTTTTTTTTTAAAAAAAAAAGAATAATTTCAACTTTTATTGTAGATTCAAGGGGTACATGTGCAGGTTTGTTACATGGGTATATTGAGTGATACACAGGTTTGGAGTATGATTGATCCCGTCACCCAGGTACTGAGCATAGTACCCAGTAGATAGTTTTTGGTCAAGTCTACTTTTATTGGAAATGTTTTGGGTATGACTTTTAGAAAAATTTGTCCTACCTTTTACACTTTTTTTTTTTTTTTTTTTTTAAAGAGAGATGGAGTCTCTCCTGGGCTCAAGCAATACTCCTACCTCAACCTCTTTTTTTGTTTTTGTTTTTGTTTTTAACTCCTGGGCTCAAACAGTCCTCCCATCTCAGCTCTTGATTTTTTTTAATTGTGAAAAGAGAAATTCCATAGATCTTTTTCTGGGATAGTCCAATTAGCTTTTGCTATTCAGGATTTAGATTCCAATCAATGTTTGCAGCTTGATAAAGTTTGGTAACCCTGAGTCAAATGCACTCAAAAGAATTATAGATTCTTCTATAAATAGTGGCTGGTCTTGTCTAGGATTCTTCTATAAATAGTTGCTAGCTCTTCATTCAGCTCAAGACCAAGGTTTAAATTCCACAGTGGTCTGAATGCCTGGCCCATGGGTGGGATGGATCTTTAAATGCAAGTGGCATCTTGGGGCCTTAGGAGAGTTGTTGGGAAAAGGAAGGGAGTTTTGACAAAGAGAAGAGTTGAGAGAGGTGCAGAAGGAGATAGATCAGGATAAGGGGGAAGAGGGCACTGGGTATAGAGAGGCAACTAAAAGACAAGGCGGGGGAGAATTTACTAGGGAAATGAATCTAGTTTGTGTTATTTAAGATTGTTCAAATAATCTTTTGTGAACCATTTTGAATCAGAATGCTGTTTGGAGGCTTCTGCATGCTAATAAAAAAAAAAAAATGCTGCCCATTGGGCCTGAGCAATCTTATTCCCTTTTTCCCCTAAGCCCCTTTCAAATAAGCAGTTTTGTTTAAGGCTCATGTTGCTTAGAGTATCCACTGAAGATGACATTGATGAAATGAGGTATGATAGGCACAATAATTAGGATTGTAGTGACAGTACATATAAGAAGCAAGAGTTTTTTTCTGGAGAAGAATTAGACTTACATATAATCCCATGAGAGGTCCCAGCAGTTGGTGAAAGTGATGCTTGTTTGCTTAGTGTCTCAGAGCCCCCACCTCACAAGTGGATGCCTTCAAATGCTGACCTGGCAATCTGCGCCCTCCCAACAAGAAAACCAGAGAATGTTCTCTCTGGATTAGAGCCAAGCTCTCAGGACAGAAAATAGAGATGGAAGGAGAATCCTATCCAGTTTTATTGGTGAGTCACAGAAACGTTTGTCCAAGTGGATGCTGATCTGGTGAGAACCACAGAATTATCAGTCTGTAAAGCCGGCTTAGACAACAGGCTTATAGGGCCTGTGCCTGTGTTCTACCCTGTGATTGTCTTCATGGCAAACAACACGGAGACAGCACAATGCAAAATAGAAGGACAAAAGGGAGCAAACATGGATGAAAAGGAATGGCTTGATTCCTCCAAACAAATGGGAGCCAATAACAAAACCTGGTATTACCAAGAGGAAAATAAACAGCCAAAGAACTCAATGCCCAGAGAATGGAATCAGACACAGTGCTAACTTACCACGTTGTCACAGACCTGACAGCCTGTGAGAGCCTGCAAACAGCAAGGCACAAGGGGCCTCATGGGTGCCACTCCTGGTTAAGACTAGAGTCCATGGTGATAGGCAGTGTAGATTGTATCTTTGGGGGGTGTCCGGGTTAACTGGAAATAAACAAAGACCACCCAAAGGAGACCAAACAGATGCTATTTATTCAGAGTTTGCTATTGCAAGAGAGGCTGCTGCCATCCTTAGTGTTTGGCAGAGACTCAAAGGCAGGCAGTGGAATGGGAAAGCTTTTTGGACTTCTTACAGTGAAAAAGAGAAGGTTTCGGATACATGTGCTGTGATCAGAGGTTGCTGGCATGAGGAAGCTGGAGGCGGGCTAACTAGAAGCAGAGTATCTTACATGATTGGTTTGGGGAGAATATTTGGTTGGAGGAAGGGACAAAAAGTAAGGAAGCTGGCAGTCACTGACTAAACCCTGATCATTCTGGGCAGATTGCTGCAGAGGTTGTGGCCTGGCTTCCCAGGCTGGTTGCTGCAGAGGTTGTAGGTCAGAGTTCTGTTATACATGGTCTGGCCATGTCCATTTGTATATTTAGTCTCTCAGTAAATATGAACTCCAATCTAATCTAACCATGAATTAACTCTAAATGAACAAGAGCTGGTCTTTACTTTCAGAATTTATTCCCCAGCAAGTAAGTTCTGTCAAGGGGCGGATAATGAACATTTTAGGCTTTGCAGGCTAGACAGGCTTTGTCCCAAGTGCATGAAAGCAGACATAGGTAATACATAAATAAATAGGAGTGTCTGTGTTCCAATTAAACTTTATTATTAACACTGGAATTTGAATTTTATATAATTTCTGTGTGTCATGAAATAACATACTATTGTGTTTTTTCCAAGCATTTAAAAATTTAAAAACATTCTTAGCTTGTGGACCATACAAAACAGGTGATGGGTTGGATTTGGCCCTTTGGCCATGGTTTGCCAATCCCTGCTCTGGTAGAGGATAGATAACAAATGCAGCCATGCATCACTTAATGACTGGATATATTCTGAGAAACGTGTTGTTAGCTGATTTTGTCATTGTGCAAACGTTGTCGAGTGTACTTACACAAACCTAGTTGGTAGAGCCTTCTACACACCTAGGCTATATGAGATAACCTATTGCTCCTAGGCTACAAACCTGTATAGCAGGTTACTGTACTGAATACTGTAGGCAATTGTAACGTAGTGATTAGTATTTAAGTGTCTGAACATATCAAAATATAGATAAGATATAGGAAAAATACAGTCTATAATCTGATGAGACCATTGTCTTATATACAGTCACTGATTAAAATGTCATTATGCAGCACATGACTGTACTCACATCAGTGTAATAGAGCAACAGCAGCAGTAAAAATAATAGCCGCCAATCATTGATGAAACACTTAGGTCAGAATACTGGGTATCAGACATTGTTTTAAACACTTCATGTAAATTATCTCATTTACTTTTTTGATAACCTTATGAAGTAAATAACATTATTATCCCATTGTTCCGATGAGGAAACATAGGCTATGAGAGGTACTTGGTGAGTGGTGGAACTCCAGCAGTCTTCCTGCAGAGTCCCTGGTTGCATCATTAAGCTCTTTGGGCCACCAGCATCATAAGCACAGACATTCATGTGGCCAGAGGCTCACCCAGCGAAGAAGAATGCAGGCAGTACTGAGTGCCCAGGGTCCCTTCTGGCATTCCACCACCATGTGTTATGAGCCCCAACGGGAGAAGATTAAGGCTTATATCTTATTTTTATCTTGCTTAAAGTTTTAACATTTTAAAAATGGCAATTATTCTTCTCTTATGGATACAAAAGTAGCACAAAGCAAAGTTCTAATAAAAATTTGGGAAATGTAGGAAAGCTCAGAAAACAGGATCCCCTGCATCTTGCCATCCAGAGGTAATCTCTGTTAGCAGTTAGGAGAATCTTCCTCTGCCTTTCTCCTACATTAGTATTGTATGTACATATTGTACATTTGTAACAGCTTATTTAAATAGAGTTAATACAGTTCACCCATTTAAAGTGAACAATTCAATGGTTTTTGGTATGTTACATTATTAATTTTTTAAAATTGTGTTTATATATGTGTAACATAACATTTGACATAAAATTTTTAACCATTTTAAGTGTGCAATCTAATGGTATTAATTACATTCACAGTGTTGTACAGCTATTGACAGCTCGACACTATTTTTCAAGCTTTGTTATCACCGCATACGGGAGCTCTCTAACCACTTAGCAATAGCTCTCCATTTCCCAATCCCCCAGCCCCTAGTAACTTTCAATTTACTTTTTTGAGTCTATGAATTTCCTGTTCCAGGTATTTCATACAAGTGGAAGCATATACTATTTGCCCCTTCTCTGACAGGCTTATTCACTTAGTGTGAATGTACATGTTGCTCTGTAGTCTACTTTTAAATTTAGCAGCATATTATGAGAATGAACTTGGTTAGGCAGAGGCTAGGCCACGGAGCTGGACTGAGTTTTATAAACCATGCTAAAGAATTTGGATTTTGTTTTGTAAGCAATGAGGGAATATTAAAGTTTTTTATTCTCCATTCCCTTGCTTTCCTTCCCTTCCTACCCTCCTTCCCTTCCTTCCCTTCCCCTCCCCCTTTCCCTTTCCCTTTCCCTTTCTTTTTCCCTTCCTCCCTCCCTCTCTCCCTCCCTCCCTCCCTTTCTCCCTCCCTCCCTTCTTCCCTCTTTCCTTCTTTCAACAAGAGTATGAGATGAGATTTTTGTTTTGGAAAGAGCACTCTAGCACAGGTATATAGACTAAAGCATGGAAGACTAATTTGTAGTTTTGCCCAATTTGACTTTTAAAGTTACATTGATAGATTAAATACTTTTCTATTTAAAGTGAAGCACAAGTCACTCTGTATTCACCCTTTTTTCAATACAAAGAAAATTGACACTCAGGTAGTTACTCTGGTCACTAGAAGAAACATGTGGTGTTGCTGTGTCACTGCCCTATTTGCTTCTGCTTCTCACTGTATAAATTCTCCTTTTCACTAATTCAGTCATGTACACCTTGTTTGTACAAATTGGATTTCGAGCTACTTTGGATAAGGATACTGGTTTATTTTATCTTTCCCTCCTATGTCCTACCATGTCTAGTGCCAGAGTTGGCAGGCATGAGTATTTGATTAATTGATTTGAAAATAGGGCTTAAATTCTAAGATTGAAATACTGTATGTTTATTTTTTATGTGGTGAATGGCTTGTTCAAATTGAAATTCAGCAGATCTATTTTTGTTTTTAAATTATGGTCATTTTGATTCATCAGGAGTTTATTCCTAAGCTTTGATTATGCATTTAATCTATTTCTCATTGCATTCCTTTCCATCTTGATCCATTGTTTCTCTATTCTTTACTTTATTACCATCCACAGATTCACTTCTTTATTTCCTTCTATATCATAAAAGTATCATGAGGAAATGATGCTCATTATACTGCTGCATAGTCTGACTACCATTTGTTTCTGCATGTGGCTGTCCTAAAAACCAATTGCAACTATCCTGTGTACCCCTCCCAAAGGAGACCAGGTGATGAGGAGCCAATATCCTCAATTGATGGGTCTGCCAATTGCTGGATAGCATTTTGAGAAGTCTAGAAAGCTCAGGCTCAGAAATGCAAGAAAGACACTACAATAACAGAGGAGGTGTCTCCTTCCAGCTATTGGACAGTTTCCAGAACAAGGTCCCTCTCTGCTCTAACACAGTGTGAGGATGGCATCTGTCAGGAAGAGCCCACTGTCATTTCTTTGCTGATGTAAATAGCTAATTGTCCCTTCTGAATAGGCTTGTATGTAATTGTTCCTGTATTTTCATAAGAGGCAAGATAATTTGAGGCACACTGGAAACACCCATAAAACAGGAGCAGGCGCTGAGAGTGCAGCTGAAAGGGGCCATCCATCCACCACCAAAATCAATAATTCGGAGTATTCCAGAACTAGAGTGTGGCTGCTTTATCTCCCATTTACTTCTCCTTATCTCTTTCCTTCCCCAACATGGGTTTGAATCCACTGGTGAAAGAAGGGGCTGGTTTATCTGAGGACTTGGATAGTAGACCCTGGCAAAAGCAGCATCTTGGAATGGGAAGGTGTGATGTACCCTTGTTCCACCACTTCCCTCTCTCTCCTACCAATGTGTTATGTGAATCTAAAGGTGTTTTCCTTATTTTGGCCCGTTTTCCTTATCTATAAAACAGGAAGTTGGATAAAATGATCTCTGAGGAACCTTGAAGCTCTAACACTTAAAATTCCTCCTTGATTTCCTAGTAGCTTGATCTGTGGATCAGCCTTCTTTCCCTTCCTCCCTCCCTTCCTCCGTCTCTCTGGCTTTGGTCAACCAATGTCCTTCCTTTCATTTAGCAGGAGATATAGTGTTCATTCTCTACCTTGTCTTACCGGGAAATTTCCTGAATCCTTCAGACAGAGGATTGGCTGAGCTTTAAGCCTCTGCCTCCATCAATGGGAAGGTATGGCCTTCCTTTCTGTTTAAGTGGCATGTGTAATTAAAACAGTGTTTCTGGGAGAACATTTGATTCCTAAGTATGAGTCATGACTTGGAGCCAGCATCATGGGAGCAATAGTGAAGATTACAAGGAAGTTGTGCTGTTACTGCAGGTCTCAGTGTTTCCTGGGTTGTACCCTGGCACCCATGCCTGTGTATGATTTACGATGCATCTCCCAGGGGAAAATGCAGAAAACCACCTTGTGGGCCTAACCCCTGTCCCTGCAGTAATATGAACCATCTCTACTACTCAAGTTGGCTTGGCTGCCATCATCTGCTCTTACTGATGGTGCCTGATGGCCCTTCTGATGTCCTTGGGTGTATTCCATGGTCCAATGGCCTTATCTCTAAAACAGACTTAGTGTGTTTGTTTTTATTTTTTGGTTGCTTTCAATTTCTTACCCCTCTTAGTGCAGCTCCCCTTAAAACATAGAATATTGAGTCTTGACCATTTATATTTTGGGTTCTGTTGATCTCTGCTGGAGGTCTTGTGCTAATCTCCATCATTTTCACTTTTGAAATTTTCTCTCGCTTTTTCTTACTTTATGTATGTTTTTGGATTCCTCTGTTTTCACTTCAGAATCCTAAATATTGAGGATCCTTAATTGCTTTCTCTAGTAGGCTGTTTTGCCTCATTGGAACTCTTGAACAGACATCATCTTTTCTTCATGTTTCATGTCAGACTTGGACGTCCTTGTCTCCCAGGATGTCCCCACCCCATGAGTGTGCCTTCAGCTCATCCCATTGTTTTTATTCCTCATCTTCTTTAATCCGTCCTGGTGCAGCAGCTGCCTCACCCACCTCTTTTTGCCTGAAATTTGTCTACAGAAGCTTCCCCACTCTCCATAGCACGTCAGACAAAAATTTTCACAATCAGCCCCTGGTCTTTCTCTTCAGCCCGGTTCTAGTTCTCTCACAGTTCAGTTACGTATCTCCCACCTTACCACCTTCAACATGCGAGGATCTTTCCTACCTCTGTGCTTCTGTTTGCATGACTACCCCAATAGTGGATGCCCATTTCCCTCTTTTCTGGCTGATGAACTCTTTTTATTTTTATTTACTTGTTTATTTATTTTTGAGATGGAGTCTCACTCTGTCACCCAGGTTGGAGTGTAGTGGTGCAATCTCAGCTCACTGCAACCTCTGCCTCCTGGTTTCAAGTGATTCTCCTATCTCAGCCTCCTGAGTAGCTGGGATTACATGCCTATGCCACCATGCTTGGCTAATTTTTGTATTTTTAGTACATATGGGGTTTCACCATGTTGGCCAAGCTGGTCTTGAACTCCTGACCTCAAATGATCTGCCTGCCTTGGCCTCCCAAGATGTTGGGATTACAGGCGTGAGCCACTGTGGCTGGCCTTCTGGTTGGTAAACTTACTCATCCTTCAGTACACAACTCTTATATTGCTGCTTCTGTGAAGCTTTCTCTGCTGCTGGGTTGAGACCTTTCCTCCTTGGAGCTCCCAAAACACATTGTTTTAGCCTTGGAGAGCATGTTTTCACATTGTATCATCATTACTTGCTTTTGTCTTTCCTTCCCATTAGACAATATGCTCCTTGAGGGCAAGAGCCAACCTCGGTTTCTATATACAGGGCCCCACACCTGCCAGAGTCTAGAGAAGTAGAAGGGACTATTAAGAAGACTTTTGTTGGCCGGGCATGGTGGCTCATGCTTGTAATCCCAGCACTTTGGGAGGCTGAGGCAGGCGGATCACAAGGTCAGGAGATCAAGACGGTGAAACCCCATCTCTACTAAAAATGCAAAAAGTTAGCCAGGTGTGGTGGTGGGTGCCTGTAGTCCCAGCTACTCAAGAATGGCGTAAACCCAGGAGGCGGAGCTTGCAGTGAGCCAAGATCACCTCACTGCACTCCAGCCTGGGTGACAGAACGAGACTCCGTCTCAAAAAAAAAAAAAAAAAAAAAGATTTTTGTTACTATTGAGGGTAGGATTCAAGTCCTAACTTACCATTAATTGGCTGCTATGGTTTGGATATTTGACCCATCCAAATTTCATGTTGAAATTTATTTGAAGGTGGGGCCTAAGGGGAGGTGTTTAGATTGTGGAGGCAAATCTGTCATGAATAGCTTGGTGCTGTCCTCACAGTAATGAGTAAGTTCTCACTCTGTTAGTTTTCATGAGAGCTGGTTGTTTAAAAAAGCCTGGCACCTCCATCCTCTCTCTCTTGCTTCCTTTCTTGCCACGTGATCTGCATATGCAGCTCCCCGTTGCCTTCCCCCATGGGTGGAATCTTCTAGAGGCTCTCATCAGATGCAGATGCTGGCACCATGCTTCTTTTACAGAGTACAGAACCATGAGTCGAATAAACCTCTTTTCTTTATAAATCACCCAGTCTCAGGTATTACTTTATAGCAACACAAATGGACTAAGACACTGGCCATGTGGCCTTGGGCAAGTCACTTTGTCTTGGTTTCCTGTTCTGTCTAATGGGAATAATAATGTCTATTTTGTACACTGGTTCTAAGAATTAGAGACAACAACATTGAGCAGTTAATAGAATATTTGTTGTAGAGCAGCTGACAGAGTTTGTTTATTGTATGAATGATTGTCAGTCAAGTGGTTCTGCTTTTTAATCACTTTCTCTGCTTTCCTGTTCTCCTAGGCCTTTCTTTTTCATTTTTGCTTTTCTTCCTGATCTTATTTCTAAGCTGTATATTCTTGGCATGGGTAATCATATTCATTTGTGGGAGGGTGACAAGAAGTAGAGAAAGGAAAAAGGAAATTGAGAAGTTGCCTTCATTTGGACAGTGATGATCCAGTTTTAACTTGACAGTTGTTCTGTGATAGACTCCCCACTCTGGTTAGATACATGAGGCATGATGATATTGTGATGGGGCTTTTAGCAGATATGCCAGATTTTGCACATGTGTACACTTTTGCAAATTCATGCACACGTACACACATGTTAAAATACATTTCTGTCAACTGAGTTAGCCCCTTAAGTGTCACCTTAGGCCATCTACCCTACCCAGTGATTTTATTGCTCTGCAATTTTATTGCTTTTCATTCTCTTTCAGCTCTTCTTCCAGAATTGCATATTCTTTAGGATCACCTCAGTGATGACAAGTCAGCATTAATAGTGACACTAAGAATAATAACCTACAGGTATTGAATCCTTACAAGGAGTCAAGTAGTATATTAAACGTCTTACATGGATTATCTCACTTCATCCTCACAACAAGCTCATGAGGCAAGCACCATTATCCCATATTGCAGATGAGGATACCAAGGCTTGGAGAGACTACAGATTTGCCCACATCCACAGTTACTAAGTGGCAGAGTTGAGATTTGAACTGAGGAATCTGGCTTTAGGCCCCCTGGCCTAAGCCACCAGCCTGAGTGTGTATCTGTTGCACATTTTTGGATGTTATTGCCTTTTAGAAACCAAGCTATGTGTGGTCAGTTAGGTGATAGTTGCATTACGTACCACACTGACTATGTAAGCTAGATTGAAGTAGGCTTTTGACCTATTAACTATTTCATACACTTAATTGCAGACCTAAAAAAAACTCAGAAGACCACCTCTGTAGGCATTTCCAACATAATTATGTCATAGTGCCTCTTCTACTTCATGCTAGGAACTATTTGGAAGTTTAAAAGAATATGTATGGAAAGTAAAACAACAGACACTATGATAATTATTCCATTTCATGTGGTTTAAAAATAAAATATATAAGAGGAAAGAGAGGAGGATGGGGACTAGTGCTTGGGTCAGTCACTTTAGAAATATTGTTCGGTGTAATCAGAAACCTATGCCATAGTCATTTCTGTTCTCATGTTCTAGATGAGGAACCTGAGGATTACTAAGGTTCAAGTTCATTCCAACAATAAACTCATTTTCTGACTCTGAAACTCATGTATGCGCCACTGGAAAACATATCAACCCACAGGGAGAGCAAGGATTGATTACTTTGTTATCAGGACCCATTCCCCCTTTCTCTGCTTAGCCGGTATGGGGCTTGTCTTTATCCATTATTTGCACAATTAGGGCAGAAGGAGTCTGGTGGAAAAGGAAACATTATAAGGATGATGTCGTTTGATGTGGCAGGTTGGTGCCTCAGAATAGATTCAGGCACACCTGGAGTGGGGGCCATAAATGGAAGAGGCTCTGTGAAGTGATTTCCTTGAGGCTTGCAGTATTTATTTAGACTTTTAAAAATTATGTTATGGGATATGACATACTAGATCATTCATTCCAGTGGATGTAATGGCTCATTAAAGTTTAACAATGGAATATGAAATCAGGCGTTTTGCAATGGCCCTTGATCTTTAGTTAGCTGAATATGATTTCTGCTTGTTTAAAGCCATTAGCGGTACACTCTGTAGGTCTGACTGCCAGTCTGTGAGACCCACGTCAGAAGCCAGAGGCTGCAGCAACCCTGTAACTTTCTCCTGTGGACACACATGGGCAGCAGAGCATCCAGGAGACCAGGACCCTGTGCTGGGAGCTCAAGCTGAAGAGGTGCCAGCTCCAGCTGTAGTCAGCCTGGGCCTATGCAGGCTGTAGAGGTGGAAGTTGTGGTTGTTAAGTCAGACTGCCTGGGATCAAGTTCCAGGCCACACCTCACTGCTGGGGCAAGCTTGTGAAGTTCCTTCACTTCTCAAAGCTCATTGGCTCACGTGAGAATAGAAATTAATGGCCTCTGCCTTGTGTAAGGATTGTTGTGAGGTCTTTGGGAAGAGTCTGGCTTCTAACAGGCCCCCAGTAAAGGTTGCTGTTACTGTGGGTAAGTCCAGAGCTGTGTGCACTGGGGTGAGAGGAGAACTGCTAAGGGGCTTAGAGCCCTTTGACTCTATGCAGGAGGATGTTTCATACAGAAACATAGATTTTTCATTTTGAAATATAGAAGCATGGCTGCTTTTGCACTACAATGACAGGCAGAGTTGAGAGGTTGCAGTAGAGAATGTGAGGCCTGCAAAAAATATTTACTATCTGCTTGTTTACAGAAGAGTTGGCTGACCCCTGATTTCATGCCTAAACTCTACTGTCAGACAGTTGTGGGTTTGTGTTCCAGCTCCATTATTTATTAGCTGTGAAATCTGGGCAAGATGCTTTTCCTTAGAGTCTCAGTTTGCTCATCAATAAAGTGGGGGTAGTGATATTTACCCAGCATAGGAAAATTAAACCAGATCAGTTATGTGAAATGTTGGGCATGGTACCTGGAGTATCATCTGAGCTCAACAAACAGCTGCTCTGATGTCTGGTATCCAGAGAATATTGTGAGACTGTGTTAGCTGGAGTTGGTCAGGGTTAGCTTCTTAGAGGAGGTTCACTTGGATTTGGACCACAGAATTGTGGAGAATGCGTAAAATCTGGGTATGTAGGCACCAGGAAAGGAAGGAAAGGCCAGAATAAAGGCCTTACATGTGAGAGTAGATGCTTGACCAGTGTAGGTGGAATGAATCAAGAGAGGGCTAACTCCTGGGAGGTATTGAGGTCTGAGCTCAGGAGTCGGATGTGAATGAATGAACGACAGGGTATAGTCAGATGCCAACTACATGCCAACTCAAACTTTGAACCAGGCCTTAGCCAGGGGCTCCGTCCACCTACATGAGCTTACCAACCTTATAGAACCAGGCCAATGCTCAGATGAACTTCAGCCCAGGCCACTTTACCCCAGGCCCTCGTACATACCTGTATTACTGTTTTCTGATGCTATTTGGCCCAGAGAGCTTGGGAGAAATGTTTAAATCAGCCTAGGAAAATTGTATTTGAGAAGTCAGATTTTTCATTTCAAAAAACAACCTCTGGTGGATTCTAAATGTGACTATTAGTGACTTTGGTGTTCTCCACTGCTTTGAATCTCTCACATCCCCCTTAAAAATAATCTGGGACTGATTGTATAAAATGGCCATTGTTTTTCACAACCAGCTTGGATTTGATTCTTTGAGAGGTAGGACACAGCAGGAGCTAATGGCCTTGGTTTTCTAGCCCTGCTGACCTGCTGGGTTGTGAGGCCGTCTGATTCACCGGGCTTCTGTATATGGTCTCACTAATTGGGTGTAATCAAGATTCTCCTGAGGAATTTCAGAGACCCTGTGGTCCTGTCCAGTCTGATTCATCACCTCTCCATGGAAAGTACGGTGCTGGAGCAGACAGAACAATTTCAGAGCCTTCTCAGCAGTGTAGGCAGGTCCCAAAGGTTTCAAGTTATTCTGGGATTCAATGGACTTGTTTTTTGTTTATCTGAGAGGGAAAGAGGAACCAGACTTTACCCTAAGATTGAGTCATAGAGGTGTGGAAATACACAATGCAATATTTGCCTACATTGTACAAAATTCATTGGATGGAGGAGTCATCTGACTCATCGTCTGGAATATGAGTTTAAATTTCTGTATGTTGAAAAGTGAAATAGGCTGGGTGTCGTGGCGCACGCTGTAATCCCAGCACTGTGGGAGGCTGAGACAGGAGGATCGCTTGAGTGCAGAAATTCAAGACCAGTGTGGGCAACATGGGAAGATCCTGTCTTTACAAAAAAAATTATCCGAGCATGATGTGCATGCCTGTGGTCTCAGCTACTCAGGAGGCTGAGGTGGGAAGATCACTTGGGCCTGGGAGGTCGAGGTTGCAGTGAGCTGTGATCACGTCACTGCACTCCAGCCTGGGTGACAGAGTGAGAATGTGTTAAAAAAAAAAAAGAAAGAAAAAAGAAAAAGAAAAAGAAAACAAGAAAAAAAAAGGTGAAATAATAGCTCCTTTTCCTTCTTAGAATTATAGTGTGTTCTCATCTTAATATACACATAACTCCCACTTGTGCTAACAAACAACAGGGGCTCATTCATCATTCAGCAAATATATCTGATGTGCTTCAGAACAATGTTCTCTTCACTCACAATGATTTGTGATTAAAAAAGAAAAGGATCATTTTTGGACCCTAGTTCATTTGCATGCCCTTGCCTTTGTTTAAGGGGAGAGTGGTTGCATTAGGAAATAGGCACCTTCCAGTCCTTGGCATTTGATGATGTTTCTGTATCTCCCTATTTGTCTCAATTCTGCATATTGTTTCATTTATCTGATTTTTCTAAACCAGAGATTTATTTGCTAATTCAAACATACAGGTGCCGGAGGCTGCTGGGGAGGGCTGTGTTAACTCCAGAAGTAAATTAGCCTTCAGTAAATTCAAACTAGAAGTTCTTAATTTGGAGGGAATGTGTTAATCATTGAATAACTAGGTCTTGTAGAAGTAAAGCCTAGAATTTCTTTGAAATAAATTTCAATTCAAAAAGTATCTCTTGGACACTTCCCGTGTTTGGGAACTTAGGCATAGGCTGGGAAAGGTGGAGTGACATGGGTATCATGTAGTTCCTGCTCTGATGGCATAGAGGTTTATCTTGGAGAGTTAGGACAAATATGTATGAGAGAAGTAGAGCATTTTACAGTGATACATATTAGGATTTCTCAAGATCAGTACCATTGATACTTTGGGCTGGATAATCCCTTGTTATGGGGGACTGCCCTGTGCATTGTAAGAGGTCTAGCGGCATCCCTGGCCTCTACCTACTAGATGCCATTAGCACCCCCTCCCTAACCATGACAATAAAAAATGTATCCAGACAGTGCCAGATGTCTCCTGGGAGCAAAATTGCCCCTGTTTGAGAATTGCTGATGTACATTACAATCCAGGTACCAAAAGAATGTGGCAGTGGCAACTGGTGCCCAGCGAAGAGCCATGTAGGAAGGGCTGTGAGGCTCTGCGAATGGTCGCCAATCCCCATTGTCTGTGGAGAGAATAAATGCTTGCACATGTACATACAGCTTTTTGCAAATGTTTGTAGATACTAGTGTGTTGGAAAATTGTATTTAAAACTGTTACTGGATTCAAAGTAGCTTTTAGCTATTTTGTATTTTCTCATTCAGAAGATCGTAAAAATGTAACTGGTGATATCTAAGTGCCTGGGCTAGCTTTGAGTGTGGGCTCTGGAGTCAGGCTGCCTGATTCCTGCCACTTATTAGCTATCTGACTTTGGGTGAGTGTCTTAGCCTCTCTATGCCTCAGTTTTCCCATTGGTAAAATTGGAATAATATGTACCCTTAATTTATTATCATTATAAGGATTAAATGAGATATTGCATATTTGGTTTCCAGTATAGTGAGTAAAATATAGTAAGCATTTAATACATGACAGCTATTATTATTTCTTTATATATATATATATATTTTATTATACGTTAAGTTCTAGGGTACATGTGCACAACGTGAGGGTTTGTTACATATGTATACATGTGCCATGTTGGCGTGCTGCACCCATTAACTCATCATTTACATTAGGTATACCTCCTAATGCTATCCCTCCCCCCTCCCCCCACCCCACAACAGGCCCTGGTGTGTGATGTTCCCCTCCCTGTGTCCAAGTGTTCTCATTGTTCAATTCCCACCTATGAGTGAGAACATGTGGTGTTTGGTTTTTTGTCCTTGCGATAGTTTGCTTAGAATGATGGTTTCCAGCTTCATCCATGTCCCTATAAAGGACATGAACTCATCATTTTTTATGGCTGCATAGTATTCCATGGTGTATATGTGCCACATTTTCTTAATCCAGTGTATCACTGATGGACATTTGGGTTGGTTCCTTTTGGGGGATATTTAGTTTTCTGACACTCAAATTCTCGAAGCCATTACTTTAGATTTTAAGTGCTATGAGATCAGAATGGAGAGAGAGAGAGGAGAGCCTCCTTGGGACAGCTTCATGAAAGAGATTGAACTGAGAGGGATGGATGGGTTGTAGATCTATATTTGCATACAATTCAGTATCTAGTTGCTTAGGCCATGGGACCATAGGAGGTAAGAAAGCAGGTCTAAGGGTTTCTAACTTTTGGAGACTAAATGAAAATGGATGTGGTGAAACAGGCTCTAAGGACCCTTCTAACAGACTCTAACAGACCCCATGACCCTTGCCTCCTAGACTCATGCCTTTTTGTGATCCTCTGCCCTGAGGCAGGCTCTGTGACTTGCTTCTAACCAGTAGAATATGGCAAATGTGATAGTATGCACATGATCATGTTACGTAAGATTGTAATGTCTGGCTTGGAAGGAGTTTCTTTTTTTTGCCAGATTTGAAGAAGAAAGCTGCCACATTGTTAGCTGCCTATGGAGAGGGCTATGTGGCAAAGAGGGTAGGGTAATCTCCAATCAAAAGCAAGCAAGAAACTAGGGCCCTCAGTCTGGCAGTCTGCAAAGTACTGAATGGTGCCAACAACCATGTGACCTAGGAAATGGAGCCTTCCCCAGTTGAACTTCAGACGAAAACCCAACCCTGCCTGACACCTTGATTACACCCTTGCAGAGGAACTGGCTAAGTCATATTTAGACTCCTGATCCACAGAAACTGAAATAAATATTTGTGTGTTGTTTTAACTGCTAGATTTGTGGTAATATCCTTATGTAGCAATATATAACTAATACAGTGGGTGCAACACAGAGACACCAATGACTAGGACCTCCAGACAAAGACACTTTAAATTCAACATGTTCAAGTCTGAGCTTGCCACCTCCCCGCAATCTTGTCCTGTGTCCTCTGTTCTTAGGGAATGTCTCCAGCATCCTAGCTGTACCACAATCAAATCACACACTTTGAGGCCATTCTTCTTTTGTCTTCTTTGTAACCCCTGTACAAATCAGTGCCAAATGCCTACTGATGCTGTCTCCTAAGTGTCTCTTAACTTGGTTTCCTCTTTTTCACTTTCCCCCATCCCCACCTTAGTTTAGGTTTTAATATTTCTAGCCTAGATAATACAGTAGTCTCTTGACCTGCCTCCAGTCTAAATATCTTTCCACGCTGTTATCTACATTGTCTCTAGATTTTTATTTTTTAATGTTAATCTGGACATGTAATTATCCGGATAATGAATCTTGAATGGCTTTCCATTCCTTTCAGGATAAAATGTAAAGATCTCATTGTGGCATGCAAAACCCTGTCCCTGGTAATCTCTCCAGCCTTCCTTCCACTTCTTTCCTTGGTTATTCTCCACTTCAAGACTCACATGTCACATCCAAGAAGCCTTCCTCTACTCCCTGTATCTCATGCTTAGTTCCTAAAGTCCCCATTATGAGGACTATTCATTGACTTATTACGTGTCTGTAATTGCCCAGCAGATTGTGAGTTTCTTAAGGGCAGAGACTATGTCTGGTTCCCTACAGTATCTCCATCTTCTGTTGATGAGTCATAGTAGGGTCTCAGTAAATGTTGGCTGCATGCATGCATGTATGCATGAATGAATGAATGGATGGATACACATGCCAGAGCTACATCTGTGCACTAGTTCTCTAGGCACTCTGCCACCTCCTCCAACAAACCTCCCCAAAATAGTTCTCCTGCCTTTCTGAGTGTGAACCTCCTTCCTCTTCACATCTGTCACTTCAAGTGTGGTTCTACAGAATTTGGAAGAGAACATGTAATGAGCTGCTTAGTTTTCTGGGTTGTTAGTTTTCTTTCTTTCTTTTTCTTTTTTTCTTTCTGTCTCTCTTTCCCTTTCTTTCAGGTGATGATGCCCTGCCCTGTATCAGTGTCAAGCTTAAACTTTTCATGGGTATGGTCTATAAATGAAATTTTGTTACAGAGATTTTCCCTTTGCTGATCTTACTGCAAGTTATGTTATTTCAAATATGAAAAGAAAGAAAAAGGATGCGTACAAATGGTCAGTTATTTTATGTCATCTAGTAGTTCTGCTTAATTTTCCTTCGCAGTGTTCTGTTACAAGGGGAGTCATTTTGCCTGTCAAATACCCCTAGTTTTATCTTCCACTGGGAAAGTTTTTTTTCTTCTTTTTTAGAATGAATGTTTTAAAGAATTGCTCTGTTTCTTCATCTGTTAAATGGGGTTGTTAGTTTACCTAGGCTGCTGTAACAAAATATTATTAAATACCATTAATAGTATCATCCTTTTTCTTTCCTCTGTCTGCCTCTCCCTCTCCTCCACCCCAGGGCAGGCTTTGGAACTAGGCGGACCTGAAGTTCAATTCTGGCTATCCCTCTTCCTAGCAAGGTGACCTTGGGCTTGAACTCTCTAAGCTTTTGTAGTCTCACCTGTAAAATTTACATAAAGCCTGCTTCATAGGGTTGCTGAGAGTATTGAATAAGAGAAAGCAGATAAAGCACTTTGCACCAAGACTGAATGTGTAAGTCCATGATAAACATCAGCTGCCACTCCAACAGCATGAGAATCATGGCCTTTTTGCCACTCTGGATTGTTCCAGTTGGTTCCTTTTCTATTGATCCTAGTGTACTGCCTGTTTCCATGCTCTCCTTTTTTACTTGGCTCCAGTCTGTTCTGGCTTTTGACAAGTTGCACTGTCCCTTGAAGGCCTTCTTTGAGCAATGGGCTCATGGACTCTTCTTCATTTCTTTAATGCATCTCTCTCTTCAGCATTTGGTGTCTCTACCATGAGCATTTCACTGTATATATATATATATATCCTCTTCTTTTCCAAGTGCCTTTGATTTGTCTTCATACTGGAATTTCCTGAGTTTGAGCTGTAAACTTTAAAATCAACCAGGTTGGTTAGAATTTTGTGTCAAGTAAGAGTCAACAGACTGAAGATACAATAGGTCTCCATGGAGTCTTTAGGCATGGCCTACTATATGAATAAGGCTCATATGCCAACCGTGTGAACTCTGCAGAGGCCATTTACAAATTCCTTTTTGGCTCTTGGAAAGTGAGGTTGCAGATTTTAGATAGGCCAGCTTCTATTGTAGTTGACAATAAGCCCCTGTTGAAGCTAAACAAAACAGTTGGCTGTGAAAAATTTTATTTTTTTCCTTCTGCACTAATAACACACAGTGACATGTTGGGATAAGGAATATGAAATTATATCCACCTCCTGTCCCCCAAATTCTAGCATCAGTGATATTGCTTTGTCCCCCAGCAGGTAGATTTGGACGTTGTTCTGGGCTAGACATTTCTTCTTTTTAAGTTTTATTTTAGTTTCAGGGGTATATGTGCCTGTTTGTTCTATAGGCATATTGCATGTCACAGGGGTGTACATATTATTTCATCATCCAGGTAATAAGCATAGTACCTGATAGGTAGTTTTTCTTTTTTTCTTTTTTTTTTTTTGAGACGGAGTCTTGCTGTCTCGCCCAGGCTGGAGTGCAATGGCGTGGTCTCTGCTCACTGCAACCTCCACCTCCTGGGTTCAAGCGATTCTCCTGCCTCAGCTTCCTGAGTAGCTGGGATTACAGGTGCCTGCCACCAAGCCTGGCTAATTTTTGTGTTTTTGTATTTTTAGTAGAGATGGGGTTTCACCATGTTGGCCAGGTTGGTCTCGAACTGCTGACCTTGTGATCTGCCTGTCTCGGCCTCCCAAAATGCTGGGATTACAGGCGTGAGCCACGCGCCTGGCCCCTGATAGGTAGTTTTTCGATCCTCATCCTCCTCCCACCCTCAACCCTCAAGTAGGCCCTGCTGTCTATTGTTCCCTTTAGACTTTTCAGGAGCAGGCATCATACTGCTTTGGAGTTTGCTCTGAGGCTGAGTAAAGTGTGATTGGGAAATATAGCTAAGCTTTTAAAAGGGCATAGTTTCTTAGTTCACATCTGGTAATTATAGAGCCAGCGTGTCTTTCTCTTAGAGATTGGGTAATTGTATGTGGAGGGTTGGTGGGGGTAAGTGGGTGTGTGCCCTTATTTGTAGCCAATGGTTCACTTATTCAAATGATGCCTTCTCCATTTTGGAGCCTTAGGTGTTCGTGAGATGAGCAGAGGGTAATTTATCACCGGATCAAGCCCTAATTTCGTTGTCACCATTTTGGTGTGTGTACACCAGGCCTGCTCTATTTGTGTCATTTAGAACTCCAGAACAAACTGTTCTGTAAATATTACTTAAAAAATAATGTAGCACTACCACCTTCTTCTAAAATAAACTCTAAAAGCTTTGCTTTAGAGAGCTATTTTCTTCTGTTAATTTTTTTAAGTTGAATCACAGATTTTTTGAGGGTTTAAATCAGGTAGCATCTTCTGTTACTAAATTCTTTCTTTCTTTCTTTCCTTCTTTCTTTCCTTCTTTCTTTCTTTCCTTCCTTCCTTCCTTCCTTCCTTCCTTCCTTCCTTCCTTCCTTCCTTCTTTCCTTCCTTCCTTCCTTCCTTCCTTCCTTCCTTCCTTTCTTTCATTTTGGTGGTATCTTAGAAAAGTGGTAGGGTAAAGAATCCTGTTTACCTTGGGTTTGCTATTATTTATTGGAGCTCTGTAGGTGGCTACTAATAAATAGTTTCAATCGTCAAATCTTTGTCAAGAAAATGGACTATATTGGGTCCATTTGGGGCTGGTATAGAGAGTGGTAGCAAAGAGGGCATGCAGGCAGGATGAGGCAAGTTTCATTTAACCTGCACAGAGTGTTCAATAAAATATAACCAATGTTTAAGAACCTGCAGATTTCACATAGAAATCTTGACATAAAGTTGTATATATTTAATTTATAAATACATAATTATTAAATATTAAATATTGTAGTATATATAAAATTAATTTATATATATTTATAAATAAAAATATATATATTTGCCTCCCTTGAAAAATTGAAGATCTAGCATCTAGACAGCACGCACACTCTGTAGTCCCCACTGGCCCCACCACCCAACATTTCTCTCTGACTTTGAGGCTGAATGTAGTTGCAGTATGCAATCAAGATATGATGGTGTTGGAATTCCAGAATTCTTGTGCCTGGCCCAGAGTTTTTTTCCTGGTGGACATTTCAGTCCATAATCTCTGGCCTGAAAAAAGGACCCAAAGCTCTCCTGATGCACAGCCTTTTTGGCAGATTGGTTCTTGGGCTTTTGTGATGGAGAATTAGAAGGAAAGGAAGAGGGAAGCAAGACAGAAGGGAAGGAGAAGCTAAGGGTAGAAGGAATTTAGGGGGATGGAGCTTTTTAGGTGTCTGGCCTGGGAACAGCTGTAGTATTTGAGAACAACAGATGGGATTTTAAGCAAAATTGAGAATTATGTGTCCACTCCATAGTGTTCAAGAAATACAAACACGGATTTGGCTTATTTTTGAAATTGCTGGACTATGTATCAGTCAGGGCTGAGTTAGAGACAGAAGCTACACCAATTACTTCAACAGAGAGCATTTAATATTTAAAATTATTAACCAGATATTAGAGAACTGAGAAGGCAGTAAGACAACACTAAGGAATCATGGAAAGTAGCAACTGCAGGAGGCATTTGCCATTCCTGGGGTTAGGATTATTAAAATTTAGAAGCTTGTAGGAAGGGCCAAGTGGGGCTGAACTTATATCTCCAAGGTGATAGCTAGTGCTAGGGCCTCTGAGCTCAAGAGGAGGGTAGTTGAGGGCCTGGTACCCAGACCTCTGAGAGTTGGTACTGTCCAGGTGGTGTTGGAATCTCTGAAGTCTGGTAAGAGGCAGGCTGGGATTGGGGGTCTTTAAGGCAACACAATGAGGCTGGTTCCAGAAAGAACTGCAAACTGGATTCAGCAGCTGCCACAGAAAGGAAGTGGGGTTGCTAGAGTGAGGAAGCGTGGCTGGGTCACGCTCACAGGGGCAGGAAGCCAATAGGAATCAGACAGGGAGGAACGGGCCAAGCCTTCCTCCTCCAGCCTCCCAGCTTTCCTCCAGCGCCCCCTATAGGCAGAACCTAACAGGAAGCAGCTGACAAAGCAGAGATGTGGTTCACAGAGCACCAGCCCTAGCATCACAAAGATGGCATGAAAAAGTGGGTTTGGAGCTGGGAGACAGTAGCTTAATTACCAGCTCAGTGTTGTTTCGACTACCATGGTATTTTGAGTCTCAACTGTGGAGGGCTTTACAAGCACTACACAAACATACGTGGTTCCAGTTTTGCAAACATAATTTAGCAGAGTTTGGTTCTTGTGGTCTCCAGGTTTTCATCTTGTCTAACACCAATTCCCAGTTTGGGATTAAATTGCTGATTTCTTTGTAATACACTGCAAGTTAGTATTTGCTGTGGTTTGAATGTGCCCCTCCAAAATTCATGTTTTGGAAACTTAATCCCCAGTGCAACAGTGTTGAGAGGTAGGGCCTAATGGAAGATGTTTAGGTCATGCAGGCTCCTCCCTTATGAATGGATTAATGCCGATTATAAAAGGGTTTGTGGCTGTGAACTCCATCTCGTGCTCTCCCCTGCTCTCTCCTTGCCCTTTCTCCATTGGAGGATGCAGCAAGAATGCCCTTTCTAGATACTGGCCTCTACATATTGGACGTCCCAGTCTCCAGAACGGTGAGAAATAAATTTCTTCTCTTTATAAATTACCCATTCTGTGGTGTTCTGTTATAACAACAGCAAATAGACTAAGACAGTATTGTTATGAACTGATTTTTGCCTTTGCTGCAAGAGTTGACAAACTGTATAGCCCATTGGTCAGGTTTGGCTTGATGCATATTTATGTAAATAAAGTTTTATTAGAATACATCCATGCCTATTCATTCACCAGAAAAGATTTGCAGACCCCTTCTCTAGTGTAAATTTTAGTTTCTTTTTAGTTCTGATTTCAGAGCCACATAAACTTTTTTTCTTTGTAAATTACCCAGCCTTGGGTATTCCTTCATAGCAACATAAAAATGGACTAATACAAGGTCTTATGTTTAAGTTTTTAATCCATTTTGAGTTGATTTTTATATATGGTGTGATATGATAAATATTATTTTAATAATCACATTAAGTTGGCCAACATCAGTTTTTAAAATGTTCCAGTTGGCAAGTAGAAATTTAAAAAAATGTGACACAGCCATGGAGACCATATTTTAGTCATTTTAGTCTCTAAAAATGTGTTAGCAAATTCATAAAGGGCAGCTCTTTTAATATATATATAGCGTGTCCTTTTTATTCAAAGTGTTACACTGAATTCCTTTCCATAGAGATTCCTGTAACATAAGAAGCCAAAATGGAATGGATGAAGTGTATCAAAAGCCTCAAAAATATTCATATCCTATGACCCAGGGATTCATCTCCTGGGATGATGTCCCTTTGGGTGGTTTTGGCTTCCCCAGGTTAGTTAAGGGGTAGATCTCTGAAATGTAAATACAGTGAGACTTTGAAAGTTGTGCTAGATTACTTTCTTCTCCCCTTGGTCTGGCACAGCCAACAGGTGGGGTATGAAGTAACACAGTCTTCTCAGGGCCTCATGCCTGATAAACCCTGCACACTCCATGACATATGCTTACAGATTGCATGCATGTGTTTGCTCAACCATCCCACAATATTCCTAAGTGTGGGCATGCATGTGGGGATTAGGTTATCCAAGACAGCGGAAACCTCAATACTGCTCTGATGCCCTTTCTACCACCCTCATATGTGATCACTACAGAACCTTACAGCTGAGCCCTGCCACTAGTTTCTGCGCACTTTTCTTTACTGGTATCATTGTTGTCTTTCACTCCCCAGCTCTGTAGTCTTCCTCTTTGTATAAATGTTTCATTATTTTTGAAGTAGGCAATCTAGCCTCACCTCTGCAGTCCCCCCAGTGACGTTTTCTCTTTCACCATACAAATGGTGGTCTTCATAAACTAACCATTTTCCTCAGTTGTCCCAGGAACAGACAGAGTGAACTATAAGCACCTGAGTTTTACTTTCATATCCCCTGCAACTTCTCTGGGTAGTGTTTGGCCCAATGCTTGCCCTTTCAACCAGACTGTAAGCCCCATCAGAGTAGGGCTATGCCTGTCTTTTTTAGTGTTGTGTCTCCAGGGCCTGGCGGAGAGTAGATGGTCAATAAAAGCTGTTGAACGAATGATTGAACAAAACACATTAAAGGCAAGCCTATATTCAGACTTTGTTGTTTTCAGGGAGGGTAAACCAGATCCTTACAGTGTCTGGTCTGGGTCAGCTATGGGCCTGCTGCCTATTTCTGTAAATAAAGTTTTATTGGAATATAGCCATGCCCATTCATTTACCAGAAGAGACTTGGGGACTTCTTTTCTAGTGTAAATATTAGTTTTTCTTTAGTTCTGATTTCAGTGCCATAAATACCTCTTTTCTTTATAAGTTAGCCAGCCTTGGGTATTCCCCAAGCTTGGTGCTGTAAGTGGTCTTGCTGAGGAAGAACATGTAGATTAGGAACTGGTACATTGGTTTTCATTGACACATCCAACGAGGATGTGTTGTATATCTCCCGTTTTTTCCTGTAGCAGATGCTGTGCTTAGAATTGGAAAACATAGCCTTGTCCTGAGACACCTAATGGTGAATAGAAGATAAACTATTGTGATCTGTGGCATATAGTAGGCACTCAGTCATTGTTCGGTGAATGATCCACCATTACCAGAGCATGAGGCCATCAACTGATGTTCCATTAGTGGAAATGCTCCAATTCTGATTCCTTATTTGATTGGGGTTGATGGAATGTTGGGGGTGGCTTGCTAACGGAAAAGAAGCTATCAAAGAAATAAATAAATTTACCTGGTAAATGCATAGTATATGGGTGTCAGGTCCACCCTTTCTTAGAGGATGATGTTTTTTCCTTGTCACTCCTCGGGGTTTTGGTGTGGCGGGTGAGGAACTCCTGGCTCCTGGCTCTTCACCCTGAGCAATGGTGCAGACACTGATTAAAGACAGACCTGAGGGCACTTCGTTACAGTAATTGTGAGCTTTGTGCTCAACAGACCATCTGAAGACATGTCGCTGTTAGGTTCTCTCAGTGTGCTAATTGGGGACGGTGGAGAATGAGGAGGAGGAGGAGGGAAGGTGTTTGCCAGGGCAATGGAGGGCTGGTTGTGCTCCAGGGCTAAAGGGCTCAAGTAGCCAGCTTAACCTAGGTTATTATACATTCTGCCAGGCCTGCCTTGGCCCTTTTCTCACGTTTGTTTTCTTTGCTTTCCTTCTTGCCACTTTTTCCAGGAGATGTGAGCAAATGAAATCCTATTTATTTTACAAATGTAAAAAGATATTTTGTTTAATATGGCATTTGAAACATCCGTCTGCCTCTCTCTGCCTGTTTACTCTGATAAATCCTAGTAACATAGGCATAGGTGGGTGAGGAGCCAGGGGTCGTGCAGTATATTCTCTGGGGGAAAAGAATGTTAAATTTCAACAGAAAGGATTATTCAAATAAGTAATCCTTTCTTTGTTGTTATTGAATTCTTTAGTCTAGCGTTATATTGTGGCTTCTGAAAACAACAGAATTTGTGAAGGTAACAAGGGCAAGACTTTGTGAAGAAAGGAAATTTATGATTTAAAAAACTGAACTTTACAATAAGGAATGGTAATTTAATTTAGACAAGTCTGCTTTGTGTCCTGTCCTTTGCTGTTTGTTCAGTGAACATTCTGGTGCACTTACTAGAAGCCAGACACGTTTGGTCCTCTATGAGCTTACAGTCTTTTAGGGGAGCAAGTCATATTAACTAAAAATTAAAATTTGATAATTGGATAATTATTTATTTTAGAGATGAAGTCTCACTTTTTGCCGAGGCTGGAATGCAGTAAGGTGATCATAGCTCACTGCAGCCTTAAACTCTTGGGCTCAAGAGATCCTCCTGCTTCAGCCTTCTGAGTAGCTGGAATTACAGATCTATGGCACCACACCTGGCTAATTTTTTTTTTTTAATTTTGAAGCAATCCTCCTACTTTTGCCTCCGAAAGCATAGAGATTACAGGCATAACCCATTGTGCCTAGCCTAAAATTTGATAATTATCGATTAAGTGCTTATTTTGGTGTAGGCATTGGGGACACAATGGTAAGCAGGACTTGTGGAGTTTCATTCTAATGGGGAAATGTTGGGTGTGGAGCTTCTTACACAGCCTGGTGTGTGTGTGTGTGTTTGTGTATGTGTGTATTGCCTGTGTGTGTTTGTGTGTGTGTGTGTGTGAGAGAGAGAGAGAGAGAGAGAGAGAAAGAGAGAGAGATCCTAAAAGGCTGCCCAAAGGAGGTGGTTCTTTAAGGACAAATCCAAATGAACCTGGTTGAGAGAGAAGGAATATTCAACCTGATGGTGGGAAAGGTTGGTATGGGTCTGTCAAGTCTTTAGATGTGATGAAGATCAAAAGGAAGGGATGTGATTAGCCCTGGCTTGAATGGGGTGAGAGAGAAGATCAGGCAGAGACAGGCTGAGGGGCTTGAACTTCATCAGAATAAATGCCCCTTTCCTGGAGAACTCATTTATCTTCCATGAGCTAAAAGACAAGCCTTGTAGGAGGGATCATTTTCTCATCCCACAGACCATCATTTCTCAGATTCTTAATGACTTCTCTCTACTCCACTCTATTCGGTTTTATATTCCATTGTATTCCTCTTTCTTCAATTAAAAATTGTTCCAAAAAGGGTGAGGTCTAGAATATATGAATGAGTAATCACTCTCTCCTCGGCAGTGCCTGACACACACCTGGCAGAATCATGTGACAGTTCTCCTTCCCTACTGAAGTGTTAGTCCTCTGAGAGCAGGGCTAGACTGTTTCATTTCTGTGTCCATCCTGGTACACTCTGGTGATAAAAATGTGTGTTGAATGCTATATAGGAGCACACTCAAGGATTTGACATGGGTTCTTCAGAAGTCTGTGGTTATGGTCAATTTTCAAATGGAAATTGAAGTGCTTAGCCGAATAGCTGGCATATGGCAAATGTCTGATGAATGGTAATTTCCTACCTATTTAAATCAAAAGCTGTATCACTAGGGATATTTGTTATTATGGAATCTAACACTGAAATTACTTAGTGAATTTACTGGCATAACTTAGTGAATGAAGTGTTACGTGTTTTTGTGATCACAGTATTTCATTGTATGAATTTATTCTGAGTTCTGTGATGGCAATAAGTAGTATTCTTGGTTTGAAACCAGAGTAAGAAGGGGCTTGTGCAGCATTTATAAAATGGTCTGGGACATTTGAGCTAAAATTTCTGCTGGGTTACTCCCAGCCTCAGACTGCTGGAAAGAGAGTTGCCTGAAAAGCTGGATTCTATGTTCCTCACATGAAGGGAGAGGCAGGGTGGGAGGGTTGCCACTGCAGGTTTGCAGAATGCAGAGTGATAAATGAGCAGGTTCTAAGATCATTGGTAATAGGACCACATGCTTGCTTCCCTTTGGCACCCTGCCTCTCCAGCCAGCCTGCAGGAGTGTCTGGCTTGGTGGGCAGCATGGGCTACAGAAAATACCTTCATAAGCCTCCCAGGATGCCCTTCCCTGAGATCTCGAATCCTGCATGTGGTCCAGAGGTAGGTGATGCCCTGCTTAGGAAACAGAAATAAAAGGTTTACCCTGTGTTTTCAGGGATCACCAATAATTAGAAGCCAAGTAGTTGCAATGAGGGGTCTTTCCTTGGGAAAGCAATGTTCTGGAGGCTGAATGAATGACTCAGGAATTGCTAACAGGATTACTGGGGCTTCTGGGCACAGTGGGATGATATCTGGTGATAGAGAGCTTGGGGGTCTCAGAATGGACTGATATATCTGGTTCTTTTCTTTTAGTTTTTTTTTTTTGCCCCTAAAAGATTGGCAAGCTCATGACTCAAGCCATTCACAGAGGGTCATTCTTATCTGTGGTGGGTGTTGCAAATGGGGACAAATAAACCTTTCATCCCAACAGGTAGTTCTGTCTCTCATGCTAACAGGAAGCTGGACCCTTTGAGGATTCTCTATTGCTCTGCATAACTTCTGCTTCTTCAAAATGGAAGGCTTGGCTCCCAGGGGCTCAGGTCCCAGTGCCCTGTTTTTAATTGGCAGAATATCTCCTAAGCCAACAGTGATACATTGTGTCTGTTCCCAGAATGACTTTTATTATAGGTTTCCAGAGCTCTACTCCAGCCCCAACCAGTTCACCTTAGAATAGCCTTTGTAAGATGGAGGAAGGTGGAGGGGGCAGGAAGGAGACAGTCTCCAATAATAGATCTCATCCCTTTAAAATAACCATGACCTGTCACATTAAGTATTAATTGCAAATCTGTTTTAATTTTTAAATAACAGTCAGTTCTTTAAAGATTTACACCGACTCATCTAAGCTCAATAAGATAAAATTTAAAACAGAGGAAGAAGGATCAACTTCTGGGTACCATTCAGTGAGCTAAATTAGTTTCAGGATTTTTTCCCCCCCAAAGAAGTGGAACATTTATTTTTAGGACTTAGATACTTTTTTTTTCTTTTGAAAACTGCTCAGAAGTAGCACAGGTCTATCTTGGGAGGAGGTCTTTCTCCTTTTACTGTTTTCTTGTAGGCAGCAATAGGTTTTAATTTTTGCACCATATAGAGAGAAGGAGATACTTATAACTATAAATCTGGCTCATTGTTGAGGATAAGCTATAAAGGAAGATGTCTGTTGAGTATTTGGAGCATCTGTTTTACTATTAAAAAGTTTCCTTGGTTGTCCTCAGGGCACGAGTTTGGTGCCACCTTGTGGGCAATTGTCAGACGATTATGCATGCTGTTAAAAGAAAACTTGCCCCAAGGCTGCTAATAATGCTTAAAAATATGCTCTGTAAATTAGTGAGATTAAACACACACACACACACACACACACACACACACACACATTCACTCTCTCTCTCTCTCTCACACACAAACACACACACACCCTCAATGATTCTCTCCCACTAGGTTTGCACAGCTTCATCTTAGAAGCAATATTGCTACCTAATTTCAGGAAACACCTGCCTTTATCTTAAGGGATTTTGATACCCTGCTGAGGTACAAGTGCTTTATCACTGGTGGGAAACTTGTCTGGGTGTCTGCATTCATTTTTTAAGCCTGTGTTTTAAACACATTTTAACATTGTTATCTTTATTTAATTTTAAGCTAAATACTAGGTATCTATCAGGATATATCATTTTAATGATAGTATTTAATGCTGTCCTTATCAGAGATAATATAATAAAGTCAAAACAGATTACTCCCAAAATAATATTGGGCATGTTCAGATATGAGAAATCCATGTTAACTTATTTTAAACAAAACATGGATACTGTGTATATATTTACCAAATCATAGGATTTAATTACTTATAATTAATAAGAGAACAAATAAAGTATGCTTTGTGATGCTATTTGCATCAGGATGTCACTTTTATCAATATCTTGGGGTTGTGATTTTGACTCACTTTCACACACTTCTCATAGCACCTCTGAGGTATGTAGACTAATCTTGTTATCCTCGTTTTGTCCGTGCAGATGAGCCCGGAGGCTGTGGTGGCTTGGCCTGGGTCCAAGGCCTGGTAGTGGGAGAGCAGGATTAGATCCAGCTTTCAAGACCACTGGTCTGTTGCTCTTGTCATTAGCTGGTGTTGTCCCTATTGTTTATACCATAGGGTGGGAAATTCAGGAAATGAAAGTTGCGGGGCAGAAGGGAGTTTCAGAGATTCAGGGTGCTGGAGAGAGGGTGGAGTAAGGACAGGGGTGGGAAGAGGGAGAGGGAGAGAGAGAGACATGTCTTCCTGTTGCCAGACATTGGACTTAGGAAACATCTCCTTGATCTTTTTAAAAGGGAAATTGGACCCCTGATTAAATCTTTCTCTTGATTAAAGCTTTTCAAAGGCTCCCTTTGCCTATGTGAAGTCAGAGGCCTTTAAGTGCCTCTCAGCTCCTTTATGACCAGTCTCCCTGGCTTCTCCTGCCAGCCACACCGCACTTCAGCAGTGCCAAAGTATTCTGAGTGTCCTTCCTCCCAGTTCCCTTCATACCTCCCCACCTTAACACAAGCTGCCCCTGTTGCCTTGACTACCCTTACACTTCTCTTTCCCCTGATGAAACCAAAGCATTCCATAGTTCACCTCCTCAGAAACTCTTCCCTAACACTTCCCTCTCATCCTCTAGTCTGGTTAAGGTGCGCCACTTCTGTATGATGGCGCACTCCCATATGCTGTGTGATGATCTGTTGTTACTTCTATTTTCCTGATTCAATTGCGGCTCCCTTAAGAGAAAGACTTGCATGTTATTAACTTTTCTCTTATTAGAATTGAGCACGAGATATGACCCATGTTGTCTCCCATAGCTGGGAGGGACAGAACTGAGGCTAAGTTGTAGAAATCAAGACATCAGAGGTGGAACTGGGGACTCGAGGCTATTGAAACCCTCTCCCTACCTTTGCTGGCCTTTGCTACTCTTGATGCAAGGCACCATTCTCAGGCACTTGTCTTATCTCTGTCCAACTCTCAGCCCTTTTGCCCTCTTCTGTCAGCTTTATTTTGTTCATTTGCAGACATGCTTCCTCCACATGGCTGGTAAAAGTGGCCTCCTGAAGTCCAGACTCATTTTTGTGGCCTGACAGCCTTAGGGAGAAAGTGCTTCTCTCCCTAAATGTCCCAGTGTGGATTTTAAGGAAGGACTTTGGCCCTGATTGGGTCATATTCCCCCCTCAGAACAGTCACTGTATCCTGGCACTTTGTATATGTTGAATGAGTGGTTAATGTGGCATTTCTCCTTGTGTCCTTCATTTCTTGCTTGTGCTAATTATAGGCGTCTTCACTCACTCTTCTTTGTTTTCATGTCTCAAAAGTGACATGATAAAAGACAGGGGCTGACCCTGGGAGTATCCCTTGAGACTGGGATGGAAAGGTTAGACAGTTCTATGAAGGCAATTGCAGGTGGCAGGCCCATCTTCTCACCTCTTCTGTATCCTTCCTGTCTCTCATCCCCCACCAGGATTTTGGCTCAAGTAGACAGGCGGTACAGAAAGGCAGAGCTAACTGCATAGACCACAGTTCTCTGACGTTCCTGAAAAGAGGGCCTGGATTAGATGAGGCAGGCAGGAGTGATTTAAGAGTTGCTTTGTTATTGTGAGATATCACACAGATATAGGAAGTATACAAAACATAAATGTACAGCATAATGAATCAATACAATACACATGTAACCATCACGAAGTAAGGAAACAACCTAAAAGTCTTCTGTGTTCTCCTTTCCTGTCACAACCCCCTACCTCCCCTCAAAGCTAACTGTTACTCTGACTTCATGGTAATCTTCCTTGTTTTTCTTTATTCTTTTACCACCTAAGTATGCATTCTTAAATGCTAGAGTTAATTTGCTTGTTTTTCAACTTTATACAAATGTAACCATCTAGTCATATTCATTTGTGTCTGGCTTCCTTCATTTAGCATTGGATTTGTGAGATTTGTCCCTTTTGTTGAATGTAGCCATGATCTATTAATTTTTTGCACCATGTGGTTGGTATTCTATCATATAAATATACCATCATTTCATCATTTATTTTTCCATTCTACTGTTGATGGATATTTGGGTTGTCTCCAGTTTTTGGCTATTCTGAATGATGCTCCTGTGAGCTTTCCAGCTCTTGTCTCTTGGTGCATGTGGCTTGCACGCCTGCTGAGTACACATCTTGGAGTGGAAGTACTGGGGCAGTGGGTAGGTGTATCTTCACTATTAAGTCAATATGCCACAAAATTTTCCAAAAAAGGTGGCCAATTTGCCAGCAGTGTTTTTTTTTCTGTACCTCATCTAATCCCCAATTTTGGTGGCATTGTGGGAACCACAGATGGATAATAATCATAACTGTCATTTATTTAGTGCTTACTAGCTAAGTGCTTTATGCATATTCTATCAGGTCATCATCACAGCAACCCTTAGAGCCAGGTGAAATTGTTCCCCTCATTTTGCAAATGAGGACCCTGAGGATTAGGTTGAGGTTGAGTACTTACGGTTACATACCCCATATGTGATGGAGCCAGGTCCTAAGCCTGGGTCCAATCTCTTTGACTCCAAAACCTGAGTTCTTAACCTCTATACTGAAAGTTCAGGGTTTTACCTGGTAATCAGTGTGGGAAACTGTGGTTTGGCACAGTGGACCTGTTATTTGCCTTTCTGCTTATACTTGTGGGTTCAGCCTGTTGGCAGTCATTCCTTTAAAGAAGATCCGGTTTTCCAGAAGGAAGAAACATAGGAAAAATGGGATATCTGGGAGCTTGAAGCGTTTATTAAGTTTCCTTTGGTAAGTACATCACTAGGGCCCAGACTTAGCTGATACTGGTACTGAGAGTTTGCCTCAAGTATTTGTCCACCCAGAGGTGGTTTTTTTGAAGCATCAGAAGACCATGTCTCAACTATACCTCTCAAACCTCTATTAAAATTCTGAGGTTATAAAATATTCATATGTTTTTCTAACAGGAGTTAGGTTACAATTGATTTGAGGTAGTATTTAGCTTTTTTATTAAGTTTTGGTATTAGTGATAAAGTTGAACTCTTAAATGTGTAGAGAAATAATGTCTTAGAAACATTTTCCAAGGCCTCTGCACAATCCACATTGAGCTTTTCTTCCTTTTCAGCCACATAACACAGAGTCTCGCTCTATCCCCCAGGCTAGAGTGCAGTGGCGTGATCTTGGCTCACTGCAACTTCCACCGCCTCCCAGGTTCAAGCGATTCTCCTGCCTCAGCCTCCCGAGTAGCTGGGATTACAGGCGCCTGCCACCATGCTCAGCTAATTTTTGTATTTCTAGTAGAGATGGGGTTTCACCATGTTGGCCAGGCTGGTCTTGAACTCCTGACCTCAGGTGATCCACCTGCCTCAGCCTCCCAAAGTGCTGGGGTTACAGACATGAGCCACTGCACCTGGCCACAACAGGAGATTTCCTACTGGCCAGCTGGTCCATCTGCATTCATCACCACACCCCCATTCATCGTCATGATAGCAGCCTATAGGCATTGTTTAAAAAGACTTAGACTGCTCGAATGTCTTCCCAGCAAGGTCCTGTGTGATTAGGCCCCTGCTGCCCTTATGCTAGTCTCTCCTTTTCTATGTTCCAACCACAACACTTGATAAACACTTTTCCATGTGTCAGACACCATTCTAATAATCCCGTGCATAGAAATGATGCTTCCTATCTTATATATGAAGCACAGAGAGGTTAAGTAACTTGCCCGGGGCCACACAGCTAATAAATGTCAGGCAGAGCTGGTATTCAAATCCAGGTTCACTGTGTTGCCTCTACTTCCTAGACTTCCCTAAGTACATTTACTACACCCTGCTCTTTGCCTCAGGGCTTTTGCGTATGGTGTTTCTTTGGTCTGGGGTGTTCTTTCCCTCTAGATTCAGTGCACTAGGTTGAACTGCCTACAAGGTAGGGTAGATACTTCTTGTTATTTACTTATTTATTTTTTAATATTCTGCTATTATTATTACTTGTGGACTATTTTGCTTTTCCTTGTAGACCATAAGCTTCCTGAAGGCTGGAGCCCACCCACCCTGTTTCTCCCCAAGTCCCGCACACTTGGCACACAGCTTCACACTTTTTTCATTCAGCCGATGAGTGAATGGAAGGACGACTCACAGCAGAGTAGAGACACAGTGTTATTTTTCTGTCCCTAGATACATTTTTCAAGTGCTGCTAACTTAAACTCACCTTCTAATTATTGTTTAAATGGCTTTTTTGGTCTGATGCTAGATTGATTTGGAATTTTAATACGTATTTTTAGTTCTTAGTCTACTTTTCTTCAGGCCCTACCTTAAAATTTACAAGCTCCATTATCAAGAGTTGTCCTGCCCACGATATTGCATTTTGTCTTATGGGTTATAGATCATTAATAATGCTTAGGCAAAATGTTCCAATGTATAGACAGTGCACACTGGAGTTGCTACTTATCAGAACTCACCCCTCACCCCAGTTTTAAAAAATCATCGCTTTTTTGTTGACTCAAAAAAATTCTTTTAGTCAAGTATCTTTGAAAATCATCACGTCTTTTTGGTAAAATCATGGAGAAATTCTGCTGACATCTGTGTGTCCTGTATTTGCCATTTATGTACTAACTTGAGGAAAGGTAGGACCCTGAGAGGAAGTGAGTTTTCAGTTGCTTCTTTAATTGTGAGCATGTTAAATAGTGTCTTACGTCATATAGTTGAATAGAATATCCACCAGCCTTTGAGAAGTCACATCTTAACCTGACATGCTAGTGTAAATGCCACCCTTCAAGAAATACATAGATTTTGGGCTTAGATGCCCTATGCCCATTAGAAATAGCATTTTAGGCTGGGTGCAGTGGCTCACACCTATAATCCCAGCACTTTGGGAGGCCAAGGTGGGCAGATCACCTGAGGTCAGGAGTTTAAGACCAGCCTGACCAGCGTAGTGAAACCCTGTCTCTACTAAATATGCAAAAATTAGCTGGGCATGGTGGCACGTGCCTGTAGTCCCAGCTACTTGGGAGACTGAGGCACGAGGATCACCTGAACCCAGGAGGCAGAGGCTGCAGTGAGCCGAGATTGCGCCACTGCACTCCAGCCTGGGTGACAGAGTGAGACTCTGTTTCAAACAAACAAACAAACAAACAAATAAATAGATTTTTACATTCAAATCCTATAAGCTTTGCCTCACATTCAAATTTTTATATGAAGTTTTTATCATCAACTTCACCATCAGTATCAATCACCTTGGCAACGTTTTAAATGTTTTCTGCTCTTCTGATAAGTAAGTTTATCAGGCATGGTCTTGCCCTAGTCTGTTGGAAACAAAGCAGTGTTTTGTTTTGTTTTCCCTATGCAATATTTCTTAATGATTCTAATTTAATATTATATGTTTATAGTTATTAGAGACAAAAAGAGAGCATCTGTAAGGATAGTTTTAGTTACAAATATAGACAACCAAATCAAATCAGCCCAAGCAAAATGAGGATGTATGGTCTCGCCATAGCTGGGAAGGACAGAAATGAGGCTAAGTTGCAGGAATCAGGTCATCAGGGATGGAACTGAGGGCTCAAGGGTTCAGAAACCTCTTTCTGCCTTCACTGGTCTCCGATTCTCTTGGCCTATGGCCTACTTCTCCAGCCCTTGCCTGATCTCTCTCCATCCTGAAGCCCTCCTGCCCTCCGCCAGTCGGCCTCCTTTAGTCCTACTGCAGATTTGGCTGAGGAGGTGGCCCCCAGATGCTCCAGGCACCTTCTTGTACCTTGGCATCCAAGGGATTTGGGGGAAGAGTTTCTCTGTCTCCAAAGGAAAGGGAGACTGTTGCTAGAAGGGTATAAGACCATTTGAGGGAAAGATGACACCATGGATCCCATAGTCCACTAGATGGTTGCTTTTGGGATTAAACAAGCATTCATTAAGGGGTTCCTTTGTGTCAGGCACTGTGGTAAACCATAGAGATTCAAAGATTAATAAGATTACAAACCAAGTTTAATAGGCATAAAATACAGTGGGAGAGAGTGGGTTATATATAAGAAAGAGCCTCCCAAGAGTGGCTGGAGTTAGACTTCAAAATATGTTTCCTTTAGTTATTCTTTAGAATTTTCTGTTTTGTTGTGTTTTAAAAAATTCTCACATCTCTGGGATGATTTGACTATTATAGATATTGCAAGTCAATTTCCTGAAGGGTGAAGATAGATTTTAAAAATCTTTCATTGAAAAATTACCTTTTTCCTGAAAATGAAAAAAAAAATGTTCATTTGGAAGAGATAAGAATATATAAAGAAGAAAATGAAAAATAATTCTAGTAGCCAGAGGTAGCATCTTGGTTTGCTACTTAGCATTTTGGAGTGTCTTTGTGATCTTTTACATAGACATAGGTAAATATGAACTAACAATTATTTTTAGACAAATTATTTTGATAGTATTTGTTTAGTTTTGAATTCTACTTTTAAATTTATTGTTCTATTGTGAACATTTTCCCTGACCAAGAAATATATGTTAGATACGATTATTGTTATTCCCTGCTTCATAGTCCACAAAGTTAGCCATTCTTCTCTTATAGCACATTGAAGTTGTTTGCTAAATTTTGCCAACATGAGAAACACAAAGAATGTTGTGGCACCTAAATCTTTATCTGCCTTTCAAATGATTTCCTTGGGTTCTAGGAGTGGACTTGTGAGATCAAAAGGAAGACACATATTTAAGGTTCTTCATCCACATGGCCACCCTGCCCTTGGGAGCTTGTTTCAGTTTACATTCTTACCAGCTGTATAGGAGAGAGAGCATAAGAAATGTAAGACATTAATGGACCGTCTCTGACAGTTAGCCGTAGTGTCCAGTTAACTGACTGTGAGGGGCTACTACGTGACATCCCAGTGTAACCACGTGTTGCATATTGGAAAAAGCTCTGGCAGCATGAACTAAAAAAGTTTAACTTATTTCTCCTAAGAATTCATTTCTTTGTTGAGAAATTCTCTGTTCTTTCTTTTAAGGCCAAGTAAATAGAAAATGCAGTATATGCATTGTTTTTCCCCCCTTTTCTTCTCTGGCTTCTTTTTCCCTCCATAACCCCATTGAAAAGTGTCTCTCAGATTATCTCCTTGGATCTGATTCCTAGGAGTGTAATGGGATCAAAGGGACACACAGTTTCCATTGTTGTCACCAACAAAAGCAGAAAAATCTGATTAGAAGGACCCTGAAGTGAAGGTTATAGCCTTCAGTAAACTGGAAATATAATTTAAGAACCTAAACAGATTCGCTCATTCAGCAAATATTTATTGAGCACTTACTGTGTGGCTCTAGTGTGAAACTGGCCCATGAAGGGTTCGACTCTGAGACACTGAGTATTGTGTCCCACTCCCATATTTGATGGAAACAATTCCTGATGTGAAATCAGGGATGGAGTGGAGAGAACAGTGGCCTTGGAACCAGAAAGAGCTGGGTAGAAATCATGGCTCTGCTGGGTGTTGTTGGGCGTATTACTTTACCTCTCTGAGTCTTAGTTTCCTTATTGGTAAATCTAGCCAACTCATAGAACTGATAGGAGTAAATGCAATGGTTTAAATGATGGCATCAGCAGGTGTTCAGTAACAAATAGCTGCTATTATTGTTGTTATGATGATGATTATTATGGAGATGACTCTGAGATTGTATGAGCTTGGATGCTTTGGCAGTAGCTCCTAATGCCTCCCTAAGCATTTTGCCTCATGGAGCAAAAGCAATTCTGTGCATTTATGTGCATGCGTGCATATGTGTGTGCATGTATGTGTTTGAAATCTCTTGTGTGTGTGTGTGTGCACATGTGTGTGTGTGTGTGAAAAATAGGAAGTCTTTCCCCTGGAATTAGGCCCAGAGTGTGTATCAAGAGGATCCTTAAGGCAGCTGTTAGGTCCCCACTCTCCCTGCTCTGCTCCCTGAACCCTGAGAGCTCAGAGTGGAGGCACATGGGAGTGAGTTCACCAGTGAATCTTCAGCAGGAATCAGGCCTTACATAATCTGGGTTTTGTGGTATAGTCGCTAGAAGTGGGATACTTGTCCTCAAAAATTTAGAAGTGAGGCTTTTTCTTATCCATCTGCCTAGCTTTTGGGATCCAAAAGGCAAGCCTTGGTGACGGGGGAGAGTGAGGAGGTCATGGACCAAACTTCAGTGGCTCTCAAAGCCACATGCCTACCAAACACTGACTTGGGTAGGGAAGGCAGTGAGGTGGTTACTGCAGTGTGGCCGATGCCACACGCACCCACCAGTTATATTTCCCATTTTTAGGTCTCAGTGTTCTTGTGCTCTCCTGTACTTCTTCCATCAGATCAAATACTGAATTAAAATGTGTTTGAACGTCCTAGTGCATACAAGCCTCAGGGCTTTCTGGGTGGTAGAAACTTGGTTCCAGAAGCTCCTGAGCCCAAGAACTGCTAATTTGCTGGAGTATCATTACTGTGTTAAAGAAAAAAAAATATTCTGACACTTGTTAAAATGGTCAGGAAGATTTTATTCAAGACTATTGCAATAAGGGTATTGTAATGGGGGAGAGAGATTGGGTTCAACTCTGAATACAGCAAAGACAGCTGGGGATATATAGCCAGTGAGTAGAGTGAGGAGGTCAATGGGTGGAAAATTACTATGAGGAGACTTCAAGAGTAGGGGGTTCTTACTAAATGGATCCAATGAGATTCTTGCTAAAGGCAGATCAAAGACTTAGACAATAAAGGGCAGGGATGAAGAACTTTAGCAGGTATCAAGGGTAGGGGATTCTCTCTAAACTGACTTTGTGAGATTCTTGCTAAGACTGAGCTGTGCAGACCTGGCAAGGACAGGTGAACACAGAAGATCAAGGTTAAGAAGAGGGTCTACAGGAGCCTAACTAAAGTTTGGCCAAGGAGTGTCTTTGATGCTTGCCATGAATAGAATGAAGCACAAATATCAAGTGGTTAATTAGGGCTCACCTTTGGAATCACAATTGCTGGATGTTGAGACATTGGGCAAGTTATTTTGCCTCTGTGATCCTGAATCTCTTGCTGGAAAACGGACCGAACAGTACCTCCCTCATAAGTCCTGCAATGAGCATAAAAGGAGGTCATGCACAGGAAGGGTTTGTCAGAGTGCCTGCCTAAAGTAAGGGCTCAATAAATGTTATTTGTATTAAAGGTGGAGTATCCCTTATCCAAGATGCCTGGGACCAGAAGTGTTTCAGATTTTAATTTTTTTTGGATTTTGGAATATTTGCATTATCCCAAATTCGAAATCCAAAATGCTCCATTGTGCATTTTTGTTGCGAGTCATGTCAGCACTCAAAAAGTGTTGGATTTTGGAGCATTTTGGATTTTGGATTTTCAAATTTGGTATCCCTAGCCTGTGTAAGTTGGGGACTGTAATTAAGTTGAAATCCAGTAAATTTATTTTAGCAAACTCTTTCTAATCTATAGGTAATATAGGACAAGATGTGGGTTAGTGAAAATTGCTCTGGACTGAGTTTGAATTGGTGTGTTTAAAAACTAGCTCCACCAATGTTTAGCATCCTCCTAGATCTTTAGTTACTTATCTGCAAAATAGGCCACTGTCTTCTCTGCTTTTCCCACACGTTGGCATGAAATGAGAAAATATTAATATAAATGAGGCCCTGTATGGTGGCTCATGCCTATAATCTCAGCACTTTGGGAGGCTGAGGCAGGTGGATCACTTGAGCCCAGGAATTCGAGACCAGTGTGGGCAACATAGCGAAACCTTGTCTCTAAGTAAAAATAAATTCAAAAATTAGCCAGCTGTGGTGGCATGTGCCTGTAGTCCCAGCTACTCACGAGGCTGAGGTGTGACAATCAATTGAGCCTGGGAGGTTGAGGCTGCAGTGAGCTGAGAGCTTGCCACTTGCACTTTAGCCTGGGTGACAGAGAGACACCCTCTCTCTCTCTTAAGGTAGCTGTGGAAATATATATTGGAAATATATATATGTTTATTGGAAATATATATGTATATTTGAAATATATATATGTGTATTGGAAATATATATGTATATTTGAAATATATATGTATATTGGAAACACATGAATATTTGAAATATATATAGTGGAAATATATATAGTGGAAATATATATATGGTGGAAATACATATAGTGGAAATATATATATGGTGGAAATACATATAGTGGAAATATATATATATATATAGTGGAAATACATATATATGAGAATACTTGGAAAACTACAGAGGACTATAATTAGTACTTAATCAAAATGTGTCTAAAGTTGTTCCTGTGATTAGGTCTCCATCTGTAGTAAGCCTGTGCCCCTGGGCTGTGACCTTCACAAGTGCTTCTCAGTCTTGTTTTGTTTTGTTTTTCTTTTTAGGAGAGACAGGAAAGCTAGAAGGGGCTGGAGTTGGATGTTTCCCTTCCTCCAGGCAGGTAGGCTCTGGTGAAGTAGTTTCCTTTGAGGGCAGACCTTTTTATGAACAGAATACTCTGGGCATATTTCAAAATGGTGACTTTCTCACAATTCCCTGCAGGAGGAACCAGGAGAGCTTTCTCTGAACCTCACTGTGAGAACCTGATAGGGCTCCTGGAGGTAGAACTCATGATATTATGAAGGCTCTCCAGGCTCCCCTGGAGTTTTTATAATGTTATTTCTTTAAAAATTGAGAAACAAAATAGTACTTTTCGTGCACTGTTCTCAACAGCCTATAGATTGGACAGAAGAAGGGAGTTAACAATAAAGGCATTTCTTAACCCTCCTCCAAAACAAATTTATAATTTAGGCCATTTATAACAAAATCTTTTAAACATCTGAAGTATACATCCCATGTTGTAATTTGCAAAAGATTTTGCTTTTAATTATTTCAGCATCTATAAGTATCCTTTTATTGGAAAATAAAGAAGGTGACCAAGGGTGGAGGTGGACTATAGTGGAAATAAATAGAGAAATATCTAAGCTTCACTATCCATGGACTTGTCCCTTGCTCTACTGTTCTACTACTTTTACTTGAGTTACTTTCAGAATGCCAGTGACTGTGGCTGCATCCTTCAAGAAGCTAGCTCTCAGAGCAGATGCTCCTGTACTTTTCCAAACACCAAATTTAGGCTTTTTTCTCTCTCTTCTCTCAAAGTCTCTTGCCGTTTTTCAATTCAATGTCAGGTGTTGATGAAGTGTGCAGCTTCTGAGATTGGACTTGCTGAGGTCCAATCTGGCTCTTATTCTTGTGTGTGACCTTGGGTGTTTCTTGACCTCTCTCTATCCCAGTTTCCTTGTCTGTAGAACAATAATTATATAATAATATCTCCCTCTCAAAGTAGTTAGGATTAAATGGGAGAATTCATGTATGGGGCTTGGTAAAGGTTACTTGAGGGTATTATTATGCTACCTTCCCCTTTCACCACTTCTCTCTTCTATTTCTTTTTCACTTTTGTACCTTTGCACAGACTATTTTAAAAATACCCGTTTGTACCTTATCTTCCTCTAGTATGGGTGTAAGATATCACATGCATTTTCAGCTCAGTTTTGTTTAGTACTCACACATATATACACATTTCTTTACTGAACAGCTGTAGTGTACAAAGCACTACTGAGGATGAGATTCCCAATTTTGTAGATTTTGCATCTAGTGAGAAAATTGTGGAAGGTGATGAGTCAGGTTTGAAAGTGGAAGAAAGTTCAGGGTGCTGTGGAGTTGTACATCCAGGGTACAAACCCAGCCTATGAGGTCTTGGAAGCCTTCTTGGGGAGGGGACATTCCAGCTGAGACTGGAAGCATAAGTAGGAACTTTGAGGATTAACCAAATTTCGGTCTTCTGCATGGAGCCCTCCCTGGTCATACTTACTCTTCTTCACCCCTGACTTAGGTTACTATAGCACTTTATTTCTGCCCCAGGTATAGCATCTGCACATGCCTTTCTTGTCATTTAAATAGGTGGGTCTAACTCTCCTCCACTGAGTTACAAATGCCTTGAAGATGAAGGCTAGACCTTATTCACTTTGTATGGTCACAGCTTCCTGCATCACACAGTTCAAACCAGCCTTCATTTGGTGTTTTCTGAACTCAACCACATGTAGTTTGTGAAGTGTGAATCCTATAAAGGAATCTTCCTTACTAATGTTTGGCTCTCTTGGACCTGAGGTTCCTCCTTGCCTTGGGATGACTCAGTTTCATCATATAAACTGGAAGGATTGTGTTAGGGTCCTGCTGGTTAGGGTTTCTCTGATTCCCTCGATTCAGAAGGGAGGTCTCTGTTGTGTGGATGGCAGCATGAATGGGTGCTTATGGTGTGATATTGATTGATTGATTGATTGAGATGGAGTCTTGCTCTGTTATCCAGACCGGAGTGCAGTGGTATGATCTCAGCTCATTGCAACCTACGCCTCCCTGGTTCAAGCGATTCTTCTGCCTCAGCCTCCTGAGTAGCTGGGACTACAGGTGTGGGCTACCATGCCCAGCTAAGTAGTGATATTTAAATATGGGTTCATTATCTTTCAGTGTGATATGGTTAGGCTTTGTGTCCATACCACTTTGTGTCTAATCTTGAATTGTAATCCCCACGTATCAAGGGAGAGACCAGATGGAGGTAATTGAATCATGGGAGCAGTTTCCCCCGTGCTGTTCTCATGATGCTGAGTGAGTTCTCACGAGATATGATGCTTTTGTAAGTGTTTGGTAGTTCCTTCTGCATTAATTCTCCTTCCTGCTGCCTTGTGAAGAAGGTACCTGGCTTTCTCTTTGCCCTCTGCCATGATTGTAAGTTTCCTGAGGCTTCTCCTGCCATGCTAAACTGTGAGTCAATCAAACCTCTTTCCTTTATAAATTACCCAGTCTTGGGCAGTTCTTTACAGCAGTCTGAAAATGGACTAATACACATTGGTCTTCAAAGGGGATATTTTGGCTGGGACCATGTTGTAACTGGTCAGCAGGTGGAGCTGGGACAGCAGCATCCTCTTTGTAGGCTTCTTGGCCTCCCAGGCAGGCATCATGGAACATCTGTGGGAAAGTACTTGAGCTCTTAATATAAGTGGAATCCAGACATACGTAGCCCTAGTTTGATGGGCCAGGGATCCCCAGAGAAATCCAGTTTCAGAGAAAGAGGGCATGGGACCCTTGAGAAGAGAAATCATCACAAGTGAGGAGAGTTCACAGAGAGCAGAGGAATGATGGAGCAGGTGCCTAACCATGGCCTGGCACAGCCTCTAGCCTGCTGCTCCCTGGGAATGAGAGGGCTGTGGTCACTAGCAGCCCACCAACTCTGCTGAGGGAACCTCATTCTGAAATATTGGGTCATGTGGGACAGCAGGAGCTTTTCTTCTGGCCAGAAATGGCCAAAGGCAGCAGAAGTTGGTGACCTTGATAAGGTCAGCAGTGGTAGAGAAAGAAAAATCTGGAATCTGGAACTATCCCAACTCTCACACCTGCATGTACAGGATTAATAAGTAATTCAAGGTGGTTCTGGAGAACAGCTTTAGAGAGGGTTCTGTTGGACATGAACACCATTTCTCTTATTTTTTATTTGTTCTAGTCTGACCAATTTATTGCAATATGTTTGGGTGGGTGGGTTGAGACTGTTCAAACTATCTTGAGAAAAAAAAGCTGGGGTTTGCTGGAGCAGAAAGTGGAGCACTATCAGGATCCAAGTTCACTGCTCCTTTAGGGCATTTCTATGACTTCCCTACTCTGTGCTCCTGTCTTCACTATCTGCTTTCCGCACTCTTCCTGTGTGTCCACTGTGCTTCCTCAGAACTTGGACTTTCCTCAGGCTTTGGCTTGCAAGGCCCCAGCTCTTCCTGAGCAGTTCTTTGCAATTTTGCCTCCTCCATTGCCTGGCTCAGCCTCTCAGTTTCCAATTCTAATTTTCTAAGTGAGGCATCTGATGGCCCAGCCAGGCCAGGGGTGAGAGTCCCATCCCTTGATCATTTAGCCGCTAGAAGAAGGAGAGTGAGGAGTAGGGCCACGTGACATGGAGCTTGGCGGTGGTTGTACAGAGTCTGCAAGAAGAGCATGCAACCAGAGTGTGTCTGATGGGCATCTCTAGTTCATTATCCAGTCATTCATTCATTCTGTTTCCTACCTGGAAGTATAGCATTGGGGTTAAAAGCTTGGGTTCCGGAGCCAGACTGAAATCTTTGCTGTGACCTTGAGCAAGTGACTTTTCTCTTTGAGCCTCAGTTTTCTCATCTGTAGAAAGGGGATGGTAATCATACCCACTTCATAAAGTGGTTGGGAAGAAAACTTGGAAAAATGCATAAAAGATCCTAGCATAGGGCTCAGTGCAGGGTAAGTACTTTACAAATGTCAGTTATTTTTACATATAGTTCATAATGACAAGATCCATACAGCATCTGTCTTTATAGAGGTTACAACTTCATAATTTTCATGAACCACTGATGTAGAACACTATTGGTGATACATTTACAATGTATAGAAGACATCTAGTAAATTCACTAATAGAAGAAATATTTATTGACTATCTCCTGGTTGTGTTGTGCAGCATTGTCACCAGCATTGGGTATATAGTGTTTTTTTTTTATTTTTTTGAGATGGAGTCTCGCTCTGTCGCCCAGGCTGGAGTGCAGTGGCACGATCTTGGCTCACTGCAAGCTCTGCCTCCTGGGTTCATGCCATTCTCCTGTCTCAGCCTCCCAAGTAGCTGGGACTGCAGGTGCCCACCACCACACCCAGCTAAATTTTTTTGTATTTTTAGTAGAGATGGGGTTTCACTGAGTTAGCCAGGATGGTCTCAGTCTCCTGACCTCGTAATCCACCCATCTCGGCCTCCCAAAGTGCTGGGATTACAGACGTGAGCCACCGCACCCAGCCGGGTATATAGTTTTAAACAAATAGTCAAATCCCTGCCCTCATAGAGCCCATGTTAGAGTTGGAAGATAGACACACAAATTAAAGGTAGATAGATCATGAGGAAAAAAAAGCAGGCTAATGGACTAGGGAATGGCAGGACATATGTGGGGGTCTTAATGTAGATAGAGTGGTCCAGGAAGACTGCCCTGGAGAAGTAACATTTGAACAAAGAACTGAAAACTGAGGGAGGGGAAACAACTAGGGAAAGAGCATTCCAAGCAGAGGGAAGGGCAAAGGCAACATCCTGGAAGCAAGAGTGTCCTTGGCATGATGGAAGAACAGCAAGGAGGCTGCAGTGCTTGGAACCAAGTGAATGAAGGTGAGAGCCAGAGGAAATGAGGTCTCAGAGGTAGTCAGGGCTGGGGTGATTTTAATTTTACCCTTCCTGCAGGTTCAGTTACATCTTGTTTCTGTGGCTCATCTGGGCCTTTCAGCTCAGCATGAACTCATGGTTTGTCAGTTTCCATTGTGACCAAAGGCAGCAGACAGATGCCCGTTTTGAAGCAGCCTGACCTTGAAGATGCATGAAGGCCCGTTAGACCCTTACCTACAGTGGGTCCATAACTCATGATGGTTTGGCTTTGATTTTTGACTTTATGATGGTGCAAGTATGCATTGCCCGACTGTAGGCTAATGTCAGTGTTCTGAGCACGTTTGAGATAGGCTATGCTAAGCTATGATGTTCAGTAGATTGTGTATTAGATGCATTTTTTACTTAATATTTTCAACTTACGATGGGTTTATCAGGACATAACCTTGTGCTAAGTCAAGGAGCATCTGTATATTGTGGCCTGTTGGGCCCTGAGACTGCACTTGGTATTTCTCCCCACCAAGGCTGGGTGAGTCATGGGAAGGGAGGGATCCTGATAAATTTAAAGCCAGCTCCCTCTGTCACAACTAACACAGAGCTGCTTCCTTAGTCATCCTTTAATCTTGTTTCAGTTTTCTGACCTCTTTCTTCAGGATTAAAATAGCCCAGCATGCTACTTCCAGTGTAGTTATTGTTTAGGGATAGGAACTGTGCTGTGTGACTCACTACCAATAAGGGTGAACTGCTTAGCTGTGCCTGTGATGTGCTGCTGCTGAGGATAAGAAGACCACAGAACACACGGTTGTAGGTGCCAGAACAGGGCTGTCCTCAATCTTCCATGGAAATAAGAGGAAGAAGTGGTTTCTTTTTTTTTCTACTCTAATCTCATGACAGATTAAGAAATGGTTATTTCTGTCAGCAGAATCTTGCGAGTGCTTCACAGTGGAGGTGACATGTGAACCCTGGTATTTCAGGATTCTATGATGGAAAACATGTTTTTTCCACAGTGGTTTTAACCTCCTGCGAATGAGGAAGGCTGTGACTCTTGCTGCAGTTGAGGCTGGCTGCCCTTAGATATTCGTTTAAGCTGATGGGTGGTAGAGATGGGCCATTTACTGGATGTTTATTGCTGTGTGTATATAACATTGTTTTTGACATCTTGTTTATCAGTTATCTATTGCAGTGTAATAATCAGCCCCAAACTTGGTGACTTAAAACAACACCTGTTTTATTTGTTTTCATGATTCTTAGGGCTGGCTTTGGCTGGGCTCAGTTAGGCAGTTTTGCTCATATCTTCTAAGGTCCTTCATGAGGCTGCAGTTATCTGGTGATTTGACAGGGCCTAGTAGGTTTAAGACGGCCTCTGTCACATGTCTGGTGGTTGTTGCTGGCATTTGTCTGGGCCTCTTCCCTCATGATATCTCATTGTCAAAGACGGTAGCTTGAATTTCTTCATATCATGATACTGTGTTCCAAGAGAGCAAAGTGTGAGCTCCAAGCATTATTTCCTCTATCGTTTTGGGTGGTTTTTCCTTTGGCCTCAGGCATTTTCATCACACACATGTGATGACCAATAGCTGAATATTCTAGGGGGACTTTCTTACTCCTTTTAGTGTTTGTGTAACAGAATACCTGAGGCTGGGAAATTTATAAAGAAGTTTATTTGACCCATGATTCTGGTGGCTGGAAATTCCAAGATTGGTCAGCCTACCTGGTGAGAGTCTCATGCTGCTTCAACTCACAGCAGAAAACAGAAGGGGAAGCACAGTGTGTACAGACAGACCAAACACAAGAAGGAACAACCTACTCTCAAGGTAACTAATATAGTCCTGCGAGAGTGGGAACTCACTCCTGTGAGATGGCATTAATCTATTAATGAGGGATCTGCCCCCACCAACCCAAACACTTCCCACTAGGCCCCATGTCCCAACACTGTCACGTTGGGAATCAAATTTCACCATGAGTTTTGATGGGGACAAACCACATCCAAATCATAGCAGAGACTCTCTGCACCCTTCCTTCCTGTGAACTCTACCTGACATCATCTTTCCAGATTCCCAATTTGGTCTTCTTAAATGAGGGAGACCACTGGTCTTCGCCTGGGCTTCCCCTCCTTGTGCTGCAGCCTGGACACTGTCTCCAGGCAGTAGGCTGGGACAGTTATAATGCTCACCTCGTTCTACATCTCAGGAATCACTGTTCTTGAAACCATTATTTCATACATGTTGTCCAGTTTTTTAGTCATTTCAGGCAAGAAGGTTAGTCTATCTCTCCAACTCCATCTTGGCTGGAAGTAGAAGTCTCAAGAGTACAAAAGTGGCAGTGGCGTGGTCTCTTGAGGCGTAGACTTGGAACTCATAAACCTCACCTCTGAGTTCTATTAATTAAAGCCATTCCAGGGCCATCCCAATTCAAGGGGTGGAGAAACAGACTAAAACTCTTGATGCAAGTGGTGGCAAAATCATATTGCAAAAGGTTATCTGGATAGGATGGGAGGAAATTTGCAGCCTTCTTTGCAAACACTCTTCTTTGCAAACAAAAAGCCCACTGTTTGTGGATTTGCAGGTAGGGTTAATGACAATAGGATAGCTATTATTTGATAAACAACTGCTATGAACCAGGCTCTGTCTGAAACAGTTTATACATAGCTCATCTAATCCTACTAACATTGTGAAGTGTAGTTGTTAGCTCATTTTACAAATGAGGAAACTGCCACGCTCTGTGGTTAGGTGATTTACCTGAGGATGTACCTAGAATTATATGATTTCCATGCTTGTGTGATTCCAGGCCTGCGCTCTGAATTAGTCCTTTTGCTTTCAGCTTTGCTGTGTTCTTAAGTTTTTGGTATATTTCTTGTTAACAGATTATAGCAGCATTTAAAAAATGCAAATACATGATTTATCTCTTGTTAGGTGGTGAGTTTATTGCATTTACATCTGTTGTAACTGTTGTTATATTTGCATTTATTTCTATTGTTAAAGTAAATTAAAATGGGGACCAGGCCTGAAGTATCCCTTAGCAAACAAAACCAGTTAGGCCTTATGGGTGATCTAAACTTGCTTGATTTACAAACAGGAAAAACTTAACTTGAGTTATTTCTTGTAAATGCCTATATTAAAGAAAAACAGAACGTAGGCTCAACTGATCAGAAGCAGCCAACAAACTTATATAATCAGAGACAGTCCAACAGGATAGACCAAATAAGGCAACTGTGTATCTGTAACCAATCAAATATTTTCTTTGCTCTACTTCAGTGTTTATCCTATAAAAGCCTCCCCCTTGTGTTCCCTTGGAGGAGCTCCTGAACTACTTCTGGTTTAGAGGTGCCAGATTCCTGAATTGTCATTTGCTCAGATAAGCTCTTTAAACTTTTACAGTGCCTCAGTTTTCTCTTTAACACTACCATTTTATTTTGTTACTTATTTACCTTGCCTTTTCCATGTCTATCTCCTCTTTTTAAATTGCATTTTCTGTATTCTTTTTCCCTACAGATATGGAAGTTATAATTCTATTCTCTATTCTTTCAGCTGTTATCCTTAAAATTTTAATATTATCCTTTAAATTTGCATACTTAAAGTTTAAAGTTACCCTATTTGTCTTCTCTTTTCACACGAAAATATGAGGAACTTGGAACATGCTTAACACCAACCACCTGCCTCCTGTCTTACATGTTTTTATTTTTATACTCTCCTGGGGACATGGTGGGATTACGCTTTTGTGTCTTTGAAATGAGATGTGGCCATCTGACTTTCTTTGGCCAGTGAAGTGTGAAAAAGCTTAGCAAGACAGCGTATGGTTCACCATGCGACCTGTGGCAATTGTTGAAGAAGACTTTGAGATGATGCTTCTACTTGGCCGGAGTCATTGAGGGGCTACAATGGGCAGACTTCCCTAGCTAAACCCTGAAGGATATTTAACATGAATGAGAAATAAACATTTGTTGTTTTAAGCCATAGAGATTTGGGATTGTTTGTTGCCACAGTATAAGGAGGTTACCTGACTGATATGCTCCCACTCTCCCCACCTCAGGAATTGTCATCATTATTATTGTTTTATGCATAAGTACTTATTTAGAATTACATTTACTGTATTTATTTTCTCATTTTTCTTTCCTTCATATCAATCCTTCCTTCTAGATTTATTTTTTTTCTTGATGTACACATTCTAGTTCTTTGAAGTCAGTGGCGTGATGGTAAATATTTAGGAACTGGTCCCCCAGGGGCAAAAAAATCCTGTTTTTTAGTGTTTGCCAATTCCCATGGTTTAATACTCCCACTATGGCTGATTTCAATTTATCAGCATGTTTTCTACAGACTAGCAAAATTCCTGTAAACCTCACATTTGGCTCTTACAAGCTAGTAGAAGCATGCTGCAATTTCAGGTGGATTATGTCAGTGGTAAGCTGTTTTTGTCTGAATGTATCTTTATTTTATCCTCATTCTTGAATGGCAGATGAACTTGGAGTAAAGTTCTAGGTTGAGAGTTATTTTTTCTTAGCCCTTTCAAGCTATGTTGTTGAAATAATATTTTTGTTTCCTTGAAAAGTCGGCTGTCATCTTAGTCCTTGTTCTTTTGTAGTTAACCTGTTTCTTCTCTATGGTTGTTTTTGAAATCTCTTCAAAACACAGTACAGATACTGTGTATCTGTAATCAATCAAATATTTTCTTTGCTCTACTTCTGTGTTTATCCTATAAAAGCCTCCCCGTTGTATTCCCTTGGAGGAACTCCTGAACCACTCCTGGTTTGGAGGTTCCTGATTAATGAATTGTCGTTTGCTCAGATAAGCTTTTTTGGTATTCTGTAATTTTACTTGTAGATGTTTGAGTGTGAGTTTACATTTGCTTACCCTGCTGTAACACATTTGCTCCCTGTATCTTTAGTGAGTTTTGGAAATTTTTTAGTCATGATCTCTTCAAATATTGTTTGATCTCTGGGATTCTGTGTGGTCTGGATTGAGGGACTGTCCCTGTAGAGCATTTTTGTTGCTGTTGTTGGTTTGTTTTTTATAGAGATGGGGTCTCGCTATGTGGCCCAGGCTGGTCTTGAACTCCTGACCTCGAGTGTTCCTCTTTCCTGGGCCTCTTGAGTAGCTGGGATTCCAGGTGTGAGCTACGGCACCTGGCTTGTGTTTGTTTTTGTCAGGTATTGCCTTGGAATCTTTTTTTCTTATTGTGATAAGAACATTTAACATGAAATCTACCCCCTTCATAAATTTTTGAGTGTACAATACAATATGGTTAGCTATAGGTGTAAAGTTGTGCAGCAGAGCTCTAGAATTTACCCATCTTGCTTAATTGAAACTCTATACCAGTTGCATAGCAACACCCTGTTGCCTCCTCCCCCTAGCCCTTGACAACCACTATGAGTTTTACTATTTTAGATTCCTCATATCAGTGGAATCACGTAATGTTTGTTCTTCTGTAACTGGCTTATTTTATTTAGCGTAATGTCCTCAAAGTTCATCTTTGTTGTGGCATATGGCAGAATTTTCTTTTTTTTTTTTAAGGCTGAATAATATTCTGTTGTGTGTATATACCACATTTTCTTTATCCGTTCATCCATTTATGAACACTTAGTTTCATTTCCAGACCTTGGCTATTGTTAATAATGCTGCAGTGAACACAGGAGTGTGAATTTGTCTTTGAGATCCTGATTTCAATTCTTTTGGATAAATACCCAGAGTAGGATTGTTGGATCATATGGCGATTCTATATTTAATTTAGTTTTGGAAACTTCTGTTGTGTTTTTCTTAGTGAAACACTATTTTGCATTCTCACCAACAGTGTACAAGGGTTCCAATTTCTCCGTATCCTTACCAAGACTTGTTATCTTTTTTTTTTTTTTTTTTTTTGAGACAGGGTCTTACTGTGTCACCCAGGCTGGAGTACAGTGGCACAATCACAACTCACTGAAGCCTTGACTCCTAGGCTCAAGCAAACCTCCCACCTTGGCCTTCCAAAGTGCTGGGATTATAGGCATGATATAGGCACGAACCACTGCATCCAGACCCTCTTTAGCTTTTTTTTTTTATAACAGCCATCCTAATAGACGTGAAATGATATCTCATTGTGAGTTTGAATTGCATTGCCTTGATGACTAGTGATTTTGAGCATCTGTTTCATATACATGTTGGCTATTTGTATGTTTTCTTTTGAAGAAATAGACATTTCTTCAAAAAAAGTCTATGTGCCCATTTTAAAATCAGGTTGTCTTTTTTTTTTTGCTTTTGAGTTGTAGAAGTTCCTTATATATATTTTTGATATTAACCCCTTATCAGATACATGGTTTGCAAATGTTTTCTCCATTTTTTCAGATTACCTTTTAAAAATAAAAACAGGCTGGTTGCAGTGGCTCATGTCTGCAATCTCAGCACTTTGGGAGGACAAGGTGGCCGGGTCACTTGAGCCCAGGAGTTTGAGACTAGTTTGGGCAACATGGTGAAACCCCATCTCTACAAAAAAATACAAAAATTAGCTCGGCATGGTGGCACATGCCTGTAGTCCCAGCCACTTGGGAGGCTGAGGTGTGAGCCCAGGAGGTTGAGGCTGTAGTGAGCCATGATCATGCCACTGCACTTCACCCTGGGTGACAGAATAAGACATTGTCTCAAAAGAAGGAGAGAGACAGACATACATTTTAATGATAATCTAAAACATAAAATTATCTGGAAATTAAGACAACTATTTTTGTACTGATCATTTATATTTAAATCATCCACTCAAAAAACATTTATTAAACACTCCTATGTGCCAGGCACAATACTAGGCACTGGAGCTATAACAATGAGAAACAGAGAAAGAGAGACAAAGAGCATTCTTATAGACCCTTAGGAATGTTTGTGACAAATGTGGGGAAGTAAAATCTTCTTCTCTGAAAATATCTCTCAAATATCTTATTTCCTTCAGGTCTTTGCTCAGATACCATGTTAATGAAGAAGTGCACTGACTGCTTGACTACCCTGTATGAAATGAACACCCCCCATTTGACTTTCTACCTCTTGCCACGTTAATATTTTATTTGTCTGTGCAGCACTTACTGTCTCTTGCTATGCTATACTTTTATTTCTTGGTTACCTCCTCTTATTAGTCTAACTTCTATGAGGTCAGGTACTGTGTCTCGCTCATTGTTATATCCCCAGTGCCTGGCACATAGGGGTGTTCAATAAATATTTTTTGAGTGGACGATTGAAATATAAATGATCAGTACAAAAAAGTGATGTCTTAATTTGCAGGCAATTTTAGTTTTTAGATTATCATTAAAATTAAAGAACTTTCAAATTTTCATAAAACTCACAGACTTCTGAGAATGCATTCACAAGCCCAGTTTGCAACATGTGGTGCTAAACACTCCATTTACGTCGCCCCCCTGCTGAATGAAGTGCCCTTTCTATGTTCTTCTGGATCCTTTATTGATGAGTATCGCTACCTTCGTAGCTGCCTCCTTCTACTCTTGGGGTTCATGTTTAGCCATCAAGCTGTCTTCTTTTTCCACCCAAGATGCCATGCATTTAAAAAGTATGTATATATATATGTGCCTTTGCCCGTGCCCTTCACTCTGCCTGGAATATCTTTCTTCCTTGTTCTAGGCCTCACTTAAGGTTCACATCCTCTGCAGAATCTTCCCTTGTGCTCAAACCAGATTGATGCCTCCCTCCTCTGTGCTGCCTCAGCACTTTGTACACATTCCCTTTTGCTCCCATCCTTTTCTGTTGTGATTGCGTCTCCTCATTTGTTGCTTCTTTTGACTAAGAGCTTCTCAAGGCCAAGGACGATGTCTCATGCCTCTTTGTTGTTGAATCCCCATGCCTTAGCATAGTGCTTAGCACACTGAATAAACAGTCAGTGAAAGTGAGTTGAGTGAATGTCACCTGTGAATGGTTGTGGCAGAAATGAATGACCAGCTTATATACTATACCTCTCTGTATAGACTCTAACGAAGGAAGAATTCTTTGTAGCATAATGGCTGATAGATAGGGAGTATAATAAGAGATTGTGTTATAGCCTTAAAAATGTTTCTTTTTGAAAAAAGGAAAAGCCTTCTATCTAAGGAGATAAGTAACTGTACTACCTGGAATTCACTGAATAAGTTGTGAAATAATCTTTAAAGAGATTTCCCCAGCATAATAGTTATTTTTACTCTTAATACTAGTTATAATATTAAGAGAGGTTATTTACTGTATATATGTGTGTGTGTGTGTATCTGTTTGTGTGTGTAAATTTATTCATCACTACAACTGTATCATCTCCATTTTACAGTGGAAGAAACTGAGGGCAAACAACTTTCCAGAGATTAAACAGGACAGAGATTAACAGTGGTAGAATAATTTCTTGCTTGAATTCAGGACTCAGGTTCTTAACTAGTCTCCCACATTAGATCTCAGTAACTCATAATAACAGCATTTTCTGTCCACTTAAAAGGTGATTTAAAAGTTTATTTAAAGGAATGAGTGAAGAGTTGCTTCGCAGATACTATAAACTGTAAACTCATCCTATGTTTCTTTTTTCTTTTTTAAACCATAAAGCCTGCAATTCTTTCCACTTTTATTTCCCTTTGGATTTCTGAAATAAAGAAATAAAATGTTCAAAGATAACAGCAAAAAATTCCACTCATTTTGCAGGCCTTTGTTTCTGCTGGTTTTGTGCCTCACTCTTCTCCTAGTCCACAGCTAAGGACCCAAACAAAGAAGAGAGGGACAGTCATGCATCTTAAATAGAGTACAGATGCATGGGTTCAAGAGGCCTGTGGCCTCCCTCTGACTTGGTGAGGGATCTAGTGTGTTGAAGTTTATGTAACCCAGGACTAATAGTTCATCTTATTAGGAAAAATGCCAGCAAGACCTGGAGTTAGTAAGGGCTTACTTCGATTTAAATTCTTCTTTCATTCAATAATGCTTTTGTTCTGGGCACCAGCAGTATCTGTACTGTTAGATACTTTCTTTTTTTCTATACTTTCCTGTTGGGAAACTATCCCAACAGGGATACTTTCTTTATATCCCTGTTGGACTTGATAGGTGAGCTCTGTTCCAGACTCAAATTTGAAAGCTATTTTTTTTTTCTCTTTCTGACTTTAAAAGTCTCAAATGAATTGTAAAACAAAATAAACATCAAGGGATGAAATAAGCACTTTGCAATTCCTTGTTTAAATATAGTTTTTACTGTACTTTTGGAGAAATTTCTATTTCACTGGTTTGAAGATTTGAAAAATAATCTTAAAGCATATGAAATATATCTATGTGCTTAGGAATGCATACATGGGTTTCTGAGTCTTCGTTTTAAGGAAAATTTTTGTTGTTGCTAATAGGCCCAAAATTATCCAGATACAATAAAATAATCTCAAACAGATATTACTCAAGATTGGTATCAAGAGATCTTATTTCTCAGTGATATGACATATTCTTTCGGTGATGGTATCTGCAAAACAACCATTTCCTTTTTTCTGGTTTTTGCTTTGACTTACTCAATGATAACATGGATCTCCTGTGACTTATCATTTCCAGGTTCCTAAGTGGCCCCTTAATTCTTAACATTTATCTCACATAGATTTTTAGGAAAAAAAATTTCTCTAAACCCTTTTTAAAGTCCTTAAGCTCCCGGGTAGAAGAATGTCAAATCTGAAAAAATCCTTAAAGGTGTTCTTTAGTAAGTCATTCAGAGAGAGGAGTTACTTCATCTTGGTTGGAATGTGTCATGTGCTCCAACTCCTAAAGGCTTGGAGCCGCTGGAGTAAGGAATGTGGTTATGGCGGCTGTCCCATCAGTGGCATGTGGTGGAAGGGATGCGTCTAGACCAAAGACATTTGACTCCAGTGTGGAACTCTGGCTCGTGGCAGCTGTTGCACATACCCTGAAACTAATTATGTGGTAACATGCCCTCTGCAGTGCAGTGACCAAATAAGACTGGTACATGGAGCTAGAAGGGAAAGAGCAGGAAAGAGTTTTGTGCTGAGAGTTTGGTGCCTGGACTTCACAACTAGCAGTGCTGTCATTTCTGTTGTGACTTCAGACAACCAGTGGTCAACCTCTTTGGGCCTTAGTTTATCCTCCTGCAAAAAGAAACAAAGATTATCTTTGTGATCTGTGCCATCACTAGTGTTCAGTGATGTTAAATATTTGCTGTCTCTTTAAAATGCATGTACCAGCTTGTGGCAAAATCTAGGGTTATTCTTTTTTTTTATGTGCTATTTTATGTGCTATTGCTTTATTTGCTTCAAGTTAGCACTTGAAGTGGCCAAACTAAAAAGTTTCTCTGGTTGAAAGATTTTCTTTGTATAGACACAGCCAAACATTATTTCACTGACCCCACCCCCCCACCCACTGGAATTGCAGTTTCACCTGTTTGCACTGCATTCTGGAACAGTTTGCAATCTGTATTTGTATATTAATAATAGTAGGAGCTTGAAAATGATGGCTTCCTGTTGGCTAGGGTACTTACTAAGTTTCAGGCATAAGTAAGTATTGGGCATGTGTTATCATCTAACTTTATCATGCTTCTGCAAGATGTGTTATTAGCAGCTTTTAAAAGAGATGGAAACTGAGGTTTAGCGAAAATAACCTGCCAATATCCCACAGCCCCCACCTCCGCAAGGTTATATGACCTTAAAGCTAGTGTATGACCACATTGGAGGCCCATTCAAGGTTATCTGACCCCATAACTAGTGAGTGACCAGGCTTTTGGCCCCAGACTGTCTGATGTCATAGTCAGAGATCTTAATTTGGGATAGTAAATCAAATCTTTAAAACTTTCCATTATCCTTAGCAAACTAACACAGGAACAGAAAACCGAATACTGCATGTCAGAAGGTTGAACTGGCATGGCTACATCTTTATCATGCAGTTCACCTGAGTCTTATATATAGTCCTAAAGGGTACTTTAGGAATCCCCTACTCCAAAGAAACATAATCATAGCACTGTCATATCATTTATATTGCTTCTTTTTTCTTTAATCAGAATAGCAATTGTAGTAGATTCTTCTTGGGGTTGCTGTGGACCTTTAAGCAACTCTTCTTCCTCTTGGAGTAGCTTCTGATGGTGAGGGTCAGCTGCCACAGCCTATTGATGCTTGGAAGACACTTGGCCCAAGCCAGGCTAATTCTATACTCCATCCTGGGTATTTTCAATTTGGAGCAGGGAGTCCTTGAAACCAAGTAACATGGAACCAAGCTTCTCACAGAGATTCATGCTGCGTACTGCTTCCTTCTTTTCTTGGGTCTTGTTTTCACAGTTGCTGCTTTGATTCGGGGAGATGTCTTGATATCCTTCTCATGCACTCCCTTCTGTGGCTCAAGACAGGCCAAGTTGTTTTCTGTTGCTTGCAACCCAAAGAATATTAACTAGCCTAGCGATGATGAGTAAATAAGTTATTCTTGGAAAAAATATTTGCTGAATGAAAATGGGAAATAGGAAGGCATCCGTAATGCTCTCGCCTCCCATCATTTTTAACAGCTTTATTGAGATATAATTCATGTATCATAAAATTTACCCTTTTAAATGGTACAATTCAGTGATTTTTAGTATATTCACAGAGTAGTGAAACCATCACGACTGTCTAATTTAAAACTTTAAGTACTCTAATTTAATTACCTCTCCTAAAAACTCCCTATCCTTTAGCAGTCATTTCCCCATCCTCCTCTCCCCAGCAATGATCACTGTGGTATATTTTCCTCTCTTTTTTTTTTGTCCATTCATATTACTTTTTTATGGTATGCTGGACACATTTTTGTTTATGGGGTATGGCATATTCTTTCATTTATTTATTCATTCACTCATCTCCCACCCCATATATATATATATATATATATATATATATATATATGAATATACATATTCACTAAATATTAAGGACCATAGGCATTGTGTGGATATAGCAGTAGGTAGCTTATCTTCACACCAGAGAAAGAAAAAGATACAGGCCTTTGATTCTAGTTCATTAATAAAATGGAAAACCTTAGAGAATTTGAATTATTAGGCTAATTAGGAACCAGTATATTCACATATTCAATTTTTTTCTGTACATTATTCAAGTTATAATTAATGAAAAAGATTTATCACAGACTCCTCATGGTTTTCCCAGTCACTTAAAATTCCACCGAGAGCACAGACATGCTACAGAAATGCTGCTTAAAAGCACAAATGAGCAAAACAGTTTAGTGTAATGCCTAGAACTGGCATTGTGATGACTTTTTAATTGTTTTATTATTTTTAAATTGATACATAGCATTTAACATATTTATGGGATACATGTGGTATTTTGTTACATGCATAGAATGTGTAATGATCAAATTAGGGTAAATACTTCATCATCTTGAGTATTTATTTTTATATGTTGGGAAGATTTCAAATTCTTTTTTCTAGCTACTTTGAAATATACAATACATTGTTGCTAACTATGATCACCCACTCTATTCTGCTTTCAAACATTTGAATTTATACTTTCTAACTACATGTTTGTACCCATTGACCAACCTCTCCTCATCTTCCTTTTCACCCACACACCCTTCCTAGCTTCTGGCATCGATCGGATAATTTTTAAAGGTCTTCTTGGATTGTTCTTTAAATTATGACAACAATAAGTAGCAGGACAGAATTAAAATTCAGTATTTATGGAATCTTTAGAAATAGTAAACAACATACACACTCATTTCTTGGTATCTGTGGGGGACTGGTTCCAGGACTCCCACAGATACCAAAATCTGTGGACGCTCAAGTCCCTGACATAAAATGGCGTAGTATTGCATATATCCTATACACATCCTCCTGGATACTTTAAATCATCTCTAGATTACTTATACTACCTAACACAGTGTAAATGCTATGCAAATAGTTCTTATGCTATATTTTTTCTTTTTTTATTGTTGTATTATTTTTTGTTTTCCCTCAAATATTTTTAACCCGTGGTTAGTTGAAACCTCAGATGTAGGACCTGTGCATATGGAGAGCCAATTGTATATAATTTTATACACACACACACACACACACACACACACACACACACACATTTATATGTATATAATTTAACCTGGCAGGATTTCCTTTTTGACTTGGAAAGGTATCTTGGTAGAGTTGATTAACGGGTAAAAATACATGGTTTGATAGAAGAAATAGACATAGGGTTCGATAGATCAGTAGGGTGACTATAGTTTACAATAATCTATTATACATTTCAAAATTGCTAGAGAATAATAATTTGAATGTTTCTAGCATAAAGAAAAAAATATTGGCCAGGCGCTGTGGCTCAAGCCTGTAATCCCATCACTTTAGAAGGCCGAGGCGGGCGGATCACGAGGTCAGGAGATTGAGACCACCGTGGCTAACACGGTGAAACCCCATCTCTACTAAAAATACAAAAAAATTAGCTGGGCGTGGTGGCGGGCACCTGTAGTCCCAGCTACTTGGGAGGCTGAGGCAGGAGAATGGCTGAACCTGGGAGGCAGAGCTTGCAGCGAGCCGAGATTGCGCCACTGCACTCCAGCCTGGGTGACAGAGTGAGACTCTGTCTTAAAAAAAAAAATTATATATATGTGTGTATATATATATATATATATATATATATATATATATAGAGAGAGAGAGAGAGAGAGAGAGAAGATGATGGATATCCCAAGAACACTGATTTCATCTTTACAAATTATATGAATGTGTTAAATTATCACATGTGCCCTGAAAATATCAACATCTATTATGATCTGTAAAAAAAATAGTACATAGTTCAACAATGGTTAAATCAATGAGTGAATGACCCACTTTATCTAGTAGTGTCCTGCATTGGGGGCGCCACTCATAGTTTACTCAGACTTTATTAATCACACACACTGGCTTTTCAGTCTGTTTCTCAGGACTATCCTACAGCATTGTGTTCAGAGTGCTTTCCTTCCCTAACTTTCCATTACCAAATAATCTTAAATCAGTAGTAAAACTGAAACTTTTTTTTTTTAAGTTTAGGGAAGCATTTCTCACACCTTCATGTGACTACAGATTACCTGTGGGTCTTGTTAAAATGCAGATTCTGATTCAGCAGGTCTGAGGTGAGACCTGAGATCCCACCTTTCTGACAAGATCCCAGGTGATGCTGATGCTTTTGGTCCAAGGATCCTCTGAGTAGCATGGAGGTCTGTTATTCTCCCTTCTCAGGGTTGGAGTGACTCAAGAAGTAGAGAGAAGCAGGGAGGGTACATGGGGAAAATCTCTCCTCTTTAAAACTTTAAAGTAGCAAGGACTAGAGTTTGGCTGATGAACCCAGGCAGCTCAGAGTAGGGGAAAGTTAATATAGTTCAATGCCTGCCACCCAGCTATTTGAAATGATATTAATTTAGGTAAGACATCTTACAATTCTGAAAAGTACTTAGATGGTTAGCAGTTTTGCTAAATGAACATGTTGGAGGGTGAAGAGGAAGTGACAGGGAAGGAAATTTCAATAAAACCTTTAAAACATCATTGGCATTAAACATTTGCTAAGCAGTTAAATGAAAGAGCCGTCCTATAATAACTGTATATGGCTGTGACTGTTAATATTATAAGCGTTTCTATTTTAGCTATCGTTTCTATCATTACACGTTTGGGGTAGCTTCTCAACACATTTTTAAAATACCAGTATTTCTTAAACTGTAGTTTTTTTTGTAACCTGTATCAGGTTGAGAAGTGTTGATAACAGGGCATGCCATTATCCTTTAGTTGGTTGTGGATTACTGGCTAACAACAGGGAAAGAACACTGACCTTCAAAACAGAAATGGTTGGTATTCCTGAGAGTCCCTTGTAGAGTTATTTACAGGTCAGTTAATGTGAAATAAATTATATCCATCTTCGAATTGGTCTTAAAACATCTATTTCCCTTTTTCTCTTATTTAAAAAAATGCCAAAGCGCTTAGCATTTTGTTTCCCACTGTTGCATTTATTTGATAATCAAAGATTTATGTTCATTATGCCCGTTTCTTTTCCCTGCCCAAATCGGAGGAGGGAGGACAGAAATTTTAATTCCAGGCCTCTAGCCACCACCAGTGTCTCAAAATAATGAAAATAGCTAACATTTGTGGAGCATTCATTATGTGCCAAGCCCTGTGCTTCAGGCTTTAAGGGAACTTGTTTGCTCACTCAGTAAGCATCTCCTGTGGTGTTTGTATGAACCCTGTAGTGAGTTACAATTATTATTTCCTGTTTACGGATGAGTAGCCTGATGCTCAGAGTACTTAAGTAATTTGTTCAAGGCATCACAGGCTGTCATGGGTAGATCCAGGATTCAAAACTCAACTCTTCACCACTGTTCTCGGAAGCTGAGACAAGTTTAGTGATTTTTCCCCAGATCACGTAACTGGTTAGTTGCAAAGCTAGAATTAGAACTTAAGTCCTTAACTCTAAGCTCAGTGCAGTATTCCAATATTGTGCCACCTTAGAGTATTGGTCTGTAATGAAAACCAGAACTCCTCTTTGTGTACAAAAGCAACTGCCAAGAGGGCTTTCCCATGTATACTGTTCTTAGTGCTATGAATCTTGGCAAAACGTCACATATTATCAACCAAAGTGAGTTATGCAGTTATCAATGACAGTGTGTGGGTGAGGAACCCAGAGTCCCAGTGCTTTTAAAAATCACCTATCCATATTCTTTATTTAGTTATATGTGCTTCTCCTTGGGGTATTCTACCCCAAAAGAGAAAGCCTAGAGGCTAGACCATATGTCTAAATATTAATTTTTTATACCTCCCTCAGCAGGCCAACTCTTCCACCACACACTGGGGCCACATGTTTTCAGCTGGTCTGCTGTTTGTCTTTTCACACACATGACACAGCCTAAGGAAGATTTGAAGTCATGAAGAGTGTTGTACAGCCTGTACATAGGATTACAGAGAAAGGGATCAGAGAACCTGCCCTTCACATTAATTACAGACAAACTAGGAAGTGATTAATAAGAAAATAAAGTCACAGGAGAAGTAAAGCAGGCCAAGTTGTCTGCAAAGAGATTCTGTTTTCTTTGAAAGAGTTATGGTAAGTACTTGCTTGAGAAGGAGTATGGATTTATTAAAAAAAAAAACTTCACGACTTTTGGATATAAGCCAATTCATATTTTTATATAGCTTGGAGACGGTTTTCATAGCAATGAAACCCTAAGCTGCTTTACAGTGCAAAACTTTATCATTTTTGTTTTTTCCCCATAGTGTGGAAAAGAGCTTAAGGTCACACAGTTTTTCAAACCTGCCAGGAGCTCATATTTTCCATGTTTGGAGATAAGACACAGTAGATTCTAAACATCTGGCTATTCCCTATTTAAATAATTGTGTGTTCCATGCACATCATACATATATAATTATATTTTCATTCTAGTTACCTTTCTGTGTTTTAGACTTCTGAGATCTGGATTAGATTCTGACTCCAGTAGCTATTGGAAGTCACTCTTATAAACGTTGGCTAAGGCAAAGTGTATTTTTCCTTCTTTTTTATATAAACTCAAGTAGGGCTTAGTTTCTTGTATTTTCATTGTAACTTCTTTCAGAACTGAATGAATATAGGAGCTTATATGAGTTGTTCAAGATGAAATTCTGTAGTATTTTTAGAGCAGGGGAGACTGTAGAATTGGCTGGAGGAAACCTCAATTTTAGACACTGGCCTGTATCTGCTAATGATGTGATTGCAGTCAAATCCCCTAAGCCACCACAATTTATGCTCTTGTGAAGTGGACATAGTGTTGGCAGCTTTGGAGCAGTATTGTCAGATGAGTGAGTGGTGGATGTGAGGCATGTGAGTTTTGATGGAGAGGACAGGACAGAGTAATCCAAGGTTAAGGAAACTCTCTGCACCCCCAGCCCCTCAATCTAGCTATAGCTAAGCAAAGAGGAATGGAAACCTGTTCTCTCTGAAATTGTTCCCTTGTGCCGACGGTCTGGTGAGACAGTTTCCCTCTGGTCCTCTCACCTTTCTTCTATACTTCATTATGAAAATTAGAAACTGTCCTTGAGAGGGTCATTCTGTGTGTGTGTGTGTGTGTGTGTGTGTGTGTGTGCAAGTGTGTGTATAGTGAATACATGATTATATGATACATGACAATAGAACCCTTCCTTTCCACTACTCCCCCAACAGAACACGTATTAACATCTGCAGAATGCTGTTTCAGGGAACGTATTTGGGGAAACACTATTGAAACACAGTCTGGTAAAAGCCATGAGGATGCTTAATGTTTCAGTGGCCTGATTGGTTAAAGAAGTACACCAGGTTAATGGTCTTGGCATTTTGGCTCCAATGTCACCAGTATTTGAAGTTGAGGACTCGCTTTTCTTGAGGGCTTGTCTAGAGGAACACACAGTGTCTCACTGAAGCCTTTGAATAACATTGTGAGGTCTACACTGTTATCCCCACTTTACAGATGACCAAACTATGGCTTAGGGGAGATTCAGTAACTGAGCTCTGGTAATTGAGAGACTCTCAGCCAATATTGCTCAAAACCCATACTTTCCTCCCTACACTGTAATTGTGCACTGCATGGAAAAGATAAATTGAGATAAGACGCAAGGATTCAGGTTGCTTCTTTACTTTGGAAAGGCAAAAAATATATACATTTTTCTTGTTGACCTGGTAGGTGATGATTTCAGGTGCTGCTGATGTTGAAGTTGGCTTCTCGTTCTTTGTGAATTCACTTTAGGAGCCATGTGCAGACATTTTCTAGCCAAACATCATGATTATGAGACTATATCCTACACCCCCTGCCCTTGGTAGGCCACCTTCCTGTCTGGATCCTGTGATAATCCATCAGTGCACCTCTGCACCAGGGCCAGTGTGTATCACAGTGCCCTGGCTCTGGCCTCTGATTCAACCATGCAGGGTGAAGGAGGATGGCTGTAGGCACAGGCTCTGCTGATACGTGGGGAGTGATGCTGAGCATATTGTGAGCTCATGCTTGCCACTGAAGTTATGATTTGTGTGTACTCTGTGACGTAAGGTAGGTCTTGCATCCCTGTTTTACAGATGAGGAATCTGAGATTCAGAGATGCTGAGACATTTTCTCAAGATCACACAGCTTGAAAGTGATAGGGCTGGGATTGGAACCAGGCAGCCTGGCTCCAGAGTCTGGGCTGTTACACACTATATTATACTCCTCCCACAGGTTCATCCAAGGAGATTATTCTATGCTGTTGGATAGGTACAAAAGAACACGTATGTAAATTATGGTATATAATACTAACATGAACACCTGGAGAGCCTCCCTGCCCCACCTGAGAAAATTACCCATCCTGTTGATGTTACACATGAGTGCTTCTCAGTTTCTATTTCTTCTTCTGTGTTATGATAATCATGCCCTTGAACCTTGTCTAAGTGAGATGATGTTGTATATATTCTCTGTTTTTACTTCTTCCGTTCAATATTCTTTTAAGATAAATTCCTGCTGCATGTAGCTGTCATTTGTTCTTTTGCACAATAATCTAACATCCCATTACATGCTTATGTCATAATTTATCTGTTTTCCTGTTGATGGACTATTTCTAGTTTTTGCTATTAGGAATAGTGCTGTACTGAATGTTCTTGTATGTGTCTGTTGTGCTCATGTACAAGTATTTCTTTAGGGCAGGGGCCAGCAGACTTTTTCTGTAAAGTGCCAGTTAGTAAATATTTTAGATTTCATGGGTCATATGGTGTCTGCTGCTTGACTCGCAATTGTACTACAAAAGTAGCAATAGACAATATATAAGGCTGGGAGCCGTGGCTCACACCTGTAATCCCATCACTTTTGGAGGCCGAGGCGGGAGGATCACTTGAGGTCAGGAGTTCGAGAACAGCCTGGGCAACACGGAGAAACCCCGTCTCTACTAAAAATACAAAAGTTAGCCAGCATGGTGGTGCATGCCTGTAGTCCCAGCTACGTGGGAGGCCGAGGCATGAGACTTACTTGAACCCGGGAGGTGGAGGATGCAGTGAGCTGAGATTGCACCAGTACACTCCAGCCTGTGCCACAGATGAGACTTTGTCTCAAAAAAACAAACAAACAAAAAAAAGACAATATATATGTCAATGGATATGGCTGTGTTCCACTAAAACTTTATTTACAAAAGCAGGCAAAAGGCCAGATTTGGCCCTTAGGCCGTAGTTTGCCATCCCGGCTTCAGGTATGGCAAATTCAGGTACCTAAGGGTAAAATTTCTGGGTGAGGATATGCATGGTGAGTTCTTGCATTGTTGCACTAGTTTACGTGCAGCAGCTGTGTTAGGAGTTCTTATTGATCAACATCCTTGTCAGTACTTGCTATTGTTATTTATTTTTGCTGCTGCTATTATGATTATTATAGTGTGTGTGTGTGTGTGTGTGTGTGTGTGTGTGTGTGTGTGTGGATAAGAGAGTGGGGTATAAAATGCTTTCTTGTTGTGGCTTCCATATGGCTCATGTGGTTTTCTGATTACTAATAAGATTGAACATCTTTTCATATGTTTATTGGCTGATCGTATTTCCTGTTCTGTGAAATGCCTGCTCATTTCTTTTGTGCATTTTTCAATTAACTGTTGGTACTTTTTTATTGAATTATAGGAATTCTATATATATTCTTGATAATAATTTTTTGTCATTTTAATGTATTGCAAGCATCATCTCTCAACTGTGGATTGTTTTTTCATTCTGTTTATAGTATCTTTTGTTGAACAGAAATTCCTAATTTTAACATTGTCAAATTTACTACTCTTCTTTTTATGGCTACATTTTTTGTGCCCTGCTGATAAGGAAATAACTTTCTTATTTTTAATAATTTATAGATTCTTTTGGGTTTTCTAAGTAGAAAACCACATAATACAATTGATGATAATAGAACTTTCCTTCTTTTGAATTATTATTTTTTTCTCCTTATTTTCTGGTCTTACTGTCCTAACTTAAGCCTCCAGGAGAAGGCTGATGCAACATTCTACAAGTGGTGCTTATAATAGCGTAATTTTATTTCTCATTTTAAGGGGCATGCTTCTAACATTTACCATTAAGAATGATACTGTCAGTTTGCAGCAGATATACTCTATAAGTTAAAGAAATTCCTCTTTATTTCTAGTTTGTAACAATTTTTAGAAAACACTAAGACTTTATATCTTGAGCTGATCATAATTATTTTTCATCTTTACTCTGTTAACATTATTTATAGAATACTTTGTCTAATGCTGAAGTATCCTCTAATTCCTATGAGAAACACATCTTGGGCATGATGTATTACCTTTTTAATATATCCCTGTATTCCACTTGCTAATAATACTCATCGTCTAAGTGTGAAGTTTGGACTAGAAGGTACCTTTCTTGTATAGTTCATGCCTACTAGCTTTGGTGTCAAGATGATCAAGTCTCACAGAATGAAGACTTTCCATTTATCTGAAAGTTTTTGCAAATTGGAATCACCTGGGCTTTCTTTGCAGGAAGAGTTTTAAAATTCTGATTCTATTTATTTAATAGCTGCAGAACTCTTCAGGATTTCTGTTTCTTCTAGAGTCAGATTATGTAAGATATGACTAGTCGTTTGTCCATTTTCTTGACATTTCAAAATTTGTTGGCCCAAAGTTAACAGTATTTTCATATCACCTTTTAAATATTTCCTATGTGTACTCATTTCTGAAGAGGCTTGTTTTATTAGTCATTTCAAAGAAGCATCATTTTGTTTGTGGCTTATCTCCATTGTGTCTTTGTTCACTAGTTTTCTCTTTTTTCTTACCCCATCTGTTAGGTTTCACTTTAAATACTTTATTTTTCATTGCTGTATATTTTTATTCTTTTTCAGATCTGGTTGATAATTTTGGAGAGTCACTTTTCCATGCTGATTCTTCAATTCTATATTTCTGCTGAAATATTTATTTATTTTCTTAAACATTTCAAAAACACCTTATATTTTGCATATGGCCATCACTCGTGGAAGTTTCCTTGTGTCTGTGGTAATTTTTTATTGTAAGCTTGTATTTCATTAATCTGAATTTTTTGGACTCCTGAGGGCTTTTGTTCTCTGCCTAATCGCCTCTCCCAGTCCTTGCCCACCCACTGCCTGTCCCCCTTACAAGGATTTGCATTTGCATCTGTTAGGCGCCAGGGGGCACTTAGGACCACATTCAACCCTTCTGCAAATATGGGCTTGCTAGAAGAATCTCAGTTCCCTCGCTTCAGTGAGTCCCAGTTCGCTCTCTCAAGCTCAGTGCTTAGATTGGCATTTGCTCCTTATAAGAAGAGGAAGAGAGACCAGAGAGTGCTCTCTCCCACAACCCCTCCCTTGGAGATTTCCCTTACTTCCTTGTAAGCTCAACTATGCTTTGAAAAGCATATTTGCTCTTATCTAGCTGTAGTGTAGAGGAGGGCCTATCAGAAAATGCAGTCTCCCGGAAGCCTAGAAATGGAAGTCATTATGACCTCCTTCATTGTCCTGGGATGGTATACCAGAGCTGCATGTTTGAAACTGGGAATAAATTGGACACACCAAGCTATTTATCTCCCCTTCCATTTGCGTATTTTTAATGCACAGATGAGTCATTTTAAGCTTTTTCCCTTTTGTGGACTGGAGATGGGGCTAGTCTTTACTATCCAGGGGAGACTTTAAAGTATGCAACTAAGTTTGGAAAAAGGCTAAACAGGATTGGGTTAAAAGCCAAGTATCAGGATAAATGTAAAAAATTCTATTTGTGCTCCTAGCAAAGTGACTGCAGACAGCATCCTGGATTCCCATTGTCACAGTTGCTTTACTTTCCTCCAGGGTATCTTTCCAGTGGCAGACAGTGGAGAATGGAGTTTGCCTTTTGAATTTTGAATCTTTGCAGACAACTGGAGAATGATCCCAGAAACAGGGTGGCGAGTAAAAACCTTTCTGAGCCCTCATTCAACCACAGACTCACTTTGCACTTGAGGAGAATTAGCTGTTTTGCCATAAGCGCTAAGCTGTGCTGTAAGTGCTAAGTTGACAGCAGTTTGACTGGGACCCAGGCATGAGATTGGATCACCTGGTAATGTCCTTTCCTAGTGCAAGTGGGTATTGGAAGGTCTCTGTCCTGATGTGCAGTGGAATGGAAGCCACAGAAAGAATGACTGAAGCTTTCAGAAGTTGAGACCACAGTGATGCCTGGGAGATTCCAAAGAGATGGCCCTAGAATACAGTCATGCAAATTCTGGTTTGTAGGTACTTGCTGTAGGTAACAAGATGAAATGAATGCCAGTGGAGTTTGGGTGACTGTCTTAAAAGAAGTGTGTTTTCATAGTTGGGAAAGGGTAGATGATTTGGCTTGAAGGAACCCCCTCTGGAGGAGGAAATTGAAAACTGCAGTTTTTCGTACCTTTCACTCAGAGAGAAGGTGCTGTGGCTTTGCTAGAGCGTTCACTTGTATTGTATCCTGGTCCTTTAGAGCTAGTTTTTATTGAATATGTCTTCCAATATTTACACAGTCTAATTCTGAGTACTTAGAAAAGAAGTCTTAAATAAATTGTCCTTGGATCATTCCATGTGATTTAACTACTGGATAGGACCCGGTGACATGGAAGTGAAGTGACTTAGGTATCTCTCATCCTCCTTGTCAGAGACACCATGGCCATTTCCTACATTGTCAAAGTGTACAGTTGTCAAAGTTCCTAGTCAAAGTGTACAGTTACCCCCTTTTGGTCTACTCTTAGGGTTATTGAAATACATACCAGGACTGAGTCCAGGATCCCAGAAACCCAGATTCTGGCTTTGTCAGTGTGTATCTGCTCTTGAGCCTGTCATTTCATCTGTGTGGATACAATTTTCTTGTTTATAAAATGAGGTTAATAAGGCAGTCTTTAAGGTTTCTTTGAGTTCTGAATGTTCCTATTCCCTGGCAGCAGATGGTTTATGTCTTTCTGAATATAGTTTTTTGTTGCTATTGTCACTGCAGCATATCCTAAGCCTATCCTGATTGATGTCTTACTCTGCATGTGGTACTTTCTAGAGCTTTATATGTATTAACTCATTTAATCCCCATTAAATGATTTATCCTCATTAAATTTAATGATTCCAAGGTAGAAGGAATTACTACTCTCCTCCTTTTACAAATGGGGAGACCGAGGCACAGAAAGTTTATCAATTTCTATGGATTATTTCTCTTATTATATTTTATAATTGAAATTGTCTATGTTAAATACATAACTGAAAATCTGGTAATTTTTTTTTTTATTTTTATTTTTTTTAGATACAGGGTCTCCCTATGTTGCCCAGGCTAGTCTTGAACTCTTGGGCTCAAGTGATCCTCTCAGCCTCCCAAGTAGCTGGGACTATAGGCATATGCCACTGTGCCCAGCTTGGTAAATGAGTTTTGAAACTTGATTGAGTTGAATTGCTAAAAAGTAGAACAATGAGAAAGAAGAGAGTAGGAGGGGGAGAGAAGAGGGGAGAGGGAGGATGGATAAGATTACTTCACATCCCCTCCCCGTCTTCAATTATGTAAAGCAAAAGGATGATCAAGGATCTACAAGGTATGTATTTTCCTCAAAAATCTTTTTTGTAGGAACAAGATTCCTATTTGATTTTGAATATCTTAAAATTAAAAGAAAATGAAAACTAAAAGAAAATGAAAAATTAAAAGAAAATGAAAATATAAACATGAATTTGAGAAAATTTTGAACACTAAATTTTATGGTGATTATGAGATTGCTTCATCATGCTGAAGTCATTTAGTGACTAATAGTGTGACTACCTGAAAAATAGATTTTGCTTCTTAATAAATGTACAGCCTGGAAGCATCCATCGTAACCACTTCTGAATAAGGAACAGCCTGGTTAGGATGGCTAATTCTTTCTTTTTAAATAGATATGGGGTCTCTCTATGTTGCCCAGGCTAGTCTTGAGCTCCTGGCCTCAAGTGATCTCCCATCTTGATCTCCCGAAGTGCTGGGATTACAGGTGTGAGCCACCACACCCAGCCAAGATGGCTAATTCTTATTTTTGAGAATTTCTATTTCTGTTATAAATGCCTACCTGTCTGCTTTTACTACTTCTCCCCTCCCCATCCTTTTCTCCTGCCATCTTGAAGCATTTGTCCCAATTCAGAGGCCAATGATGTCGTGGTTTGAACAGGGGCATTGGGGTCAAAGTGTTTGGATGAACACCTGTGGCTGTACCACTTACGTAGGTGGGTGACTGGGAGCAGGTTACTTAAGTACTTTTTGTCCCCATTTTCTTATGCATTAAGTGGAGATCATAACAGTTGCTACCTTTTAGGGTGGTTCTGAGGATTAAGACACCTTAGGACCATGCATGGCATGTGGTATTACAAATGATATACAGATTTTTGCTTTCACTGTTTCTTAATAGATCTGGTCTGTCCTTACCTCTTTGCTTTTACAGTTTCTCTTCTCTTTCCATCATTCTTCACAGGGATGACTCTCATTTGCCCTTCAAATAAGACATAGTTTATTGGTGGCCTCTTGGTTTGGGATGTTTTCCTACATGCCCCTAGCCTGGGTTCCCTCCTCTCTGCATTTCTAGCCACCTGGTTATGACTTCTATTGTAACCCTCATGACATAGTGTTGCTTCTATTGGTTTACTTGTCCACATAGACTTTGAATATGGGCTATTTTTTTTCTTTTGTTTTTCTTTTTTTTTTTTTTTGTATTTCATGAGTATGAGGGAGATACTCAGTAACTGTATATTGAATGGATAAATGGACCAATTTTCCCTCCATTCTCCTCTGCTCCCTTTCTTCTTTCCTGCTTTTCTTCTTTCTTATCTTCCTTCACTTCTGCCATCCTTCCTCCCTCCCGTTGCTGTCAAACCTGGCACTTGCCACCTTATCTTCATTATTGCCCACAGGAACCCTATAGTAGGCATTATGATTATCCCCACTGCGTAGATGTGGGGACAAAGGATCAGGGCAATAAGGAATGTGTCCATTCAAAGGGGCAGCTCCCTCACAGAGTGGTCTTTCCAATGTTGCTGTTTCTGTTCAAAGCATTTGGCAGTTTTTCTTTGGAATTTCCTTCTGGCTGGTTTACGAATCTTAAGAAGACCAATCTTATTTTTGGTTATGCTCAGAAAAGATCATTTCCTTTGTGATCATCCCAATTCATGATGTTTGACTCCAGATAAACCTGGATCATCTCAGAAATCCAAGCCACCTTCAAAGGACAAAGATTTGCCATGGTCAAGAATATTTAAATGACGGCCGGACACAGTGGCTCACAAGTGTAGTCCCAGCCCTTTGGGAGGCTGAGGCAGGTGGATCACTTGAGCTCAGGAGTTTGAGACCAGCCTGGGCAACATGGTGATACCTCATCTCTACAAAAAATACAAAAATTAGCTGAGTGTGGTGGCGCACACCTATAGTCCCAGCTACTTGGGAGGCTGAGGTGGGAGGATCACTTGAACCCAGAAGGTGGAGGTTACAGTGAGCCAAGATCATGCCACTGCACTTCAGCCTGGGGACTGAGTGAGACTCTGTCTCAAAAAAAAAAAAAAATCTATTAGCTGGGCGTGGTGGCTCACGCCTGTAATCCCAGCACTTTGGGAGGCCAAGGCAGGTGGATCACGAGGTCAGGAGATCGAGACCATCCTGACTAACACTGTGAAACCCTGTCTCTATTAAAAATACAAAAAAATTAGCTGGGCGTGATGGCGGGCACCTGTAGTCCCAGCTACTTGGGATGCTGAGGCAGCAGAAAGGCGTGAACCCGGGAGGCGGAGCTTGCAGTGAGCCAAGATCGCGCCACTGCACTCCAGCCTGGGCGACAGGACGAGACTCTGTCTCAAAAAACAAACAAACAAAAAAAAAAACAAAAAAAAAAAACAAAAAAAAACTATCTACCTATCTAGCTATATATGTATATATATATAGATATATAAAATGCCTCAAAGACAGTTGCCAAAGCACTCTTTCAAGAGTCTTGGCTGCAGCCGCATCTCTGGGCTGAAGGCTGCGGATACTCCTGTGGACTCTGTTCTAATGTGGTTTAAGGACAGCGGGTTGGTAGAGGAAGGTTAGATTACTTTATGGTCCCACCTCATGATTTTTGTGACAACTTTGTTGATATATAATTTATGTACCATACAATTCACTCATTTACAGTGTGAAATTCGTTGGTTTTAGTATATTCACAAAGTGGTGCAAAGGACACCCCTATCTAACTTGAGAACATTTTCATCACCCTAGAAGATGCCCCATACCCTTTAGAGTCCCCCCATTTACTCCACACCCCCCAGCAATCACTAATTTATTCTCCATCTATGGATATGTTTATTCTGGACATTCTATTAGTGGAATCATACAATATGTGGTCTTTTGTGACTGGTTTCTTTCACATGGCATAATGTTTTCAGATTTATCCATCTTATCCTGTATGTCAGCACTTCATTCCTTTTTATGGCTGAATAATATTCCATTAAATTGATATACTAGATTTCATCCATTCACCAGTTGATTGACAAATGGGTTGTTAACACTTTTTGACTAATATGAATGTTGCTGCTATGAATATTTGTGTCTGAGTCAACTGATGAATGGATACATAAAATGTGGTATATTCGTTCAATGGAATATTATTCAGCCATAAAAAGGAACGAAGTACAGATGCACACTACCACATGGATAAACCTTGGAAACATGCTAAGTGAAAGAAACCACTTATTGCATGATACCATTGATATGAAAGGTCCATAACAGGCATAAAGACAGAAAGTAAATCAGTGGTTACCAGGGCCTGGGGAAAGGGAGGGAGATGGGGAATGACTGCTAAAGGGCATGAGGTGTCTCTGAGGTAATGTTAAAAAATTTATTGTGTTGATGGTTGTACAACTTTGTATGTTACACTTTATAGGGGAGCATTGTATTAAAAATGAATAACCTCCATCATTAAATACATATCAGTTTCTTTCTCTGCATTCAATACCCTGAGAGGCACTGTGGTATACAGATGAGAATGCTCTAATAATTTCTCAATGGACATTCATAAATGGGAATATGAATTGGATACCCAGAAACAATATAATCAAGATGGTGCATCACCCAGTGCTAGTTTCTGGGTGTAGGCCACACTCAGAAAGATCTCAATACCTCTGAGTGTCAGCTATAGGAATTCAGAAAGATTTCAAAATGTTGACTGCTCCAATATTCATATAACTTATAGTATTACCCCATGCCTTACAATACTGTGAGTTCCCTGTGGGCAGGAGCTATGTCTTATGTCCCTCTTGATTCCTGTGCTTAGCACTGTGTTCATTCCACAAGCAGGATCATGTGTTTGGCGAATGAACAGCTGCTGTCTTGGAAGCATCTTGGCTTGTCCATAGGGATAGAAATGCCTTCAGGCTTGTGGCTGCCTTCTCTGACCAGCCTGGGGGTTTGTCCTATGGGGAAAGGTGTTGCCAAATTCATCAACTATCTTCAAGCACGGGTGCCTTTTCTCACATCTGATAACTATTTTGTTTCTCTGGTGCTTTCACTCTGACTTTGCTTAAAATGGTGACCCAAAATAACAGTTGCTTCCCTCTCTAGTAATACTTTCAAGACTTTCTGTTTCTGGGTCAGTGAGATTTAGGAAAACAAAAGGTGGGATAAACCTCAGGTTTGGTCTTTCTTTTTTTTTTCCATGTCTATCAAACGTCAATGCTATAAACTCCATGTAGCTTATGGGTCTTTGCTGTAATTAGAATTTTTTTTTCTTTTTTTTTTTCTTCTTCTGTGAAGGTACTTTGTGTTAAGTTCTTTCTGTTAAATATCCTTTGCTTGCACTGGACTTTTCTTTGTGTTGATTTTTTGCTTCATTTTTTTTTCATTTACCATGCTGTTCAGTTACTGGATGCCAGAAGAACCAAGGTTTGTCCACTCTTTGCAGCTTGTTTGTTCTGCTCTGTGCAGCCTCACCTCCTTGTGTGTTTGAGTGTGTTTGTCTGTGCCTGCATTTATTCCCTTTTGCTTGCAGATGCAGTAATCCTGTTTACTAAACCTGTTCACAGCTTTATTTGTAAAAAATAAAGTCTTTGTTTGTGTCTACTTGTAGTGGATGCTATTATTTTCATTTTTAAATCACCACATATTGATCGTGGGAAATAATGGATAGTACAATAAAGAATACCTTAGGAAACAAGGAATACTGAGTCTGGAGCATTCTGGGCATAAAGAAGGTGTGTTTGTGAAAGTTTCCTTCTAACCTTTTCCATTTCCTAAATTAAAACTCTGTAGATGTATAATTTCCCTTGTGATTGACACTAATCTATTGTTTCTGTGTGTGTGTGCATTTCTCTTCTCTCAAGACATTCAGAAAGCATCACTGAATTAATCTCCCCCTCTCCATGTGCTGTCCCATGCTTCTGAAGTCACCGTGGAGGAATTCATGGCTGGCCCTCCGGACCTCATGATTAACATTCCATCTTCATAGTGTGGTGGCAGCAAGCGGCACTTGACATTTTCATTGACTTTTTTTCCTTCTTTCTCCTCTCCCGCTCCATCTTTCTCATTGCAGCACCTACAGTTGACAATCCAGGCCCTTCAAGATGAGCTGCGAACCCAGAGAGACCTCAACCACCTCCTCCAGCAAGAGAGTGGCAACCGAGGAGCGGAGCACTTCACCATCGAGCTGACCGAGGAGAACTTTAGGCGGCTCCAAGCCGAGCATGACAGGCAGGCTAAGGAGCTGTTCCTTTTGAGGAAGACATTAGAGGAAATGGAGCTGAGAATTGAAACGCAGAAACAAACCCTCAATGCCCGAGATGAGTCAATTAAAAAACTTCTTGAGATGTTGCAAAGTAAAGGCTTGCCATCCAAAAGCCTGGAGGATGACAATGAGCGAACGCGGCGGATGGCAGAGGCTGAGTCTCAGGTCAGCCACTTGGAAGTGATTTTAGATCAGAAAGAGAAGGAAAACATACATCTTAGAGAGGTAAGAGCATTCACTGTATTTCCCCAAAGCCTTAATTTATAAGTGAAAATATGTTATCAAGTTATTTTCACAGGTTGGAAGATATCTACATCCTTAACAAAATTCCCTTTGTCATCTGCTTTATGACCTTCCTGCCGGCTTAAGACCATTAAACTGGAATTTTGTATTAGTCTTTGCTCACTGCACATGCATTCCATTATTATTCAGCACATATCCGCGATCCAAGCATATACAGGACATATCAACTGTAAGTTGGTTTATAAACAATTGCTTTCCCACAGGTGGCTGTGGTTTCAGAGTCTTTTAGGTATGGTACTATTCAGTTTAGTTGTTTATCAAATATCATCTCTCTAAAGGAAAAAATAAATAGGATTAGCAACACAATGACCCTAAATATTTTTATTACTGAATTGGGGATGAGATTTGCAGAAAGTAAAGCCTATGGGAAAGAATGGTAAAATGCACAGACCAATTTTGAGTGTTTAGGGTTAAGATAATTTTTGTCTGCATTTACATTTGTCTAGGACAGAGTATTACAGGTTTTCTGAGTATGTGTTTTGCCCTTAGTAGATTAAATCATTTGAAGTCCTTCAGAGGCAGTCTCTCTGGCCTTTTACCACCATTCAATGTTGGGATGCTCGTGTATCTGAGAATATGTGGTTGGGTAGAGCTTAGAAAAAATGTGGATGACTGCCAAGGTTTGAAATTTTAATAGCAGTTCCTTGCCACTGTGGTGGATATGGACCTTAAAAGTATCATGCAGGCAAAACTGCTGTAGGGAGACGTGGATCTCACAGAAAATAACAAGCAATAAAATGGCATTAAATATGTTTTCAAACTATTCTATAGCAATAAATAAAAATTCTAGAAGATATTTCCTTCTAGACCAAACTAGATTTCTTGGCAGTATACCTGTTCAGATGGTGGTGCTTCTTGTGAGTCACTTGTTTGGTTGGTCGGAAGACATGGCTTCCATGTTGGGATTTGCAAAAGTGCAGATGCTCCCAGGAATTTGCTCTGATGTGGGTTATATTTGCCTAGCACATAGGAAAAGACTTTTGTGTCTGCAAATTTAATGTCCTCTACTCCTATTCTTCCTTGTTTCGTTTTAATGATACTTTACCAACATGCTTGGGAAACCACATGGCTTGGTTTCATATTGAAAAGCTTAAAGAGATGTTTTGGTTGGGCCTGGTCTTCCCATCCATCTTCCAAGAGGGTGAATGTGGTGAGAAGACTTCCAAGATGGCCTCCAATAATCCCTACTCCTTGGAATTCACACCATTATATAATCCTCTTCGAGTATTGGTTGATCCTCATAACTTGCTCCTAAATGATAGAATATGGCAAAATTAACAGAATGTCAATGTTATTTCCAGGATTAGGTTACATAAGACTGTTACTTCCATCTTACTAGCAGACTCTATTGCCTTCATAGCTTGCATGCTTTGATGAAGCAAGCTGCCATGTGGAGAGGCCCATGTGGTAAGGAACTGAGGGTGGCCTCCAGCCAACACTCAGTAAGGAACAGAGGCACTCATTTCAACAGCCACAAAGAAAGGAAACCTGGTAACAGCCATTTAGTGAGCTTGGAAGTGGATCCTTTCCCAGTCGAGCTTCAGATAAGAAGACAGGTCCTGGGATGACATCTTGATTGCAGGCTGTGAGAGACTGTGAAACAGAGGAACCACTTAAGTTGTGCCTTGATTCCTGACACACAGAAACTGTGAGATAATAAATGTGTACTCTTTTAAGCTGCTCAATTTTAAGGTAATTTGTTACACAGCAATAGATAACAAATACAGTAGAGCAGAAAGTAATTTTCTCCATGTCTTACTTCATAGACCTCTCATGTAGTTTACAGAAGAGGAGCAACAATTACTGGCATGTTGTTACTTGCATGTAGACTAACTGTGGATTTTGGAATTTTTCTTGTGTTATCTCAAAACTGCAGTTGATAGAGGATCACTATAGTTGGAAAAAGCTGCTGTTTTATTTTGATGCCAAGGGGCAGCAAGGCTGTGATGCCAGAGAAATCTCCATCTGCAGCACCATTTCTCACTCCTTGTTGGGATCTTGTGGTCAGGGTGGAGTCATTCTTCTTCTGCAATTAGATTCTGCTCATTGATAGCACTTACTAGATGGTGCCTTATGTGGCTGCCTCCATTTAAATGAATCTAAACACAATTCATCTTGGGTTTTCTGAGATTGGCTGGTTCTCACAATGGTCTGGTGTGGATATAGATCATGTTTAGATCCCTAAACACCAGTTTGAAAGCACACAGAAGGGAGAACAGAAAGTGCAGACCAATACATTCAACTAGTTTCCCTGAGCATCAGACCAAAGTGAGTAGGTAGCCCTTATTTTAGCTCATCAAGAGGGGGAGAATTTGGAAAATACATCTGTATATAAAAGACTCATGTTAAACTTGAACTCAGCAAACAAGACTTGAAGGCCTGAAAGGATCATTCCCATGAGAAGGGTTGTACTGCCCTGTGAGAGCCATTTGTTAAATTCTCAGGAATCTCATGATCCTGGTGTTAAACCACACGTAGCCTGGAATTGGTCATATTTGGTGTATTTACACCATGGAAATTGGAAGATGCTACTCTTAGGGACTACCTTCCCCATTCCCTTGCCCATTCCTGAAAGCTGGTTTACTGGCACACCTCTGAATGAATGTTGTGAAATGTTTACCTCTAATACAGCAAGAGGATACACTGTGGAGTCATAATGTTACTTATTGGGAGAATTATGATTATGTGTGTATTAACCACTCACGGTTCCCCAAAAGTTTTCAAAATAGCATCTGTATGTGTCAGCTTATGTGTCAGGCATCATGAAGAATGCTTTACGTTGATTCACACTGAATCATCTCATTCATTCATTCATTTATTCATTCATCCATCCATTCATTCATTCATTAATCCATCCATTCATTCCTTCGTTGGATGAATACTTATTGAAGATCTGTTTTGGGATATAGCAATGATAATTAACAAAATGTACCTTCATGGTGCTTACATTCTATTGGGGGAAAATAGATGACAATTTTATGGTTTAAATAGAGGCGTGTCATGAAGAAGAGAGTGAAGCACTGGTGATGTGGGTGGGGCTAATTTTATGTTGGGTTGTCAGGGAAGGCCTCTTGGAGGGGGTGACAGTATGAACTGAGACCTGCATAACCAAAAGGACCAGCCATGTGAGGATCTCAGAAGACTGTTCCACTCAGATGGAAAGACCCATGGCCTAGGAGGTAGGTGCTGTTACTTTGCCCATCTTACCTGGGGGAACAGAGGGACAAACCCAATGTCACACTGCTAACAAATGGTGAAGCTAGTGTTTGAATCAGCCTGACTCTGGAGTCTCAGCTCTTAAACCATTTTACTATGTCCCTTTTCTTTTCTTTTTTTTGCGGGGGGCGGTGGGGGACGGGGTCTCACTCTGTCACCCAGGTTGGAGTACAGTGGCACAGTCTCGGCTTACTGCAACCTCTACCTCCCAGGTTCAAGTGATCCTCCCACCTCAGCCTCCTGAATAGTTGGGACTACAGGCATGTGCCACGATGCCTGGCTATTTTTTTTTTTTTTTTTTGTATTTTTGGTACAGACGGGGTTTCACCATGTTGCCCAGGCTAGGCTCCTGAGCTCAAGCGATCTGCCTGCCTCAGCCTTCCAAAGTGCTGGGATTACAGGTGTGAGCCACCGTGCCTGGCCTACATCCCATTTCTAGAAGAAATTTTCCCCAAATTGTGCTTGGCAGAACAGCCATTTTGTGGGCTGTTGATATGTGTTATGAGAGAAAAAGGGTTGCAGTGCCAAGTGAACTTGGGGAAATGAGGGATTCCACAGAGTTACAGTCTCAGTCTTTAATATGCAAATATGCATTAGTCATTTCCAAGAAGGGGACCAGAGAAGGCAGAGCTTCTCAAACTTACGTGACTTGCTTTTCTCTTGTTGCACTGGTGTTCTTTGTAAGACATTTTTGAAAAATGCTATGCTAGAAAATAAAAAGTGCTTCTAATTAATGACCTACCAAATACGTAATAATATACAAATGGTTGTTTCCCATTGCCAAATAACTGGGTTATTTCCTTCATTAGTTATTTTATAAGGCAAAGTTTATTGCAAGCTATTTCCATATTCTCTACTGAGTTTTAGAATGTACTTTGTCAGGGTATTTTTTTTTTTTTTTTAGTAGAAAGAATGTGTCTGACCACTTTTGTCATTATACCAGTAAGAATAACTTAGCTTGAATAAAGAAATTGCCTGACCTCTGTTAATATAGATGAATCTAAAACAAGATTTAAAATGTACTTGAGGTTTTAGGTTCAGTGTGTTCCTGATTTCATTTTCATTATGCACAGTTCGAGTAGGTTGGGGCTAGGCAGTGTGAAGCTGGGGAATGGAGTGCTAGTGGTTTTATGATTCATTCTTAGGCAGAGGTGGTGGACCTCACATAAACCCCATCTCCTGGCCTTGTTCAGCTTATTGTTTTAGGAGATTTGGAGTTGGCAGGAGTTGCATATGGGGTGGGTTGCTTTAGTGTCTTATTGTCTTTTGGTGGTCTGGAAAAGGCTGAGTGTGAAACCACTTCTTTGTCTGGCAGGAAACAACAACAAAAAGGTTATGATCTCAACTTACTTGGAAGACCAAAACCATTGCGCAGGAACTCCAACTGATGTGCTAATGTGAGCCAAAGGGTTGGCCGAAACTCAGCATTACTCACTAGCATTGTCTGATGTATTTGGATGCAGGTTGATTTGATAAGACATTGTTTGACGTTTACCTTGTTCTCTAGCTTTTTCTGCAAAGAACATATTGTTCCATCTAGAAGTTTTAGCGATCAAGTATTTGAAACACAACTGATCTCATTAAAGAAAAAGAAATGGATTAATAGACCAAGATCCTCTTATACTTACCCTGCTTACTATTTTCTTGACTGGTCCTTAGAAGAGAGATAGGGGTCTTTGGACTTATCTCGCTGTAAGATCTTGATGGGAAGCAGTATATGTTCTGCTGCTAATCCTATTGATGTCCTGTGTTAATCCTTTTGGGCATCTTGCCCTTCTTTGGTAGCAGGGCCAGAAGAGCACCCAAGTCTTTACAGGCCACAGTTGCTAATAACCCAGGACAAGCAAAACCCCCAGGAGACCTGGGCCTCCCTCTGTGCTGGGGGTGGGCAGACAGGAGAAAGAGGTAACATGAATTATTGGTCTCCTGGTCTCCTTATCCAGGTTGAACCCAGGACAGTGGGAGATCCACCAAGGCAAAAGGTATTACCTGGAATTTCTTAAGCTTTCAGACCTTTACTGATGGCTCAAACTTGTCCTGTATAATCTCTGCCCAAACTTCTAAATGCCATTCCGGTCCCCCTTCTCAAAACCACATGATTTCCTTAATACATGCTTGTCCCTAGTTCTGCTGACCTAAGCCATGATTTTGCTGATGCAGGCATTTCTAATTCTGTCTCTACAGATTCAATACATTCTATTTCTACCAACAAAGCTAATTACAGAAACTATTCCCAAACATATAAACATAACATTTTATATACACGATCTTTTACAAGGGCTGTTTCCTATACATATTACAGAACTTAACAATTGCTCCCTATTTTAATACAGTAAATTTCTTACCTGATCAGTACATTCCATCAGTATTCCCAGACCTCAGATATTGCCAGTAGCTGCTCAATAAATATTGTAATGAGTGAAAAATTTGTTAAAAATATCTAGAGAATTACTCTGTGATTTATTTTGTCAGTATCAGAAGAATTCATAATGGTTGGTATGAGCTCCATTAAAAAATGTTTTCTGCATCATTGCTCTATGTTTGGAGTAGAGAAGAAACTTTGCAGGTAGCTTTAACTGGCAGTCTTCTTTCATTTTTTTCTAAAATGTGTTGGACATCATTGGGCATATGTTGAGCATCCCTATGGAGGATGCTGTGGGAGTATCAGTGGCAATTTTGTGGTCTTGTTCAGAGATTCAGGTGAGCAATAAGAGGAACAGCTCATAATTATCAAGTATTGTCCTGTGCTAAGTAAATACTGTTGTCATCATGTGTATTACACAGATAGGGAAACAGAGGCAGAGTGAGGTAAGTAATTGCCTCCAGTCACACACTGCAAAAGCTGCAATCAAGAGTGGAAGCTGGGCAGTGTGACTCTAGACTCTGTACCTGTCCCCATTGCATGCTACTGCTTCTTGGGGTGGTACACTGAGAGGCCTTGAATGGCATCCAAATGCTGTACAGCTTAAAGGTAGGAGAGCTGACAACTGGCTTCATCCACGGTAGAACCAGTCTTCAAGGCAGGAGGAATTTTAGCACATGGGGTTGGTGGGAAAGCATGATTGGAGAGCAGATGACTGAGTCAAATCACAGAGGTAGGAACTGTGGAGAGTTTGAGGCACGGTGAGTTTGGAGCAGCTGAAACTCTGCCTTTCAGTGGGGGAAGGAAATAAAGCTGAGCAGATGGTTTGGTCTCAGATCACTGAGGGCTCTGAGGCCCACACACAGGGAAGTGGCTTTACTCTGTGGGCTCTGGGGAGCCTTTGAAGGCATTTGACCTGGAGAATGGCATGACCAGAGAAGATGATCAGTTGACAGTGGATTGGATGGGAAGAGAACAAAAGCAGGGAGAGAAGTTAGATGGATACTGTGGCTATTCAGGTTGCCAAGAGTGTGAATCTGGGTGGTGGCCATGGAAGTTGAAGGGAAAGGTCATCTCCACCTGTAGGCAGGACCTTGACAACTTAAGAACTGAGTGCTGGGAGATTTGAGGAGGAAGAGACAACTGCTGTAGACCTGTGTGCAGGCAGATATGGTACAGCAGTGGGCAGGCAAGGGTTGTCAGCAGGAGGAGCTAAGGTTGAGGGAAGACTTCGAATGTGTTGAGTTTGATGAAATCTTGGTGGAGCCGTGCAGCCAAGGTTGAGAATGTGGGTGAAGAAATGATTGTGACGTTCTGCCCAAGTACACAAGGCATTTCTGACTATTGCTCAGTTTTATTTATTTTTTTCACACACATCTGATAATTTGTAACCACCACGCCCCAAGGCCGTGAGCATTCTAAGGCATGCCTTTTCATTTACTCCTACTAGTATTTAACCACTAGAATTGAATGTTTCTCCTTTGTGCCTCTTTCCCGAGTAAGCATCTGATTTTGAATATGGTATCTCTTTTGAGATTATGTGGAATTTTCATTGACTGATGCTAGTTTGAGACAAATTCCCTTTGTTTTCACTGAGTTCCATTTTCTCCGAGTACTCCATGCAGGATGGATGTCAATGAAGCATCTTTCCAGAAAAGCGCTCTCTCTGTAATCTGACAGTGCATCCAAAAGTAGGCTTTCATAATTTTTATCCTCACATTTCTGATGACACGGAAAATAAATTCCTTTCTGTTTAGCATCATTTGCCTTATCTTTAAATTCTCATGCATTCTTTTAAGTTTGAATGCTACATGCTAATTACTCCATTTTCATTTCAATGAGTATCATCAACTGCTTTTTACGGTAACAGAGACTGGTGGAGCCCCAGAAAGCCATTAGACACAAGGCATTTTGAAACCTGCTGAGAAAAGAAAGTGACAGGGTTGGGGGTGTGGGGAGGCACCAGGGAGGAGTGAGAATGTCCGGAGGTTATGCTGAGAGAGGCTCTGATTACTTCCTCTTCACCCTCATCCTCCTGCTTTACCTTAGGTGTGATGGCGCTCTGAAAAATATTTTTTGGGTAACTGACATAATTTATCATCATCATCATTTGTGATGATGCCCCACAAATAAAACCTCAGCAGTGAGAAAGTACCCCAAGCACAGGCTCTGTGAGTATGTTAGCATGTTTCATAAGCTGCAGCAATGGGTAGTTGAGACAGGCTCAGCTATACCAAGGCCCTACCTGTCTTGAGTGGAAACATTAATACTTTACATGTGGAGGCGGCTTGGTATATAAAGCCTATAAACACATTCCATTATAAAACACATTCCGTTTTAACTATTTCCTCAGATACTTTTGGCAACCCTGGGAGGACATGGAGACTCAGAGAAATTAAGCAGTGATGACATGTAACATTTACTGGGCACTCACTAAGGGCAGCCTGTGCCAGTCACTTCCCAAGGAGTGCCATTTAATTCTTCCATCGATACTCTGAACGGAACAATGGTTTCTCTGCCTCTCAGGTGGGGAAGTTGAGGCCTTGAGAGGTGATGTGACTGGCCCAGGTTCTCAGAGCACATAGTGATGGATGGATCTGGCATTCAAATTTGGACTTGCCGATTGAAGTACCTTGTTCCTAACCACTTCTTGATGCTGCCAGGGATTTCAGTGTAATCCAGAGTAGACCACAGACTAGGATTCTGGTCTTCTAGCTTCTTGCTGAAGGTTATTTTCTCATAAATGTGAAAAAGGAAGAAATGCAAAAGGCTCTGATTTATTTTCTTGCCACATCTTATCAGAGCCTGTTGAATTGGGGACTATAAATCCGTGAGGTCATAGAGCAGCGGGAAGATTAAACAGTGCCATGTAGAAGGCAACGTCAGGGCTAGGTCTTCCCATTCCATTTTTGACTCATGAAAATGAAAGCACCTGGCCCTCCATAAATTCTGCACAAATAGGTGAATTTTTGTGAGCAGAGAATAAGGACAAATGTGTGGCACTTAGACCTCTCCCATTTCATCAAAGTTAGTTTTATTTTACAATTTTTTTAACTTCTTGAATATCTCACTGCCAAAAAGAAATGCTTTGTCTCCCAAAACCAACTTTACTTTTTACCTAGTTTTTGTTGAGTATTTTGTGTTTCTTTCTGTGTCAATTGTGAGACACGGAAATTGCATTTGTAACTCCTAAGACATGTGCATTTCATTGCTCTTCTAATTTGGTAAAATCTACTTTCCCTTCCACCTTGGCTCAGATGTGAAAGGGCTACTTTATTTGGGTTTCCAGTTAGGCATGTAGGTTGAGGGGTCTCTTAAGTGTTTCGGATAGAGCGCTAAAAAGGCAATGTGAACTGCTAATGGGTGATTCCTAGGAGTGGCTATCGTTACAGCAGCTATAACATATAAGAATGAATTAAATTCTCACTAAAGGAAAAATATAATTCTGTATAAGTTGTTTGTAGAAAAAGGAAAAAGAAAGGTGAGTGAGACTTCATGAGTAAAAATTACAAAGACTTGCTACGTTTTTAGATTGAGATTTGGCAAACTATAGATTATGGGCCAAATGTGGCCTGCAGCATTTTTTTTTTTTTAAATGGCCTGGGAGCTAAGAATGTTTTTTACCTTTTTAAATGATTACATTTGAAAGGATTACGTAAGTACGTATATAGTACCCTTTATTTTGCCTCTTGGTCCACAAAGCCTAAAGTATTTACTATCTGCCTCTTTAAATGTGCTGACCCCTGAATTAGATAATAAGTAAGTAGCTTTCTGAATTAAGGATAAGTAAGTAGTTTTTTGAATCAAGACATTTGGTAAAAGCCTGTCTGCAATTAGTTATATTTAGAGGATCAAATCTTACTGTTTTCACATATAGCTTTTGAGGTTGGTTTTTAAATCAGGAAACGGTATTTTTTTCTGCCTTTTTTTTTTTTTTTTTTTTTTTTTGAGATGGAGTTTCACTTTTGTTGCCCAGGTTGGAGTGCAATGGCACAATCTTGGCTCACTGCAACCTCCGCCTCCTGGGTTCAAGCGATTCTCCTGCCTCAGCTTCCCAAGTAGCTGGGATTACAGGCATGCGACACCACATTCCGGCTAATTTTGTATTTTTGGTAGAGACGAGGTTTCTCCATGTTGGTCAGGCTGGTCTCAAACTCCCGACCTTAAGTGATCCACCCGCCTCGGCCTCCCAAAATGCTGGGATTACAGGTGCAAGCCACCGCGCCCGGCCACCTATTTTTCTTTCACAGTTATTAGATCTGTAGTTTTGATCTCTGATTCCTAACACATTGGGTATTGTCAGTTATCACGAAAGTCTGCACCTCTTTTAGGAGTGGTGTGTTTTGGGAAGGAACCCCGGCAGATTCCAAAGGGACTGTGAACAAAGACTTCTTTAAGAATCACCAGAGAAGTGGAGATTGCCATTCAAACTCCAAAAGAATTAGGACTTCCTTACCTGATAAAAACACAGGCTTCCTCCTATTCCTCCTCCTCCTTCTCTTTTTAAATACCTGTGTTTATTGACACTTTTTAGCCCTACACAATTAGTGCTTTAAAAAATGTGGCTGCTTTGAAGGAACTGACCTGAAAAAGAAACTGTGTATATCTGCAGGTTGTGTTAAAAAATATTGACATGTGGTAGTTGTTAGTGTGCCATGGCCTTGCCAGGTTTGCCCATGGACACTGGTCTTACTCAGCTAAGCCAGAATTTGGTCAGGAGGACAGCCAGTTCCCTTATCACTCTCTGCCCTTCTTCCTGCCCCCAGGGCAATCAGATCTCTCGCATCTGTTTGAGCTGGGCTGCCAGACATTTGAGCATTTTTAGTATTGGGGGAAGACTGCCTGTTACTAGGATGTTGCTGGCTTGGTGTAGCCCAGGGATTTTCAGTCTCAGCAAGGTTGACGATTGGGCAAGGTGATTGTTGTGTGGGGCTGTCCTGTGCATTGCAGGATGTCGAATAGTGGACCTTTGCTTACTAGATGCAATTAGCACTTACACTCTTCCCCAGATTGTGCTGACAGCAACAAAACAGTCTCCAGACATTGCAAAATAATTATGGTGGTGAACTGCTGGTATAGAGTGACCCATCCGTTCTGCTGGCTGGCCTGGGGCTGTGGCAAGGACAGTAACTCCTAGCCCCATCTGCTTGAAACTTGGTTTTATTGAGGAAGGACAGCCCAGATCAGGAGACTTCTTCACCCGGAGTCTGACTCCAGGGGATTTAACTAGAAAGCAGATGTGCTGGGGGGAGGTAGGGATGGGGGGGAGCTTGAGCCTAAAAAGAAACATAAGAGTGTGTGTGTGTGTGTGTGTGTGTGTGTGTGTGTGTATGTGTGTGTGTGTGTGTGTGAGAGAGAGAGAGAGAGAGAGAGACAGAGTGATTGAGATTGATAGAGACAGAGACAGGCAGATGGAGGGAGAGATTGAGAGAGAAGCTGCCTCCAACTCCCCCACCCCAACTGCACTCTTCTCTCTCAGAAACTGTAGGGCTGGAAATGAGGCAAGTCCTGCAAAAGAAATCTAAAGGAGGGGTTGGGGGTGGTGTTTTATCTGATATACCACATGGGAAGATTGGGACTTTGTGAAAATAAAAGACATTTGATTCTCAGGAGTATTTATGGAGGTAATAATTATGGATCTGAGAAGACACATAAGCCTTACATTTTGATTACTGGACTCTCACTATTAATTGGCAGTTTTATTTTACAGTAAAGGTTGTCATCCCTGCTTTTCCCTAAATGGCCTTTGTGTCTCCCTTTCTGTTTTTTAAACAAACATTTCTCTACATGAACTGCCTCTTCCTCCTCCCCTGCTTCTAGCACCACCAAACTTCGGAATAATTTTGGAGTGTAGTGGTTTTATCATGTGGAAATGCAGTGCAGATGTTCAAAATTACCTTTTCTTTCCCCCTTTAAAACATTGTGACCACACATGCTTTGCTCTAAGTACTATTAAGTATTTTTATTATTGCTATTAAAAATCTTGCCTCAGGCAGAGTCCCACTACAGCTCAAGTCAAGGCAAATATTAAAATAGCAGCAAGTATTTATGCATAACACGTTAAAAATCTGAACTCACATTTGGCTTTTTATGCAATTGAAACCTTTATTTTTTGACCCACTTGACCAAGTCCTCTATCTAGTTTTATCCTATTTTCCTGACTCTAAAACTTTAAGTTCAGACTATATGATTTTGTTCACCTACACCACTCACCCCAAATCTTCTCTAAACTTGAGTTTTTTCTTTACCCTGCATATATCTTTGAACTTAGCCTGATTGTAGAATGAATTTTGATGGGAAGATTTCAACTGCCAGTGTGAATTAGTTAGTGCATGTTTTAAAAAGTTATTAATGAAGCAGAGTTCTTTTTTTGCAGAGAATCTTGCAGATTTGTGGCAGGGGTTCTGTTCTTGGAGTGCCACACACTGGGGCCAGTGGCCATTTACCAAGGAAATGCTTATCAACACTTAACACATCTTGCACTCAGAAACCTATTTAAGGAGATTAGCTGCCACTCTAAGCTTAATTTCTTTTAGGTTTATCTGTGCCGCTTTCTTTTTGTACCGCTTGTCCAGCCTTAAAAATATTTCTCCAAAGAGTTCCTTAAAAAAAGCAACAACTTCTTTTATGATTTAATCACTTGAATCTGGAATTAAGAGCTCCCTCACTACCTATGTGCACTTTTTAGTGTGCTAGAAAGTAATCCTGGTTTAGACAAATGATCTTCTTTAAAATGCTCCTTTTCTCATCCATATTCAAATAGAATACATTGCAAGGTGATTTATTTGTAAAGGGTGGAGGGGGCCTTTGTCATTCTGGCAGAGTCCACACAGCAAAGAAGAGGCAAACTCTGATTGTGCCTTAGACAGTAGAAATGACTTTTTATTTTTTTATTTTTTAGATGGGGTCTTACTATGTTGCCCAGGCTGATCTTGAACTCCTGGGCTTAAGTGATCCTCCTGCCTTGGCCTCCCCAAGTACTGGGATTACAGGTATGAGCCATCATGCCCGGCCGAGAAATGACTCTTAATGTAGGTGTTCCACTGTACCTTCATGATACACAGTGGTGTTCCTGTCAGTGGTCTCTGTTGCAATACTTTCATGATGCATGTCAAGGTTTAGATGATTTCAAAGATTCAAGCTTTAGCTGCTTTAAAGGACAGAATGGTGCACGATGGCTAAATCTTTGCCAATTGCACATTGAAAGCTTGAGATGCCTTAAAAACCTGCCAGGCACAAACCTCAGTGGGTATTGTTGGGATGCCCCTTAAGCAACCCTTACAGGTAGAGCAATCATGAAATTTAGTGGACATTTGAGGATATTTGTGCTGACCGTGGGGACTTCTGAGACACAATGACACAGGCTTTTCCAGAAGACAGGAAACCTTTGTGAATAACTCATTATCTTTTCTTCTTTTTCTAGGCTGTGGTTATCTTTGCATGGTGGCTCTTTGCTTTGTTGCCCTGCAGATACAAATGTGTATTGCATAGAGGACTTAGAGAGAATGATCTAAAATGACCACATTTCCTGAAATCACAGATGCCTCCTGAGGAATCTGTGTGGCACTGGAACATTTGAGGGTTGTTGGGCTTATCATGGAATAGAGGTCATGGAATCTCATCTTGGGAGGTCCTGGTGGGATGCTGTTGATAGCATAAATCAGCAGCAGCAGCAGCAGCAGCACCACTGTTAGATGGAAGATCTTCTAGCTGCAAGCATGGAGCTCAGTGCTGTACTCAGTTCCTCCTCAGAACAACTCTATGAGATGTAGGTGCTGACATTGTCCTATTACCTAATCAGGGCAGTTAAGTAACTTGCCTGAGACCTCATGGGGGACTTGACCTCAGAAATGAGAACCAGCATACCATCTATTGTTTTGTAGAAAGTCAAAATAACTTCTAGTCATTTCTTCCCACCCAATTCCTTTCCTTCTTTCTGGTTTGTTTTCTTTGAAACTTTCCTTTTCTATTTGGGCTTCTCATCTGGTTTCTATTATGACCTCATTTAAAATCTTATTCTTTCTCTTAATATGTTGGTTTCCCTCTCTTATTTTAACCTTAATCATTTTCCTCCCATTGTTTTTTCATCTGCATTGTTTTATGAGGTTAATTGCCTTTGTTGTCATATTTCTAGTAGCTGTTCTGCACTTTTGCAAGAGACCTGGGAATGCTAGTGAAATTTACAGGAGACTTGCGGTCTAATAGAATTTTAATCAGCAGTTTTCTCTGCCTGCTACAAAATCTTTGCATTCACCTGCTTGGGTTTACTCTTTGGTCTCAAGTGACATGACCTATGCAAAGCACTTTGCACAGGCTTGGCTCAGCAAATATCATTTATGTTTCCTTGAAGAAAAATGAGGAGGGGATAAGCAAGAGTTGCCCTCGGATCAGTTGGTCTCCTTGTAAAGCAAGTTCATGCACCCTTTGCAAACCATTGACTTCTCTCCTCAGGATCAAACCTTGCCTGGTGGCATTTTACATGTCACTTATTGGGGTACTGATGTTTGTTCTGAGATGTGACAAACCTTATCTTCATCATCCCACTTTCATTCTGTAATTGCTTCAGAATGTTATGGAGACAATTCTACTGTATGGGAAATATCTGATTCACAGGGCTTCAATAAGTAAACTTAAATGTAATACATGTTAAATACTCGTAAAGCTCGGCACTTAGTAGGTGCACAATAAATGTTAGTCTACATGTAGAAACATATGTCTATATCTATATCTGTATCTATATCTAATCTGTCTTCTCTCAAGACTGTGCATTCCCTGAGGGCAGGAATCACATTGTACTCATCTTTAGTATCACCAGCAGCTTGCACACTGTTCTTTATCATTATTGATATATATCCTGTCATAATTGTGCACAAATTGTAAGCAGAGATAATGTCCTCTATACTTTTTTTTTTTTTTTTTTTTTTTTGAGACGGAGTCTTGCTCTGTCACCCAGGCTGGAGTGCAGTGGCGGGATCTCGGCTCACTGCAAGCTCCGCCTCCCGGGTTCACGCCATTCTCCTGCCTCAGCCTCCCAAGTAGCTGGGACTACAGGCGCCCGCCACTACGCCCGGCTAATTTTTTGTATTTTTAGTAGAGACGGGGTTTCACCGTTTTAGCCGGGATGGTCTCGATCTCCTGACCTCGTGATCCGCCCGCCTCGGCCTCCCAAAGTGCTGGGATTACAGGCGTGAGCCACCGTGCCCGGCCTGTCCTCTATACTTTTAATGTCCTATAGCAAATGAAGTATTCGATACATTTAGAAAATGACTGGGGAAGGAATTACAATTTGTTACAGCTTTTTGGACAACTTAAGAACTTCTTATGATTTATCAAAATATTCTTAATGGGTTGTGTATAAGCTGTTCTTACTTAGCTCCCCTTTATTGAGCACTTAACTTTGTGTTGGGCACTCAACTAAGTGCCAAGCACTCATTTTAAATTTAATCCCATTCAGGATTTATTCTCTTTTTAAAGATAAGGAAACTGAGGCACAGAGAATTTGTAACTTCCTCAGGGTAACATAGCTGCCATGCTATTAGAATATAAGTATTGTTCTTTCCCTTACTCAGTCTTGCCTGTAGAAATAGTCACTCCTCATAGCATATATCATAACCATAGCAATAGTAACAGTAGTACTCCTGAAGCTAACCTTTTCATTAAAACATGAAAACTCGGTAGACCTAGTTAAGTATATACCAAGTGGTGAGTGGCAACTTTGTGGAAAATTCCATCCCAAGCCTGGACCTCTCTCTTGAGCACCAGCACCATACATGTAACCATCTAGTGGACTTCCTGTGGGTTGCAGAAACATATTGGGATTAGCCTGTCCAGAATGGAACTTGTCTTCTTCCCAACTATTCTCCCCCTGTGTCCTTGTCTTGCTGTCACCACCACGTACCTCCCAACCCAAGCCAGACACTGGGAACCTCATCAATTTCTCTTTCTCCATCACTCCCTGTATTAGTTTTTTATTGCTGCGGTAACAAATTACCACAAACTTAGTGGTTTTAGACAATACAAATACATGATTCTTGTACAGTCCTGGGGATCAGAAGTGTGAAGTCAGTTTCACTGGGCTAAGATCAAGATGTTGTCAGGCCTGCATTCCTTCTGGAAGCTCTCAGGGGGAATTCATTCCCTTGCCTTTCCCAGCTTCTAAAGGCCAGCTGCACTCCTTGGCTTGTGGCACCCCCCTCCATTTTCCAGCCAACACTGAAACATTTTCAAATTTCTTTATGACCCTTGCTTCTGTGGTCATATTTCCTGCCCCGTGACTTTGACCCTCTTGCCTCCCTCTTATCAAAACCCTTATGATTACATTGGGCCCACCTAGTTAATACAATATAATCTTCTCATTTTAAAATCCTTAACTCATTCACATCTGCAAGGTCCTTCTGCCATGTAAAGTAACATATACACAGGATTTGGGAATTAGTAGGTGGACATCTTTGAGGGGGTCCGTTACTCAGCTTACCATACCCTCTGTATCCAATATATCACTAAGCCCTATTTATTCTCTCTCTCTACACACTTTTGAGTCTGCCTAAGTTCTTTCATTTCCATTGCTCTTACCTTTGGCTTGGTCCTCTTAACTGGTCTCCCAGCTTCGTACCTCTTGTAGTTCATTCTTCATGCTACTCTCAGGATCATCTTAGAAAAATGTATGTCTGTCCTTTCAGAACCCTGCATTGCCCGAAGGACAAAGTACAAAGTCTTGAGCCTGGCTTACAAGGCCCCTGCCTACATTTTTCCACCTTATCACCTACTTTTCCTTTCTCACTTGCCTCTCCCAGTCAGCTTAAACTCTGGCTTTGCTGAACAGCCAGCTTCTGGGCTCTGTGCCTGTGTTTGTGTGACTCCCCCACTGCTGGGGCTTCCTTCCTCCTCCATCCTCACTTGACTAACCCTTACTTGTCCTACAATATTCAGCCCAGGTGTTTTACCTTCTCTGGATATCCTCACTTTCAGTCCTTCCTGCCCTGGACTGGATTAAGGTCCCTACTTGTGCATATATTGCTCATAACAATTACTAAATATTCATTTACTTGACTGCCTTTCCCACTAGACTGTGAAATATCAAAAGGAAGAACCATGTCCAGTTCACTGATGCTTCCATGAACCCTAGTAATGCCTTAGTATATGATAAAAACCCAAAACTGTTAGGGAATGATTTTGGAGTGAAGCTGCATTAGTGTTCTTTTGTGAAGGATCAGATTTTTATTTTTAACTACTTACAGACTTACAGAAAATTTGCAAAAATCAGGCAGAGGGTTTCTGTATGTCTCTCCCCTAGCTTTCCTCAGTGTTCCTCTCTTACATAACTTGAGTACAAGTATTAGAACCAGGAAATTACCATTTCTGCCTGGTATGGCACATGCTATAATTTGGATATGTAATACTCAAAAACTCATGTTGAAATGTGATCCCCAATGCTGGAGTTGGGGCATAGTGGGAAGTGTTTGGGTCATGAGGGCTGATTCCTCATGAATGACTTGGTGCTATAAGGGTGAGTTCTCACTCTATTAGTTCCCATGATAGCTGGTTCTTTAAAAGAAACTGGCACCTCCTCCTTTCTCTCACCTCCTCCCTCACCATGTGATCTGCACGCTGGCTCCCCTTCCTCTTCCACCAGGAGTGGAAGCAGCATGAGGCCCTCATCAGAAGCTGAGCAGATGCCTGTGTCAGGCTTCTTTACAGCCTGCAGAACTGTGAGCCAAATAAACCTCTTTTCTTTATAAATTATCCAGCCTCAGCCTCAGGTATTTCTTGATAGCAACACAAATATGGACTAAAACAGTAGATACCATTAACCAAACTAAAGTCCTCATTTAAACTTCACCAGTTTTTCTACCAATGTTCTTTTATTGCCATTCCAGGATCCTATGTTACATTTAGTTGTTATTTCTCCCTAGTGTCCTGCAGTTTGCAACAATTCTTTAGTTATTCCTTATCTACCATGATCTTGGCACCCTTGAAGAGTATTGATCAATTATTTAGCTGAATTTCCCTCACTTCAGACCCTTCCCATATCTTCGCATGATTGGACAAAGGTCATGCATTCCTGAAAGAAACAATGTGATGTCCCTCTCAGGGGATTGGAACACAGAGTTAATGATGTTGCTAGGTCATTTTATTGAATACTGTTGATCCCACCAGTCTGAACTCTGCTCTGGGATATTGCAGTCTTTACTAAGTAGATAGTTGTTGTTGTCATCATCATGACTAACATTTATCAGTCACCCACGGTGGGGCAGGCACTATTCTAACCTCTTGATATGTAGTAACTCCTTTAATCCTCACAACAACCCTGGTAAAGCTGAGCCTATTAATCTCCCCTTGTTACAAATGAAGCAATGGAGTCACAGGAAGGGGATTACTCTGCCTAAGGCCTTACAGGAAGTCACAGTCAGGGGGCCAACAGTCCTGTGCTCCCAATCCTCGGGCTACTCTGCCTCCTTTGTGTGTGGGAGAGTCGGAGTGGGGCTGGTGCAGCCTGCTGAGTAACAAGGGCTTCCCAAGGGGCAATCCCAACCCTTATTCTCTCTGTAACCAGTTTCCTTGCCAGTTTCCCTAAAGAAAATTAGATGTTTATACTAATTTTTTTTTTTTTTTTTGGTAATTTGGCTTGTTTTTTAATCAGGCTTCAAGTGTCTAGGAAGTATGAAAATATATGGGTGAACGGAAATCCTGAACCCACCATTTAGGAGTCAGTTTTGAAAGCCTAGGAGACTGTTCATAAGGTAGAATTAAGGTGATGACAGTGGGAATAGACAGGGAAAGGAATATAAGAAGATGCCTTGAAACAGGAACATCTAAGAACCTAAAGAATGAGGAGGGTGGAGGTATTGGAGAGCCTGGAGTTTTCAGCTTTGGGGACAGGGTCATTTCTAATGCCTGTGACAGTCACGAGGGAGGCAGGGTTTTGGGAGGAGAAGGAATGTTTGGCATTTGAAAATATGGGTTTGCATTTCAAGGCAGAAGACTAGGCTAGAGATGTGGGTTTGGGAAGCATTTATAAGAGATGGAGTTTAGATACCCCTTCACCTCCCCCTGTCCCTGCAAGTGAGGAGGGTCTGATGATAGAATTAGGGCATATCTCTGTTTAAGACAAATAAGAAGGAAGAGGAGCAGTGAAAAAAACTGAGAAGGAAATATTTAGAGAGGAGGGAGAACCCAGAAAACAGGGCCATCAAGGGCGAGAGAACTCATTCATTCATTCATTCACTCTTGCATTCAGTTGTTTTATGGAGAACCTTTAACTCTAAACTATGTCTTGAAGGGGACACTGAGATGATAGAGACTCTCATGGGAGGGACCTTTGCGTTTGGTCCCTAGGGATGAGGCAAAGTTCATCGACAGATAAGTAGGAAAGATGGGGGCATGTATGGCCTCGGGCCCTGATATACTGGTACAAGCTTGTCCAACCCATAAGCCACATGTGGCCCAGGATGGTTTTGAATGTGGCCCCCCAAAATTTGTAAACTTTCTTAGAACACTATGAGATTTTGTGTGTGTGTATGTGTGTGTTTTTAGGCTCAGGAGCTATCATTAGTGTTAATATGTTTTATGTGTGGCCTAGGACAATTCTTCTTCCAATGTGGCCCAGCGAAGCCAAAAGATTGGACACCCCTGCACTAGCACATGCGTTGTTCTTTCTCAAATCCTCCTCCTCCCAAAGAAGCTATATAATTTTAACCAAACCTTAATTCACCTCTCAAATTATATTCAAATGTAGTCTTCCTAAGCATATGCTGTAATTAAACAATATGGCATTTAAAGATTCTTAACACCACAATATGCCATGGTTACTTTAGTCAAAAATATTCAACTTGAACTAATTTTTTGGTGCTGTGACATTAAAGAGCCAGATGAATGACTGAGTTTGTTTTTTTTTTTTTTTTTTAGCTGAGTTTGGGAGTTGAATGGATGCTGGGTGCAGAGCATGGCAGTATCCCAGCATGATATTGATAGTAGGTTTCAGGAGCTAATGCTGAATAATAAAAGATGGTTTCATGTGATCCTTGCTAACAAGGTAAAGGTTTGAGCTGCCAGAACAGGAAATTATAAAATTTGTATCTAAAAATAATCTAATCCCTTGCATTTTCTATTGTGACATCCAGTGATAAGATACAAGGACCTTACAGAAACTCTGGGCAGTTTCTGGAACCCCTGTCTGTAATCAGCTGATTTGATTTTCTTCAGCACAATGACAGAATATTTGTGAGGAAATTAAACTTCATCATGCTCCAGCTATCAGTTACATGGCATCAACATTTCTATCAGGCTTTATGGAGAATTTCTTAAGTACTAGAGCTACCTTTAACTCCAGTGCAAGTTTGCAAATCTACAGCGGCTTTGAAAGAAGTCTAAATGAACTCAGGCCCTCTAAGGGTTTCTCAACCACGCCAGCACTGTTGACATTCTGGGCTGGATAGTTCTTTGCTGGGGATGGGGGCTTGTCCTCATGTAGGACATTTAGCAACATCCCTGACGTCCATCTATCAGATGTTAGTAGCATTACTCCCCCAAGTCATGTCAATCAAAAATGTCTGCAGACATTGCCAGGTGTCTCCTGTGGGATAGAGTCATCCCCTGTTGAAAAACCACTGATTCAAAGTCTTGCTACTAAAAGTGCAGTCCAGCAACCAGCATCAACATCTTCTGGGAGTTTGCTAGCTAAGAGCTGTGTCCCAGGCCTCTGGAATTAGAATCTGCATTGTAACAAGATCTTCAAGAGACCTGTGGACACATGAAGGTCTGAGATGCACTGATCTAAAGCTCTACCCAGGGCAGTGTGGTGTAGCAGAAGGGCAAGAGCTTTGAACCCAGACATGCCTAACCATTAAAAGCTATGTGACCTCTGGCAAGTTGTTTAACTGCTCTGAGACTCAGGTTCCACCTCTGTTAAAATGGGACTAAGAAACTTTCTGTGTTATGACAATGATAGTAGTGGATTGAGCTGAAGCAACAAGAAGGGTATACCCAACCCTTATTAGAATCTCAACTGGGCTGGCTTCTTCCCCTCTCTGCTGTTTTCATTGGCCGTACTACACTCACTGGTGCTAGTGGTGATGATATCAGAGGGTGAGGAAAAGCAGTCTGCTTGAGTTAGTGCTCTGCCAGCAGAGGAGGTCATAAAAAAATCTGCTTATTTACAAATTTTTATTTTTGAATTATTTACTTTCTTTAAGCTGTGACTCTCATGGTAGTCTGGCCCTTCCATTGCTTGGGAAACTGGGATCGTGTTTCTGGAAAACTCATTATCCTGGGCCTTGTGAACTCTTACTGGTCTCATTTAAAGGCCAGAATCTAAAGGTGGGAAAGGTGAAGTTGATGGCAGCTAAATGTAGAAGTGTTTAAGGAAGATGAGGCTCACATGGTAAACTTTATTCCTGCACTATAGCAACTGGATTTTGAAATGGGGCAATTATTTTTGTGACCATTAGAAACATTTTTGGTTATACAAGTTAAGGATAAATATTTTTGCCTTGGGAATAAACAGATTGCTCCAGAACTCCAGATTTTTCTTTTTTCTTCTTTCTCTCACCATGTCATCGCCTTAGTATGGCATGTATTTTAAAATTTCTCTTCCTGGTATATCAAGAATAGCTGTTCTCATGGCTGTGGGCCAGTAATCTAACCTGACATAGACAATTCTCCTTTTTGGCAACATTTATTTAAATAATATATAATAAAGGTACATACACACAGAACAATCACACACCCACACAAACAATATTTGAATCTGACTTGTTACGACAGTTTTTAGGCAAATCACAATTATAGTTGGCCTTTGAACAACATGGGCTTGAACTACACAGGTCCACTCATATGTGGATTTTTTTTTTCAACCAAATGCAGATTGAAAATACAGGTTTCCCTGGATTTGAACCCATGTTTATGGAGGGGAATTTGTGTATTCAGGTTCTTCAGGACTTGAGTGTGTGTGGATTTTGGTATGCTGTGGTAGGTGGTCCTGTAACCCAGCAGTTCCCAACCTGTTTGGCATCGGGAACTTGTTTAGTGGAGGACAATTTTTCCACAAACAGGGCTGGGCAGGGGATGGTTTCAAGATGAAGCTGTTTCACCCCAGATCATCAGGCATTACCTAGATTCTCATAAGTAGCATGCAGCCTAGATCCCTTGTATGCGCAGTTCACAATAAGGTTCAGGCTCCTAAGAGAAGCTAATGCTGCTGCTGAGCTGATAGCAGGGGGAGCTCAGGCGGTAATGCTCCCTTGCCCTCTGCTCACCTCCTGCCATGTGGTCTAATTCCTAACAGGCCATGGACCAGTAATGGTTGGCGGCCTGGAGTTTGGATACCCCTGCTGTAACCAATTCCTCATCTATACCAAGAGACAACTGTGATTTATCTGAAATGTTGTGATGCTACAAACATGAAGAGATGTCATTTAGAGTCAGTGTACAGAATTGTGTAGATTGGGCACTGCACAACTCTAGAGGGCACCATTTTTATCATGGAGATCATGGATTTGCATATATTTTATACGCTTGTCAGAAGATGACAACACAGTTTCTTATCTAACAAAATCAGTACATTGCAACAGTGTTCTGGCAGATAGAAGTGAAGTGTCTTGGGAAGGGGCTTCATTTTCTAATTTGCACAAAGGAGTCATATGGGCTAGTGGCAGCCCTGCTATCTTGCCTTTTTTTGGGAGCTTCTACTCTGGTGTGCAAAATAATACAAATCATTACCCCCAAAGAAAAAATATGGCTGAGAGCCATAAGAAAAAAAATACAGTTTGTTTGATTTTCATGAATGTGAAAAAAAGAATCCTCCGTAAAAGGGGTGTCCTTGACCGGGTGTGGTGGCTGACTACTGTAATACTGACAGTTGGGGAGGTTGAGATGAGAGGATTGCTTGAGGCCAGGAGTTTGAGACCAGCCTGGGCAACATGGGAAAACCCTGTCTCTACAAAAATTAGCTGGGTATGGTAGTGTGTGCCTGTGGTCCTTGGTACTTGGGAAGATGTGATGGGTGGATTGCTTGAGCCCAGGAGGTCCAGGTGAGCTATGATCACCACTGTACTCTGGCCTGGGCAATGGAACAAGACCCTGTCACCAAAAAAAAAAAAAAAAGAAAGAAAAAAAAAGTGGGAGGTGTCCTTGAATGCCCCTTTCATCTTGGCACATTTGCTAATGCCTCTGTTCATGCTGCCGTACTTCCCAAATACAGGTAACAATACCAAGGAAGATGAAGCAACCCAGTGGTCCAAGGGAAGGAAGAAATCATTTAAATAGCAGAGGTTTGCTGACACAGGTCCAGCAGATAATAATCAGGATATATGGAAGAATCTCATCAGCTGTGATTGGTTGAAGATCAGCTGATGCTATGAAGGAAAGTGGTTAACATGGTTATTGCGTTACAGAGATGAGGACGAGTTACCCCTTTTATACGTGAGACTACATCTAATGTATGTTCTTCAGGACTTTGCTTATTGGATGCAAGGGCTGTTCCCATAACGTAGCATTGGTCATGTGAGCATTTTTGTTTGCCTAGTGTTAGGTCTTTGGTTGAGACATGTTCCTGCAGTTACCCATTTTTACCTCCATTTCTTTCTTTGTTTTTTATTATTGAGACAAAATCTCTGTCGCTGGGGCTGGAGTGCAATGGCATGGTCTCTGCTCACTGCAACCTCCAGCTCCTGGGTTCAAGCGATTCTTCTGCCTCAGCCTCCTGAATAGCTGGGATTACAGGCATGCACTACCCCGCCTGGCTAATTTTTATATTTTTAGGAGAGACAGCGTTTCACTATGTTGGCCAGGCTGGTCTTGAACTCCTGATGTCAGGTGATCTGCCTGCCTTGGCCTCCCAAAGTGCTGGGATAACAGGCATGAGCCACTGTGCCTGGCCTTATCTCCATATCTCCATTTCTTTCTAGATGGAGTCTGTAGTTTCACATAGAATTGCATCTGAATAGTCACCAAGGATGGGAAAATGGTGGTTTCAACCTGGCCTATTTAGGCAACAGCCTTGGTGATGCTGATAATGGGACTCTTCTAGATAGGCAGAGCAGGAAAGAGAGAAAGCAATTATTGACAGCGAATGAGATGGAGGAAAATCTACTTTTTTTGTTCAAGTGATATACTTTTGGGGTTGTTTTTATTTGGTTTTGGTGTGCCCAGGTTGGTTACTTTGAATTGCGAAGAAGGGTCTCACATGGATTTTTATTTTGGTGGTGATGTCATTTTTATAGTGGTGAATGTAGCAGAGTTCCCAAGTGTGAGCGTTAATTGTTAGATCTGGAGGTAACAATTTGTTCTTAATAATAATTAAGGTCATGAAATCTGCAAATAATGTGCTAAAACTAAACTTTATGATTATATATAATAATGATGATGGACAATGGTAGACTGGATATAGAAAATTTGGTACATATCCACCACAGAATACTACACAGCCATAAAAAAGAACATTGTGTTCTTTGCAGCAACATGGATGGAGCTGGAGACCATCATCCTAAGCAAACTAATGCAGGGACAGAAAACCAAATACTGCATGTTCTCACTTATAACACTGAGTACACTTGGACACAAAGAAGGGAACAATAGACACTGGGACCTACTTGAGGGTGGAAGGTGGGAGGAGGGTGAGGATCAAAAAACTACCTATTGGGTACTAAGCTTATTACCTGGGTGATGAAATAATCTGTACACCAAACCCCTGCAACATGCAATTTCCTTATATAATAACCTTGCACATGTACCCCTGAACCTAAAATAAAAGTTAAAAAATAATGATGATGGAGATAATAGCTAATGCTACTAGATGGCTTATATAATAGAAAGTTTAGTTTGGGCCCGTGATTGTACTTAATTCTCATATAATTCCTTGTGTAAGGTTCTGTTATCTCTATCTTATAGCTGTAGAAACTGAGGCCTAGAGAGTTTAAGTTCACACTGCTGGGAAGCAGAAGGGATGAGATTTGAACCCAGATATGAACAAGAGACTCCTACTTACTTGAATTCAGTTATATTTCCCAAGGGACTGTGCATAACCATATCTCCAGGTGCTGCCCACGTGGATGTCATTGCTCCTGTAGGATGACCAACCGTCCCAGTTGCTTGAGAGTGAGGGGTTTCCCAGGATATGAGACTTTCATTAAGGCTGGGGAAATCCTGGGAAAACCAGGAGGAGTTCATCACCCTAGAGGACTAGGGTGCATGCCCTGACAGAGACAAAGAATGGATAAAGTGGGAACCACTGGGTTGCTTCATCTTCCTTGGCATTGTTACCTGTATTTTGAACAGTTTGAATGAGAGTGTGATTTTCCCACTTAAGTTTTTCACAACGTAAAGAAAATGTGTGAAGAAAGTACAAGGCTGGTTTTTTTTGTTTGTTTGTTTTGTTTTGTTTTTTGAGATGGAGTCTTGCTCTGTTTCCCAGGCTGGAGTGCAGTGGCGAAATCTCGGCTCGCTGCAAGCTCTGCCTTCTGGGTTCATGCCATTCTTCTGCCTCAGCCTCCCAAGTAGCTGTGACTACGGGCACCCGCCACCACACCTGGCTAATTTCTTTTTGTATTTTTAGTAGAGACGGGGTTTCACTGTGTTAGACAGGATGGTCTCAATCTCCTGACCTCGTGATCCGCCCACCTTGGCCTCCCAAAGTGCTGGGATTACAGGCATAAGCCACCATGCCCTGCCCATGGCTGGTCTTTTATAGGCCTTGTTTTCAGCCATAGATCTTCCACAGAGTCTTTGTAGAAGAAATGAAAAAATTATAAATGAATACACAAATAGCCTGCCATGCTGGTGGGAAACACACTACAGCTCAGATTTGGCCATGATAGTCACATTTCATCCAGATAGATCTCAGTTCTGGTCTTTGCCAAGTTGACAGATTTTATTAATTTGGGGGTATTCATCCCTCACATGGCCCCACCCTAAATATGGGCTATCCTTCCTCCATTACCGGAATTTAAAAACTAGAATTTAATATTTAACAACCATACACATTCTGGAAACTGGAAAAATGGCAATAAATGTGCTTATTTTAAAATGGAAATTTGCTGTTTGGAAGTATCTACTCTCTTGGGAAAATTCTTCAGGTTTGATCATTTTGTATTGGAAGATCTGCCTGTAGGCCTGGCAGTTGTTCAAGGAAAAATTTATTTGGTTCATTTTTTTGTAAAAATTAGAATGATTTGTTGTTTTTCTTTCTTTTTTTTTTTTAGGTGCTCTTGTGCCCTCATTGGAAACTTAGAGATTTGTTTTTCAGCTAATTGACAATTATGCCTATCTGGTCACACATTTTATGGTCTATTTTTTCCTCCTTAAATGGTTTGGGTGTAGGGAGGAGATATCTGTGCCTTTCTGGACATCTGCTGTTTGTTGTTATAGCTGACTTTGGAATGCTGTCCTTGGAACGGCTTCCAATGTGGAGCGTCCATATGCAGTGCTTCATTAACTGATGGGGTGGGAAAAAGGAGCTTTTTTTTATAAGACTATTCCCCAAGTGACCAGAGCCTCACCCTTTAAGTGTCAACACTTTCAAAACTGATTAACCACTCTGAGTGAAATCTTTATAAATTACAACTATTTGAATTTTCCTGGCTTTCTTAACACATAGACCGTTCTGAGCAGATTGGAGCCTTTTCTTCATAGCTGAGGGTCATGATTAACCATGTCTATTATTACTCTTTCCTGTGAAGGGGTGGGTGCCTTTAGATGTATTTGGGAATATAGGGTTATTTGCTTCCTTCCTAAGTGGTCTCAGATGAACTTTTAATGTCCACTTTTGGTGTTTTGTGTTTTTTTCCCCTAGTTCCTCCTATGTTGCTAAGACATCACCTCTCACTTTTGACAATATTTGTGTCTGTAGCACTTTTCTCACATTTCAGCTTTTGTTTGTTAATTTTCTTTAGGCTGGGAGTTAGATTGCCAAGCTTGTTAAAATTATGCAGAGGAGGGTCTGAGCAGACTCACCCATGAGGAAATTGAGTGTGTCTTAGTGTGTTGAATTTGGATCATCTAAGATAGGACTTCTAGATAGTTGTGGTGCCAGTGAGTTTAGGTAGCTCCTTGTGGGTTTCAGCACTGGTGAAATAAAGCTTGTGATGAAATAAATTTGAGATGAGAACCAGGAAGGATCTAATTCCTCAGAATAGTAACTTGACTTTACTGCTTTTTAGTCAAAATGGTGCTTGGAACTCTCAGTTCTTCTCAATATCCTTTACAGCTGGATGTGTTACAATTTTTTCCAAGCTGTTAGGATCTTGCATGTTTATAACGTTAGCCAAAGTGCTAGTACTTAATGAAATTTCCATTGTTTTCTTTTTATTGATGGATCTGAAATTTTTTTTCTATTATAATTTTGCCTCCTATTTGTATCTTTAACCTCAAACCTAGCTGATTGTTACTAGAAAATAGGAATGGTCTCACTCACAAATTTAAGGCGTACCACATAATGTTTTGATATACATATACAGTCATGCACAATCAACTTTAGGGACATTCCACATCAGGTTAAAGTCAGCTGAGTATATAGTGTGGAAAGGTCTGGGAGAAGGCTGGTGAAAATTAGAACTTGTAAAGCGATACGTTTTGTTAGATTGGGGGAGTAAACTTTACCAAATTGGCCTGCCCTTCTATTTTGGTCTTTCAATGTTTAATTGAAATTTAAAAGTTATTAGACTTGCTTTAGATTAAGTGGGAGTCAAGTCACTTATACCAGTTAGGCTTACTATAATATAACAAATTAAACAATTATAACACATTAAAAGTTGATTTATTTTGTAAGTTAGCAAATATAAATTCTGTATTATTCTGGAATACTGAGAATTTCTCAAGTTTTTACTTGCTGAAGGTGTGTAGGGGCTAGAACAAATATGTATTTTAGAATTTTAGAATTCTCTTATATTTATTTTGTTTTTTATATATGTGCTTTTTATTTATTTTTATTGTATAAATATAAGGTATACAACATGATGTTTTGATACACAATCATGTGTTGCTTAACGATGGGGATACGTTCTAAGAAATGCGTTTTAGGCAATTTGACATTGCGTGAACATTGTAGAGTATACTTACATAGACCTGGATAGTATAGCTTCCTACATACCTAGGCTATATGGTATAGCCAATTGCTCCTAGGCTACTAACTTGTACAGCATATTACTGGACTGAATATTGTAGGCAATTGTAATGCAATGGTGTATCTAAATATTTCTAAACATAGAAAACGTCCAGTAAAAATACAGTATTATAATCATATGGTACTAGTGTCATATATGTGGTCCGTCATTTATCGAGACATCATGATGCAGGAATTGACTGTACATTGTGAAGTGATTACAATATTCAAGCAAATGAACATATCCAACATGTCATGTAGTTACCTTTCTTGATTGTGTCTGTGTGGTAAGAGTACCTAAAATCTACTCTGTTAGCAAATTTCCATTATGCAATACTGGAATATATCTATAAAACTATAGTTAATAATATGTATTGTTATTAACTATAGTCCTCATGCTGAACATTAGATCTCTAGATTTATTCATCCTATGTAATTACAACTTTGTACTTGACCTACATCTGCCTGTTTTTTTGTTTTGTTTTGTTTTTGAGATGGAGTTCCGCTCTTTTGCCCAGGCTGGAGTGCAGTGGCAAGATCTCGGCTCACTGCAACCTACGCCTCCTGGGTTCAAGTGATTCTCCTGCCTCAGCCTCCCGAATAGCTGGGATTATAGGTGCCTGCCACCACACCCAGTTAATTTTTTTTTTTTTTGTATTTTTAGTACAGACGGGGTTTCACCATGTTGGCCAGCCTGGTCTCAAACTCCTAACCTCATGATCCACCCGCCTTGGCCTCCCAAAGTGCTGGGATTACAGGCGTGAGCCACTGCGCCCTGCCAACATCTCCCTGTTTTACCCACTGTCCCCGCTTCCTGCCATAACCATTCTTCTATCCTGTTTCTATTGTATTTGATTTTTAAAAAACATTCCACATGTAAGTGAGATCATGTAGCCTTTTTCTTTCTGTGTTTGGTTTATTTCAGTTAGCATAATGTCTTATAGCTTCACCCACGTTGACCCAAATAGCAGGATCTCCTTATTAAAAGCAAAATAATATTCCACTGTGTGTGTGTGTATACAGGTTGAGTATCCTAAATTCAAAAATCTGAAATTCGAAATGCTCCAATATCTGAAACTTTTAAAGTGCTGACATGATGTTCAAAGGAAAAACTAATTGGAGCATTTTGGATTTTGGATTTTTGTATTTGGGATGTTCAACTGTTAAGAATAATGCAAATATTCCAAAACCTGAAAAAAAAATCAGAAATCCAAAATGCTTCTGGTCCCAAGCATTTTGGATAAGGGATTCTCAACCTGTATGTGTTCCTTTATCCATTTATCTGTCAACAGACACTTTGGTTGTTCCCATATCTTGGCTATTGTGAATAATGCTGCAGTGAATGTGGGAGTGCAGATATCTTTATGAGGTGGTGACTTCATTTCCTTGGAGTATATATCTAGAAGAAGGATTGCTGTGTCATATGGTAGTTTTATTTAAAAGTCTGCATTCTGACCAACAGTATTTAAGGGTTCTCTTCTCTCCATATCCTTGCCAACATTTGTTACCTCTTGTTTGTTTGCTTATTTATTTATTTACACAGACAAGGTCTTGCTGTGTTGCCTAGGTTGGCCTCAAATTACTGGGCTCAAGTGGTCCTTATACCTCAGCCTCCCGAGTAGCTGGGACTAAAGGCATGTGCCACCTCACCTGGCTACCTCTTGTTTTTTGCTAATGCCATTCCAACAGGAGTGGGGAGATATCTCATTGTGGTTTTGATTTGTTATTTCCATCATGATTAGTGATGTTGAGCACCTTTCCATAAACCTGAAGACTATTTTTTGACTTATTTGGAGAAATGCCTATTTAGGTCCTTTGCTCATTTAAAAATCTGGTTATTTGCTGGGTGCGGTGGCTCACACCTGTAATCCCAGCACTTTGGGAGGCCGAGGCGGGTGGATCAAAAGGTCAGGAGATCGAGACCATCCTGGCTAACACGGTGAAACCCTGTCTCTACTAAAAATACAAAAAATTAGCTGGGCATGGTGGTGGGCGCCTGTAGTCCCAGCTACTCGGTAGGCTGAGGCAGGAGAATGGCATGAACTTGGGAGGCGGAGCTTGCAGTGAGCCGAGATTGTGCCACTGCACTCCAGCCTGGGAGACAGAGCAAGACTCCGTCTCAAAAAAAAAAAAAAAAATCTAGTTATTTGTGTTTTTGTTTTTGTATTTTTTCTGTTGAATTTTATTTTATTTTATTTTATTTTATTTTATTTTATTTTATTTTATTTTATTTTATTTTTTTGGTCGGATTCTCACTCTGTCACCCAGGCTGAAGTGCAGTGGCATGATCTCAACTCACTGCAACCTCCACCGCCCAGGTTCAAGTGATTCTCCTGCCTCAGCCGCCTGAGTAGCTGGGACTACAGGCACACACCACTGTACCTGGCTAATTTTTGTATTTTTAGGAGAGACAAGATTTCAGTATGTTGGCCAGGCTGGTCTCGAACTCCTGATTTCAGGTGATCTACCCACCTTGGCCTCCCAAAGTGTCGGGATTACAGGCATGAGCCACTGTGCCTGGCCTATTGAGTTTTGTTTCTCATATATTTTGAATATTTACCTCTTATCAGATATATGGTTCACAAATGTTTTCTCCCAATCCATAGGCTGCCTTTTAATGTTGTTGTTTCCTTTGCTATGCAGAAGCTTTTTAGTTTGATGTAGTTACACTTCTTTATTTTGCTTTTGTTGCTTATGTTTTTGGTGTTTCATCTGAGAAATCATTGCTACAACCAATGTCAAGAAGTTTTTTCCTATATTTTCTTCTAGGTGTTATACAGTTTCAGGTCTTACTTTTAGGTCTTTCATTCATTTTGAGTTGATTTTTGTGTATGGTGTAAGTTAAGGGTGCAGTTTCATTCTTCTGCATATGGATATCCAGTTTCCCCAATAGCATTTATTGAAGACACTGTCCTTTCCTCATTGTGTCTTCTTGGTGCCCTTGTTGAAAATTAGTTGACCATATATGCTTGGATTTCTTTCTGAACTCTCTGTTCTTTTTTATTGGCCTGTGTGTCTGTTTTTATGTGAGTACCCTACTGTTTTGATTACTGTAGCTTTGTAGGATAATTTGAAGTCAGGGAGTGTGATGCCTCCACTTTATTTTTCTTCCTCAGGATTGCTTTGCCTATTTGAGGTCTTTCATGGTTCCATATGAATCATAGAACTATTTTTCTATTTCTGTGAAAAATGACTTTGGAATGTTAATAGAGATTATGTTGAACCTGTAGACTGCTTTGGATAGTATGGATAGTTTGACAATATTGATTATTCCAATTTATGAACATGGGATGTCTTACCATTTATTTGTGTCTTCTTTGATTTCTTTTATCAATGTGTTATAGTTTCAGTGTACAGACCTTTCACCTCCTTGGTTAAATTTATTCCTATTTTGTTGCTTTTGAAATTGTAAATCGGATCATTTTCTTGATTTTTTTTTTTTTTGGATAGGTCATATTTGCTGTAGACAAATGCAACTGGTTTTTGTATGTTGATTTTTTTTATCTTGCAACTTTACTGAATTCATCTATTATTTTAACAGTTTTTTTATGGGGTCTTTATAGGGCTTTCTACATGTAGGATCATGTTACTTACAAATAGGGATAATTTTACTTCTTCCTTCCCTATTTGAGTGCCTTTTCTTGTTCTTGCCTTATTGATTTTTTTTTTTTTTGAGATGGAGTCTCACACTGTCACCTAGGCTGGAGTGCAGTGGTGTAATCTTGACTCACTGCAACCTCTGCCTCCTAGGTTCTAGAGATTCTCTTGTCTTGGCCTCCCAAGTAGCTGGGATTACAGGTGCACGCCACCATTCCCAGCTAATTTTTGTATTTTCAGTAGAGGCGGGGTTTCACCACGTTGGCCAGGCTGGTCTTGAACTCCTGACTTCAAGTGATCTGCCTGCCTCGGCCTCCTAAAGTTCTGGGATTACAGGCGTGAGCCACCACACCCAGCCTGCCTTATTGATCTTGCTAGTACTTCCAATATTACGTTGATAGATGTGGCAAGAGTGGGCATTCTTGCCCTATATGGAATCTTAAGGAAAAAGCTTTTAGTTTTTCCCCATTGAGTATGATATTAGCTGTGTGCTTCTCATAAGTGACCTTTATTATGCTGAGGAAACTACTTTGTTTAACCTAATTTCTTGAGAATTTTCAACATGAAAGGATGTTAAACTTTGTTAAATGCTTTTTGTGCATATATTGAGATGATCATATGGTTTTTAGCCCTCATTCTGTTAATGTGATGTATCACATTAATTTACTTGCATGTGTTAAATCAACCTTGCATCCCAGGGATATACATTGTGGTCACAATGTATAATAATTTGATGTATTATCAAATTCAGGATGCTCATGTTTTATTGAGGATTTTTGCTTCTATGTTTATCAGAGATATTGGCCTATACTTTTCTTGTGGTGCCTTTTTTGGGCTTTGGTACCATGATAATCATGGTCTTATAAAATGAGTTTGGAAGTATTGCCTCTAGTTCTATTTTTGAAAGAATTTAAGAAGAATTGTTGTTAATTCTTTTTTTAATGTTTGGTAGAATTCAGCAGTGAAGCCATCTGGTCTTGGGCTTTTCTTTGTTGGGAGGCTTTTAATTACTACATCAGTCTATATTTGTTATTGGTTTGGTCAGACCTTCTGTTTCTTCTTGATTCAGTCTTGGTAGGTTATGCTTCTAGGAATTTATCTATTTCTCTAAGTTATCCAATTTGTTGGCATATAGTTGTTTATAACAACCCCTTCTGATCCTTTTCTCTGCGGGGGGCTGCTGGAGCTAGGGAGTTCCTCTCTGTGCTGATCACAGCTATAGGGCAGATGACAGATGGGTTGGTGCAGAGAAAATGAAACTGTTCTTCCTATTATTTTTGGGAGGTGATTCTCATGGCTTTTTTTTTTTTTTAATTTCACTGTATTGTTGAGGCTACTTAAGTAGACTGCTAAGCTCTTCCAGAAACACTTTTTTTTTTCATGGACAGTTGCTGAATTGTTGCTCTTCATGGGGGAAGTGATGGCTGGGGTCTCCTACTCCACCATCTTGCTAGTGTCTCACCCTTTCTTATATTATATTTGTAAATCAGTGAGAAAATCAAAAGTGAATTGAATTATCAGACTAAAAATAAAAAACACTTTGAACTTAAGTTACTATCTTGTAAGTTACATAAGCCTGAGAGTGAAATGTTAAGGGCTCTTCCTTGCCAAAGGCAGTAAGATGAATGGAAATGGGCTAGTATTATATTTGCTTTGCTTGTTGCTGCTGTAGAGCTTCCTGTTCTGAAAACATCTCTGGCCAGTTTCTATGTGGGTATTAAGAGGATAATTTTGCTCTAGGTGAATTGGCTTGAGACCAAAGAAGAAGTGACAATCTTTGGAATGTTAAATTGTTACAGGGAATTCATTACAACTGTATCCCTATGAAGGAGATCCTCCTTATGTGAGGATATTCATGTTGGAACCAATTGATACCAAAATTGGGGACCAAAATTTGTATATGTAATGAGAGGAAAGTTAGTAACTTTAGATTGGACCTTCATCTTGCAAATGAAATTAAATGGTATGAAATGAGTGTTTAACTCTTACATTTAACAAAATGTAGGTGACAAGTGAAACTGTGCTCATTTTTAGAAGGAACAAAGAATGAAACTCAAATATCAGTTTTCATTAGGGCATAATTTTTCCAGTAAAATTGACAGCTACCATGATGGAATATCTGTTACTCCTTTGGCCTTTACACTACTGTCTTTTAAAAGAGAATCAGTTTGCCAAAAGTATACTGGAGAGGTTCATTAGCTTTCTCTGCTGCCTCTTTAATACATTGCTACTCAAATAGTTACTTTGCAGTTCCTCTTCTGCCATCATCTTTGTTAACTATCCAAGCTCAGCAGATCCTCACTTGTTGATGACTCTGACTGATATTCAGTGGTCCCCCACAACTTCACCTTCATTGAGTGTGTGCCATGTGCCAGACACAGTGGTGGGTGCTGGGTACTGGGATGATGTGGCCCCTGCTCTTCAAGCCACACAGCAGGGGCCAGCAGGAGGAGACACACACTTGAAGAGTAGCAATTCCAAACATAGTCTACAAAATAGTTCAAAGAATAGCACTATTCACAATAACAAAGACATAGAATCAACCTAAATGCCTGTCAATGATAGGCTGGATAAAAAAAATGTGGTGCATATACACCATGGAATACTATGCAGCCATGAAAAAGAATGAGATCGTGTCCTTTGCAAGGACATGGATGGAGCTGGAGGCCCTTATCCTTAGCAAACTAACACAGGAACAGAAAACCAAATTACCACATGTTCTCACTTGTAAGTCGGAACTAAATGATGAGAACACATGGACACATAGAGGGGAACAACACACACTGGGGACTATTGGAGGGTGGAAGGTGGGAGGAGGGAGAGGATCAGGAAAAATAAATAATGGATACTAGACGTAATACCTCAGTAATGAAATAATCTGTACAACAAACCCCCATGACACAAGTTTACCTATGTAACAAACCTACACATCCTGCACAAGTACCCCTGAACTTAAAATAAAAGTTAAAAAAAAAGTAAAGAATAAACAATTTCAGCTCAATGTTGAGAATCCTAAAGGCTCCCTGTAGGAAGTGGCATTTGAAAGGGGCAGAGTTTGAGAGCTGAAATGGGATGGGATAGCCAGAGAGGGCACAGTTCAGGAAAAGCTCGAGTGAGAACACAGGATGAGTCCAGAGGAGAGTGAGTTACAAGCTGTGCAATTTATTTAATGGCTGGGGTGTAGGAGAGGCAGGGAGGATCAGAGGAAGTTCAGGGTGAAAGGTAGGGGAGGCTTCCCCTTCTTGTAGACGTTATATACAAGAATAAGGTTAGTGAGTCTTTATTGACTGTCCACTAGACAGTGTAGATAGAGCCGTTTATAAGATAGTGTACGTATCCTTATGGGAAATAACAGATTGTATATAAATAATCTCAATTATTAAATATGTTCTGGAGTGTTTAAGAGGGTTACTTAACCTAGGCATGAGAGGGCAAGGAAAGCTTCTTGTGAAGCCTGGATTAGTTGTGTTTAAGCTGAGACTTGAAGGATCAAAAGGAATTTAAGAAGAGGGTTGGGAAAGAGAGACTGGGAACCCGCTAAAGACAGAGGGTATAGCTTAAAAAGGCTGGAGGCAGCAGAGAGCTGGGACCTTAGAAGAACCAAGGAAAGTTTAGAGCTGTGCTGTCCAATGTGGTAGTTACAGTCGCGTGTGACTCTTGAACACTTGAACAGTGGCTAGTGCAACCAAGGAACTGAATTAATTTGTCGAGAATACCAATAGAGTGGACAAGGAGAGAGGTTTTCATTAGGACACAGAGGAGCATTAGAGAAAGATTTTGTGAGATATGGTAGACCATGCCACTAAAGGGTTGTGGGTCATGCTGGGACATAATCAAATTGGCATTCTGAGAATTGGCCTGGGAACAAGATGCAGCTGCTGGGTTTCAGCAAGAAAGTGATGATAATAAAGCTGCTCCTAAGGAAGGCTGATCTGGAGTGGAACATGGGTTGGACAGGTCAGGGTATGGAGGGAGGAGGAGAAGCCAGAGGGAAGTGGTGGAGCATAGCGGTTAATAACACAGGCTCTGGAGCTATTATGGCCAGAGCCAAACCTGGATCTGCCATCTTCGGTTTGACTGAAGGAAGGATGCTTCAACTAAGTGAGCAGTGCTTGTCCCCAGAGCTGGCCCACCTCCCACAGCTCTGGGTGGGTAACAGAAGGGCTGCTTGAGCTTGCAGCCAAGCCCCTGGGAGCCACTGTGAATTGCTGTTCCAGGGCTGGGGCGCGGGGGCGATGTTCTCCTGTTTTTTAATTGTTTCACTTGGTACAGAAATTAAGGGCCCTTGGCGACATCTCATTCAACCTTTTTTTTTGCCTTATTTGGTAAGCTTTTCACTTAACTTTTATAGAAAGTCTGTTATTCTCATCTGCTTCCCATAAGAAGATGTTTGGCAGTGGCAGAGAGTCCCAGGACTTACGGGGAGGAGTGGTTTCCTGAGGGTCCCCCACAACATTCTCATAGAGCTTGCTTTCCCCGCTTGCAGACCAAGTGGACTGAGGGAGCAAATTCTCATTCTCTCTGGAGAAGACTGAGCAGTGTGGCTGGAAAGGTGGAATGAGAAGTGGGGCAGGGCAGTGTATGAAAAGTTCAGACTCTGTGGTTGCAAGAAACTCTAGTTAGCAACATTAGAAAATGAGTTTTCACTGAAAAGGAAGCTTATGGAATCCAAGTGCTGGGTGCTGCTGGCCCTGAGGAAGCGCTGGTGGTGGGAACCCGAGCCTATCGGGGGTTCCATCTCTCCTGCCTTTTCTGCATTTGGGTCTATGTGGTAACATCAGCCAACCCATAGCTCTTGAATTTACCTTTTATAGATCCAGCCAAAAGCTGGGAGGCAGCCCAGCTTGGGTCAGTTTTCATCCTTGTACCAGTCAGGCCTAGCTTGCTGAGAATGGCCACATGGAAAAAGCAAGGCTTCTGGGCAGCCCTTTCCATGGTCCCTTAGGGCAGGGGCTCTGTTTGATTGTTTTCAGAATCATATATCATATCATATCATATCATATCATATCATATCATATCATATCAAATCTGTACCAGAATTACATACTATAAATATATAATATAATAACCTAGAGGGTATCTGGGATATTATATCAAAACTTATTCTAAAACCCACGTTTCCTCCCCCATACCTGTTGTGTCCCCAGTCACTCTGATATAATGTTTTTTATAAGGAAACTTTTTTGATTCTGCTCAATTTTTCATAAAATTGGCTACTTACACAGGAGAGGAGGGACACAACCTAATTTTATATGGTATTTATGAAATATATTTTTTGCGGTAAGGCGGGTTGACCTATAGAATTGCAGTGAACGTACATCTTCCAAGAATTAAAATGCACTGTGTGTGAAAGATTACATTTGAGATGATCATGATTTATAAAGAAAAACATAGTTTTTTGGGCTGGGGGCAGTGGCTCACTCCTGTAATCCCAGAGCTTTGGGAGGCTGCGGTGGGTGGATCACCTGAGGTTGGGAGTTCAAGACCAGCCTGATCAACATGGAGAAACCCCGTCTCTGCTAAAAATACAAAATTAGCCAGGCACGGTGGCACAGGCCTGTAATCCCGTTACTCAGGAGGCTGAGGCAGGAGAATCACTTGAACCTGGTAGGTGGAGTTTGCTGTGAGCCGAGATCATGCCATTGCACTCCAGCCTGGGCAACAAGAGCAAAACTCAGTCTCAAAAAAAAAAAAAATTAATTAATTAATTAAAAGAAAAACATAGTTTTAAGGTTCAAAGCAGCTACCTGGTGAATGAAAGAGATACAATTTTCCTATATTAACTACTTTGGTAAATTTTAGGGGTAAAATGAAAATAAATCAAAGTTTAAGTTGTACAAAGTGGAGTTTGGGGCACTCTCTATGATACATGCTGCTTCTCCATCTCGAATATCACGTGAACAAAGGTACATTTCCAGTTTATATCAGGGTTGGCAAACTACAGCCCATGGGCCAAATCCAGCCAGCTCCCTGGTTTAGTACATAAAGTTTTTTGTTTGTTTGTTTGTTTTGTTTTCTTGAGACGGAGTCTCGCTGTGTTGCCCAGGCTGGAGTGCAGTGGCGCGATCTTGGCTCACTACAAGCTCCGCCTCCCGGGTTCACGCCATTCTCCTACCTCAGCCTCCCGAGTAGCTGGGACTACAGGGGCCCACCACCACGCCCGGCTAATTTTTTGTATTTTTAGTAGAGACGGGGTTTCACCATTCACAGGATGGTCTCAATCTCCTGACCTCGTGATCCGCCCGCCTCCACCTCCCAAAGTGCTGGGATTACAGGCGTGAGCCACCGCGCCCGGCCAGTACATATTTTATTGGAGGACTAGCACACCCATTTGTTCACACATTGTCTCTGGCTGCATTCAGGCTATAGCAAGAGAGCTGAGTAGCTGTGACAGAGACTGTATGGCCTTCAAAGCTGAAAATATTTATTATCTGGCCCTTTACAGAAAGAATTTACCAATCCCTAGTCTAGATCATCTTGGTCAGTGAGTTTTAAAGGTGCACTGCAGGGTCCTAGAGTCTAGGATCTGCTGTGAGGTGAGACCCAGCAGGGCAGGGCATCTGGCCCCCTAGTCCTGCTGCATCCAGAGGAGTTTGGCTGCCCTTTTTGCTCTCAGGCTTCTGTGCATGACTTGATATGAAGAATGAAAGGATTATCCTACTTAAAAAATTGTGTATAAGCTGCCGGTCTGAAAGCACAGGGACGCATTCAGAAGAGAGAGAAGGTCACCCTGAATATGTCTAATTATCTCCATTGTGAACTGAAGTGGCTGGTACTGTGACATGATGTCTCCAACCTAAAAAATAAAAAATCCTTGATGAGAATTTTTAAGCCAGGATAAACCTCTGTAATTACTAACATGCTGGGAATTGCTTTTACATCTCTGGCAGTCCATTTCCCCTTTTTTGTAGACAAAGATGATAAACTTCATTCTGTGCTAGAATCAGATTTAAAAAAAGAAAATATGACTGGAGTTGACTAATGGAGTGAATGTCATACATGCAAGGCAATGGCCGAAAAGCAAAATGTGCCAAATCCTCTATATTTGTCCTAATTGTGAAAGCATCAACACATTAATTTGGCCTTGAACGTGATGCCATGGAAAATGGCCTTTTGCTTGGTAAATTCCTCAAGTATTGCTGTTTTTGTAACTTCAGTGAAATATGAGCTGCTAGAGTTATTCAGGGTGGGAAATGGAGCCTTAGCATTGGGCAGATAAGGATGAGGCTGTTTGGTTTGACGTAAGTTAAATTGCCTGAACTGCAGGTGGTTCTCAAGCTTGCCATCCCTGATGAAGACTGTAACCATGATGCATTAATGTGTATTATAAACCAAAAGAATTGAAATATTTTGCCACTTTACTAGGGCAGAAACTTGGAACATATGTTTGGAAATGAATTTTCAGTATTTTAAATCAGAGAGGATGGGATTTATTGTTGAACCAAGCACAATTTTAGATATATATAGATGAAAGTCATCTGGAGGTGTCCGGAAGATCACCTGGAATCGAAAACCTAGAAGAGATTGGGGGTGGGTAGCACTTGTTTCATTCCAGTGGTTTTACATACATTATCTCATTTAATCCTCATGGTGACCCTCTGAGGTAGAATTATTACCCCCATTTAAAAGATATGGAAGCTGGTTAATTCTTTTCAAGGTCACAAAAGTAAGTATTTAAACATATGGCCTGTATTAGTCCATTTTTACATGGATATAAAGAGATGCCTGAGACTGGGTAATTTATAAAGGAAAGAGGTTTAATTGACTCACAGTTCTGCATGGCTGGGGAGGCCTCAGGAAACCTATAATCATGGTAGAAGGGGAAGCAGGCACCTTATTCACAAGGCGGCAGGAGAGAGAGAAAAGTGAAGGAGGAACCTCCAAACACTTATAAAACCATCAGATCTCATGAGAACTCATTCACTATCATGAAAACCACATGGGGGAAATTGCCCACATGATTCAATCACTTCCTTCCCTCAACACATGGGGATTACAGGTCCCTCCCTCGACATGTGGGAATTAGAATTCAAGATGAGATTTGTGTGGGGACACAAAGCTAAACCGTATCATGGTCCAGTCTTTCTGTTACATCAGGCTGCCTCCCATAAAAAAAAAAAAATTCCTGGAAATTAAGTCACTGGTTACAACAAAAGAAAAGATAAATTATGAAGTTTTCCTGGAAATCAAGAGCAAACTCTCTCGACATGTTAAGGAGAGAAAATAAATCTGTCTCAAATACCTGGATATTGAGATAATTCTCATTAGGAGCTATTAACTTCAGAGCCACAGTCAGCTCATGTTAGTTTAATTTTGTGTCCAACTCTCTGTTATTCAGTACTCACTTTATTTCAAGGTGATTTTAATCACCTGTTGGAAATGAGCACTTAGCAAGTTAATGTTTTTGAAATATTAACCAATGTGATTTTCATTCATGGTAAGTACTGGTTGTTCCTAGTTGTCTCTGCAGGTCTCCTCCTGGCAATTCATAGGCATTCTTTCGTTCTGTGGAAGGGGTAATGGCTCACTTTAAAGCTTTCAGACAGAGTTTAAAAAATTACAGTAGTCTGAACACCAAGTTACGTTTGATTTGCCATAGCTAGCCTTGTGGAAAGAGAGATGATTTTTCTTGTCCTTGTAGAGGAAGATCCACATTGAGGGAACTGTTTTGGAGTTTATCTTTAACCTGCTGTGTCTCAAGCTGTAATGAGCTTACCATGTACCTGGGAATCTTGTCAAATGCAGCTTTCAGTTAATTAGGTCTGAGGTGGAGCCTGAGATTCTGCATTTCTAATTAGCTCCTAGGCAACGACATTCATGCTGCTGGTCCGCAGACCATTTTGAACAGTGAGGGTCTAAGCCATAGAGTAGAGAATGCCTAAATGGCAGGAGAGCACTTATCCAACCCAAAGGAAAGAAAGAATTCAACCCACTGGCAGAAAGAGATGGATCCAAGGGGACGTGATTGGACTTGCAAAGCAGATGGGTGCCTGAGTAGAGATTCCCTGCACTCTGCCTCATTCCAGGTGAGGGAAGAAGGAAATAGATGTGGGCTCCTCAGATCCAGAAATTTCTCGAAAGTATCTAGGCTGTATATTCCTCAGGAGGAGCCCAGAGAAGCAGGGTAAATGAGCTTGCCTCCCAGGGCAGCCCAGGGAGATGAGATGATGCACATTCAATAGGCCTCTTGCATGGTCAAGATGGTAGTGGCTGAGGACAGCCTTATAGGACTCAAGCCCCAGTGTGGTGTGGCGAAAGCAGCTGCGGGGTCTTGAGCTATCAAAGGGAGCTGAGACAGTTGGAAAACTAGGGAAGCCCAGGATGGGGATGAGAAGGACTCAAGAGTGTGTGGACCTTGTTGGAGTCCGTGGTGGGGGTTACAGCCTTAAGTAGTTGATGCCAGAGGCCAACACCTAAATGTAGATGGCACCAGCTATTCTCACACATCCATAGAGGACAAGTGTGCCCCAGAGGCCACTTTCCCAGTGTCAAGAAGTTAGAGGTAGATGAAAAGATGGAGAAAGGAGAGAGTCTTCAGGGACAGGTGTGAACAAATGATAACTGTGTTACTTCTAAGTCAAGATTAAGGCCGTTGTCCCTTTATTCTCCACTAGGGGATGGAAATAAGAATTGTGAACTACGTTGAAATTTCATTATGGAGATATAATATTTGTATACCAAATAAAACATTATATTTGGCACATGGTCTTTGAATAATTGCTACAATAATTTTTCACCGGAATTAGCTAAATTATTATCTTCTTTTTTCACATTAGTGACTAAACTATATTCTTTGACTATTTAACAGGTGTTAGATATAATGTTCTTTATGTATATTATTACACTTAATTTGGGAAGTATGTACAATTATTTAATATTGTGAGGCAGAGACTATTGTTATCCCACATTTTACAGTTGAGGAAACTGAGGCTCAGGAAAATTAGCTTACTTGTCCAAGGTGACACAACTGATAGATGAATGAGGCTGGAGTTACTGATTCAACATTCATTTTGGGCTTTCAGATCCCGGCCCGGGACTTGACACATACATAATAAGAGCACAGTAAATATTTGAATGAATGAATGAATGATTGTGCAAATGTGCAACAGTGTCAGCTGGCCAGTTGGTATGTGGGGAATCCTGTTCTGAGCAAGGTAAGGAAAGAAAAATGAGCCAGAGGTGGGGCCTCCTCCTTAACAGTGAATCTGCTGTCCCTAATGTGCTAATTCTAACTCAGAGTGGAGCCTTTGAAAATACTTGCGGGTCCTGTCAGAAAATACACAGAATGTAAACGAGCAGGATTCCATCAACTTACATTTTCAAAGTGAAAAAAAAAAGGGGTTTAAGGGCTCTTAAGGAATGCTGTTAACTCTTGGGCTGAGTATAGTTGTTGGGGGGTGCTTTAGAATATGTGAGGAGCCAAGGAAGTATTTCAAATTAGTCTCTGCCTGTTAGAGTCACTTTGCAACATCCCATCATGCCGCAGCAATCCATGGGGAAAATAAAAGGGGACGACATAAAGCAATTACAAGCCAGCTCTCTGGTGCAAAGCTGTGCCAGGTTTGAAACTTGGGCGCTAGCCCTCTCCCAATCCATCTAAACTAACTGACAATACTTTAGTCTGGTTTCCACTTTGCATTTTGGTCCCTGTTAATCCCATTGAAACACCAATCCTATATGCAGGTATTAAACTCTTATTAAGACCTTGAGGTTGAATTCCTAAGTAAGAGCTTTTCTTTGAGTTTGGGAAATTTTTATTTTATTTTTTTGAGACAAGATCTTCCTCTGTAGCCCAGGCTGGATTGCAGTGGTGCGATTATAACTCGTTGCAGATTCGCACCCCTGGGCTCAAGTTATCCTCAGCCTTGGCCTCTCAAAGTGCTGGGATTATAGAGCCACCACAACAGACCTGGGGAGTCTTTAGCATTTGTATCTCATATATAGGGAGAGGCTTCTTAAAGTCTGAGAGATGTGCAAACAAATGAGCATTTCCAGAGCCTTCCAGTTGCTGTGCATGTTTGACCTGGACTGAACCACAAGTGGTCTGTACACCTACAGTTATCTCTCAAGCCTCCCATTCATAACTGAGGCTAAAATGTTCCAAATTTGGTGTAAACTGGGACAACTATTTTGGGAAAAAAGCTTGTCAACATAAATGAGTCTAACCTTTTGATTCCGTAACTCCACTTCTGGAAGATATCCTTTAGAGATGATTTTTAGTAGAGAAAACATTTTGTGCCTAAAGAAGTTGAGAGCAATTCCTCCCTTTTTTAGAAAAAGAAAAGTAAGTTTTCTTAAACAGTTTTTTAAATAAGGTAAAACTTTTTTAAATAAGAGAAAACTTAAAATTTTCTAAATAGGAATCTGGCAGTGATAGAATATCATATAGCCATCAAAATTATTTTAAAAGTACCAAGCTGGGATTACTTGTATTTATTTTTAATCTTCATTAAGTTATTATTATTACATTTTTCAGTCTTGAGAGAAGGGAATGGTCTCTGGAGCCAGAGTTTGTGAACACATGATTCCTTCTTAGAATAACCAGCTGGTAAGGTACAGCAGTGAAAAACACTGGAACAGGTGTGAGAGTTGGAGATCTGGCTGTGGCTCATGCTGTCCCTAGAAGATGTGGAACCTGAGACCACTTAGCCAGGACCACCTGAACAAAGTACTCTGAAAGTTGCTACATAGCTGACGTCTCCATAGGTTCCCTGGGGTGCCCATAAGCACAATGCCCACAGTTGTATTTTTAAAAAGTTTTCTATCTATTTCCAAGTGAAGATCTATTTAAGTTTTCAGGATAGTTTGTAATAACATCTCTGGAAGCTGCTTTTGTAATTCCAATGTTAGCATCCCATGTAATATTTTCTTCAGTTGGGCAAATGTAAGGCATGTCTTTTTTTTTTTTTTTTTTTGAGACAGAGTTTTGCTCTTGTTGCCCAGGCTGGAGTTCAATGGCGCGACCTTGGCTCACCACAACCTCTGCCTCCTGGATTCAAGCAATTCTCCTGCCTCAGCCTCCTAAGTAGCTGAGACTACAGGCATGCACCACCACACCCAGATAATTGTTTTGCATTTTTAGTAGAGACGGGGTTTCTCCATGTTGGCCAGGCTGGTCTCAAACTCCTGACCTCAGGCAATCTGCCCACCTCGGCCTCCCAAAGTGCTGGGATTACAGGCATGAGCCACTGTGCCCGGCCAGGCATGCCCCTGTTAAAGCTATTATTTTATGCGTAATACTTTGGTTTTTGATGTCCACAGTCATTGCTAGATATTGTGGTTGTCCTTCAGGTTTAACCTTAGATGGAACATGTATGGGAGGCATCAGAAATAACTCTCACACACTCTTAATTTGTGTTTTTACAAAACTATAACAATAAAACGTATAGAGATGAACTATAACATTAAGATCAATTTTCAGCCAGATTAAAAAATAACCATAAGAACTTGGAAGGAAAGTATTATTTTAGGTTTTAAAATCAATATTTTAACTGTTATAGGATGTCCAAGCCTAATAGGCACTTAGCATGAAGCCTCCAGACCTCCCACAGGAGAATTTTAATGCTAAGGATGAGGAGCAAGGGGGAGCACCTTACAGCCTCCCTCCTGCTTTCACCCAGCCCTCGGGTTACAAAGACACACCTGCCATGGAACTTGACCAGCTATAAGGCAGCGCTGAGAACCAGGACTTCAATTACTTCAATTGAGGACCAGTTACTTCAATTACTGGGGCCCTCCTGTGTAAAATATGGAGGCAAGAGTTGAATTAGATTAGCATTTCCCAAACATTGTTTTGAGAAACTCCAGCACTCTATGAGGAGTTCAGAGGCATCTACAAGTAAAGAGTTTCCCTGACTGAATACAAGTGCGGAATGCCACGTCTCCGTTTAGAGATTTCCAATATAGGTTAACATATTTAAGGCTGTGAGATATCCTATGGTTAAGATGTATTTTCCACAGCATTTCACCTAGCATGTGTTAAATGCATTTGATGGCAGAATCCTGCTATCAAGAAATATACTTTGGGAAACACTGAACTAAGTTTCTTCTTAGCTCCAAATTTCTACAGTTTTAAATATGCCATCCAAATGTTGCTTAGCAACATTACAGCCACCTCATTTGCCCACTAGATGGCAGCCTTGAATGAGATTTATTTTTTTCTTCTTGCCAGGTTTCTCTTTGGACATTTTTGGACATTGCTTTTCCTGTGTACCAGGAGAGTGCAGATCAGTTATTAAATTGATTTTAAGGCCATTCTGGTAACATTTTACAATCCATTTAAAATAAAACAGTTGTATCAACTGTAGGGATAAATACCAGCCAAGATTGAAATAGTATATGATTTTTTGAGCTTTTTTTCTTTTAAACTCACTGAACAATACTGATAATGTCTTACTTTTTTGCATTTTACAGAGTTTAGCCAGACAGAATTTAACTGGACATTTGGGTTGTTCTGTTGATCAACTTGAAAGGTTGGATTGTGAGGCTGTTGGGAACTTTCTGTAGTTTCTGGTGGCAGTTGGGAAACTTCTTTAGTTTCTATGGTGGGTGAGAAATGTCTTCAGCCCTTACATGTGTATAACTTTGTTTGGGATCCCTGCAATATTATCGTGTTTAGATGGCAGTGCACCTTCAGAAGGTCTCACTCTCCAGGCAGCCTGTGTTAAGTGGTCTCTTAAAGTCTCCTTCATGTTCTAGTAAATTTTTGATTGGCTCTTTATTCAACATAGTTTGCTATTAGGCATTAAGATTTTGCTGGTTTGCGGGTTCATCAGTTAGTCCATCTTTCACTGGGTCTCACTGTTATAAGGTTAAAGCACCTTAGTGATCCCCGTCCCATACTTGGAGTTCATGGAATTTCACACATCCATTTAAGTGTGCCCAGGAGTTTTAGAAAATGAAGGCAACTTTACTTAGGTATAGTCATGCTTCAGGTTTGTTCAACTGACGGATGTTTACCTATTAGAAATGTATGCCTTTTTATTGATGGAAAGGGAGCTTTTAAAATATATAATGAGGGGGCTTCCTGAAGTGCTTCCTGAATTACCTGAATATGTGTGCGTATGTGGAGTGGGTGAGAAGCCAAACTCTGGAACAAGCGCCTCAGCTTGCTCTTCTGTTCCAGTTTTGGTGTACGTACTGCTGAAGCGAGCGTGTCATCTTGCTCTTTCAATGCTACATTTTGAAGGTGAAATATTTGTAAGCCCTCTTAGATCTTATTCCAGGAAAAGATTCTTCCTGAACCCCAAATAGCACTCCAAGGACATTAAAATTCTCATACTTCCTAAAGGTAAGCTGTTTGAATAGCAGTTTTCTTAGTGTGATGATCTGATCTACTCCTGTCTCTTGCCTCATGTTGTGGGAGATTTTTCTTTGCTTTTTCCTCCATAATATACAGCATGGCATGGGCCCTAGTTTTTAGTTTATCTTTGGACTTTAGATTTTTGGGTGGTATGGTGCAAAACCATTTGTGGGTGCACTCTTACTGTGTAAGAATATCCATTTAAGAAATTTGATGGCCGGGCGTGGTGGCTCACGCCTGTAATCCCAGCACTTTGGGAGGCGGAGGCAGGTGGATCACAAGGTCAGGAGTTCAAGACCAGCCTGGCCCAAATGGCGAAACCCCGTCTCTACTAAATATACAAAAATTAGCCGGGTGTGGTGGCGGGCGCCTGTAATCCCAGCTACTCAGGAGGCTGAGGCAGGAGAATCGCTTGAACCCGGGAGGTGGAGGTTGTGGTGAGCCGATATTGTGCCACTGCACTCCAGCCTGGGTGACAGAGTAAGACTCCGTCTCAAAAAAAAAAAAAAAAAAAAGAAATTTGATGCAGATTTTGTGAGTGTGGTTTATAATGGAAATGTCAGATAAAATGGATACTAATCTTAGTTAATACATATTGAGCACTTACTGTTGCAGGCATTGTGCCTAGCATTTTACATGTATTAGCTCATTTAATTCTCACAGCAACCTGTAGTGTGTAGATGCTATTGCTATGACATTTTCAGATGAAGAAACTGAGGGTTAGAAAGGTTAAACAGGTGAATTAGGCCGGGCACGGTGGTTCACGCCTGTAATCCCAGCACTTTGGGAGGCCGAGGCTGGCAGATCACAAGGTCAGGAGATCGAGACCATCCTGGCTAACACAGTGAAACCCCGTCTCTACTAAAAATACAAAAAAATTAGCTGGGCGTGGTGGCGGGCGCCTGTAGTCACAGCTACTCGGGAGGCTGAGGCAGGAGAATGGCGTGAACCCGGGAGGCGGAGCTTGCAGTGAGCTGAGATTGCACCACTGCACTCCAGCCTGGATGACAGAGCGAGACTCTGTCTCAAAAAAAAAAGGTGAATTAATGTCACATTCTTTGTAAGTGGCCCAGCAAGGACTGCAAACAGGTCTCTCATGCCTCATGTTTTACCAGCATATGTATGATATGAAATATTTGCATCTTAAATGTTTTCAAAACATGCATATGCATCCTTGTAAGGTTGAGGTGGGCTAAGCTGAGTGGCCACAATGTAGCAAGAAATTCTCCTGATAATAAGAACCCAACTGCCAATTTTGCTCTCAGCTCTAGACACCAAGATTTCTTGGCCTGATGGCCTCATGTTCAAATACATTTGGCCATGTTTCTCAAAACACTGAGTTACTATACTTTGCATTAACAGTGCTTGGCTTTGTCTTTTATGCAGAAAGCCCCTCCAGGCCTCTGTAATGTGCTAAAAAAGATCTTGTCTAAAACTCATGAAAATAAATAACATAAACTGTTCTGAATAAATTTGGGTTAAGTGAACAGAACTCTTTTCTGTGTACGTGTATTGCATACATACAGTTGTGTGTGCCTGTGAACACGTGTTTTGTTGCTGGGTCTAGGACCAATATCCTCTGTAGTGAAGAATATCTCAGAATTTCCATTATAAATTATTTTAGGGGTTTATAACTAATACTGTAAAAAATTCAGCACTGCCTGGAATGTACTTTATTGTGTTTACAGAATTAGTTATTGGAAAGAAGCATGTAGAAGCAAATATGTCTTTGCCTTAGCCATTTGAGGTGGTGCAAATGTTTGCATAATTGTTGGCAAGGATGGGACGCTATTGAAAGCAGAGTAGGGAGCTCAAGGATTCAGGAGATAAAGAGTAACAAATCAGTTTGATTTGGGATAACTGAGGAGCAAATGGAAAATTCGATCTTGAATGTTGATTATAAATAGGAAGACCGTGCAGCATATCAATACATTTTGTGGCTAAATCCCATTTTTAAAAGAAAATAATTGGTAGTAGGGCCAGGCACAGTGACTCACACCTGTAATCCTAGCAGTTTGGGAGGCCGAGGCAGGAGAATTGCTTGAGGCCAGGAGTTCAAGACCAGTCTGGGCAATATAGCGAGACTCTGTCTGTAAAAAAAATTTTTTAAATTACCTGGGCATGGTGGTGCATGCTTTTAGTCCTAGGTATTCGGGAGGCTGAGGAGGTGGGAGGATCTCTTGAGCCCAGGAATTCCAGGTTACAATGAACTATGATTGTGTCACTGAACTCTAGCCTAGGCAACGGAGCAAGACTCTGTCTCTAAAACAAAAAATAAACCAACAAACTAAGGAAAAGAATTGGTAGGAATGAAAAAATTACAAGAATTATTAGAGGAAGATAGGTTTACTTTCACCATCAAGACCAAGACTTAACTCAAAAGTCACCTCATGTGGAATGCCTGCAATTATTATTAAAAGGTATTGGGCATGTCCTGTGTTTCAGATAGCATGTTAAACTCTTTACATGAGTTTTCTCATTTGTTCCACTGAACAAATCCATTTTGCAAAGGAAGAATCTAAAGATCAGTGGGAGGAAATAACTTGCTGAAGGTCATAGAGCAGGAGCTGGTAGAAGAGCTGATTAACTCAGGGGTCCAGGAGCTTGCAGTCTGTACCACGGTGCGCCTAGCCATTCCTCATTTCCCTTATGCACCGACATTCCTTTACCCAGTTGTTTTCAGCTCAGGGGCTCATTAGAACCATCTGAGAAGTTACTTCCCACCCACCACTTTATTCTTGGTCAGTCTTCAATAGTTGTAAGAAAGACTATTTCTCTAATGAAAGCATAATTATTACATAACCCAACCATTTAAAATTTGCACCAGTTTGTATGGACTGGGCAAAAGTTTGCCTTTGCAAAGCATTTACTAAGCAAATTAATAGATTACACTGAAGCAGAAGGGAAATGTTTTTATCATTAAAGAGCACAAATTACTTTCAAGCATAATAGAAAACTATTCATTATAAACAAATTGATAGGAGAACTTCAGGTCATTTTTAGATTTATTAAATATGCTTCTTAGGTGTGCATATTCATAACATATTATTAGCCTGATTGATCACTTGCTTTTAAAAAGTTGTTTCTAAGAAAAATATTCTATAATTCTAACTTTTAATTGCATAAGAGTTGGGATCCCCACCCCCCGCTTAGTTGAAATTAATGTTTGCTGTGTGATGCACTGTAAGTCTTCTTAATGTCATGTTGTAGCTGGGTGTTTTGTCCTACTAATGGGATTTGAAATTTTGGAAAGCAGAATCTCATCTCTTACTTTTTAAAGTGTCCACACCAGTTTTTAGTTCTCTGCACCCTGCAGGTACTCTATGAATGCATACCCAAGGCAGTGACTGCTTGGGCAAAATAAAACTTTAGTTGAGGAAAATGCAGAGTTCCATTCATCCTGTAGGCACCAGATGGCTGGTCATACTCATATGGATTGTTTATGATCCACATCCATGGGATCCATCCATGCCGAGCCACACCAGTTGTTAGATAGTTGAATTTGACTTCTGCGAAGATGCGAGAATTCCTGCTATACAAATGATAAATCCTCAAATGTGTGCTGGGTTTTCTGGATGGCTTCAGGACACTAAGTAGGGAAGACAAAGAGAAAGCCTGTACCTGTTCTACTGGTGTTGACTTTGAACAATTTCAGAAAAGCCAAATGGTCTAGTAGTTAAGAGCTAAGGGTCTGACATCAGTGGAATCGGGTTCAAGACATCATTCTGCCACTTAGCAGCAGCGTGGCCTTAGACAAGACACTTATCTTGTCTGAGTATTTCTTCATCTTTAAAATGGGGGTCATTGTGAGGATTGAGTTAATCTGGAAACATGATTGGAATAGTGGATGGCTAACTGTAAACCTCAATATGTGTTATCTTTTATTATTATTATAATAAAATGAAACTAAAAAGTTTAGAACAGTGGTTGTCAACAGGGGAAGATTGTGCCCCCCACAGGAGATGTGGCAATGACTGGAGACAGTTTTGATTGTCACAAGGTGGATGTGTGTGTGGGAAGGGGCACTGCTGGCAGCTTGTGGGTGGAGGCCAGGGATGCTGCTAAACATCCTACAATGCACAGGGCAGGCCCCTCGACAACACGGTTATCTGGTCTCTAATGTCAATGATGTCGAGGTTGGGAAATCCTTATTTAGAGCCTAATAAACACAGTCAAGTCAAGATAAATTAGCCAAGAAAAGCTGAAATATTAAATCACCCTGGCATATTATGGGATGACAATTCATGAAGATGAGTTTTTTTTTTTTTTTTTTTTTTAAAGAATCTGAGGAAAAACTGATGATTAGGGAAGAAATATCACTAAGGAAGGATAAAAGAAGTCGCTTTTAGGAAATAGGCCACTTTAGGACATAAAAGCTGGTGGACTAATCTTGAAAAAGCCATGAAAAATCCCCTTTATTTGGGGATTAAGCTGCTAAAAGGTATGTATCTACTGCCATGTCTGGAGCTATCTCATAAAGGAGCATTCAGGTAGGGAAGGAAATTTTGTTGCTTTTAAAATACAACTAAGGGCCGGGAGTGGTGGCTCACACCTGTAATCCCAGCACTTTAGGAGGCCGAGTTGGGTGGATCACTGGTCAGGAGTTCTAGACCAGCCTGACCAACATGGCGAAACCCCATCTCCACTAAAAATACAAAAATTAGCCTGGCATGGTGGCATGCACCTGTAATCCCAGCTACTGGGGAGGCTGAGGCAGGAGAATTGCTTGAACCCAGGAGGCGGAGATTGCAGTGCACTCCAGCCTGGGTGACAGAGCAAGACTCTGTCTCAAAAAAAAAAATAATAATCATATGACTAAGAGTGTATATCTATTAACACACACACACACACACACACACAACATACCACACACACACACATACATACGTCTGGCAAATTGTATAGAATATTAAGTTTGGGTCATTTGGAAATGATCTCTAATCCATAGCTAGCAATACAAGGAGCACATTGCCTGCTGTACTGACATATACTGGGCCCCTTCTGTATTTCCCAAAATGATCAAGTTCAAACATTTGAGGATGAGTGGTAATACGTCTCATAGTGAGTTGAATTCATATTATGTTCTGTTCTTTGCTGTAAATGCGCTTGGTTTTGAAGACCAGTGTTACAATGATCCTTAGTGCCCTAAAATGTGAGCAGAATTTATATTATATTAAATATATATATATTTAATTTATAATACAGTACTATATCAATGATGGGGCAATGTTCTGAGAAATGTGACATTAGGTGATTTTGTCATGTGAATGTCCATAGAGTATACTTACACAAACCTATGTGGTATAGTCTACTATACAGCTATGCAATATGCTACAAACCTATGTGATATGCTTCTAGGCTACAAACCTGTACAGCAAGCGACTGTACTGAATACTGCAGGCAACTGTAACACAATGGTATCTGTAAACATATCTAAACGTAGAAAAGGTACAGCAAAAATGTGGTATGAAAGAGAGAAGGTAGGAGAACCATGTAGGCCACCTACCATGAATGGAGTTTACAGGACTGGAAGTTGCTCTGGGTGAGTCAGTGAGTGAGTGGTGAGTGAATGTGAAGGCCTAGGACACTACTGTATATTACTGTAGACTTTACAAACACTGTACACTTAGGTTATACTAAATTTATTAAACTTTTTTAGCTTACTGTAAATTTTTACATTTTATAAAGCTATACAAATATTTTCCTTATATTCTTACTTTATGAACTTTTTTCTGTTAATTTTTTTTACTGTTTTAACTTTTTTGTTAAAAACTAAAACACAAACACACACATTAGTCCAGGCCTGCACATGATCAGGATCATCAACATCACTGTTGATGTTGATGATCCCACTGGAAGGTCTTCAGGGGCAGTAACACGCATGGAGCTGTCATCTCCTATGATGTCAATGCCTTCTTCTGGATACTTCCTGAGGGACCTGCCTGAGGCTGTTTTACAGTTAAATTTTAAAAAATTTACATTGAAGGAGCACACTCCAAAATCAAGATAAAAAGTATAATATAGTAAATAGATAAACCAGTAACATAGTCATTTATTATCATTGCTAAATAATATGTATATAATTGCATGTGTTATACTCTTATACAACTGGCAGTGCAGTAGGTTTGTTTGCACCAGCAGCACCACAAACATGAGTAATGCCTCGTGCTGCTGTTTCACGAAGGCGATGATGTCACGGTGACAGGAAGTTTTAGCTCCATTATAATTTTATGGGAACACCATTGTATATAGTGTGGTGTTCCTTGTTGACCAAAACATCATTATGTGGTGCATGACTGTATCTATATTTAATATATAATATGTAAAATATTATAAGTATCTTTACAGTAGAATCCAACCTCTTTGGCGAGGCATCCCAGGCGTTTCACAGTTGGATCCCTGCCTACCTGTTGAGCCTTGTCTTCCACCATGTTCCTCACCCACACTGTGCTTTCTTTACATCAGAAGGATGACAATATAAACTCACCTGGGAAGTAGTTTTTTTCTGCCTCTAAAGGGAACTTGCCTCGCTCTCAGATACATCACTTAGCACAGAATAGGCACTCAATAAACATTTGGTGACTGTATGACAATAGCTCCCCTTATAGAGCATGGACAATACAGCCAGGCACTGCACCTGTCTATCTTTGTGCCTTTATTCTTCCCTCATCCCAAATGATTTTCTGTTGAAATTCATCTTCTTGTTTAAAATATATTTAAAAACCTCCTTCACAGGTCTTCTCTTACCTCCTCTTCAACTCTGATCCTGTCACAATTAATCTCTTTTTCTTCAGGGATCCAAAGGACTGTGTTCTTCTTCCATTTGCTCTTTTTTATGACACAACATTGTCCTTGTCCCTGTCCTGTATATGGCTTCAGGTAAGGAGCCGTGACTGTACATCCTTCTATTGCCCCAGGACCTCTGAACACAGGAAACACCCAAGTCCTGATGGAATAATTCAGCGGATCTTTTTCCCTTGTCAGCAGCTTGAGGTCCTCTTTGCTGTCATGCGATTTACTCTGTGTTCACTTTGAAATGAGTCTAAAGAGATTAAGTCTAAGAACACTCTCAGCTCCTTGAAGGTGGAGGCTGTGTCTAATTCTTCTTGGTAGCCCTTTATCTAGAGTAGCCCAGAGAACATGCCCAACAGATGTCTGGGAAATGACTGATGCCTTGAAATTACTGCTAGGTGGTAAAAGCTTCTTTGTTATATATTGTTCTTGGTGTGAAAGGCAACTGATGGCCCTCAAAGCATCTGTCCAGTGAACTTAATCAGGGTATACATGGAGTACTCTCTGTATTAGTCATACAGCTAGTGTGGGATTAATTTAGGTACTAAATATTAACTTACAAAAAGAAGGGTAAAATGGAGGGTAAAGAGCTTCCTCTAGAAGTGGAAATTAGCCTGAATAAGGGCAAGTGTGAAACGTATGTATATCAGAAGACTTTTCAGCTACATTTAGAGATATCCTACTTTTAGGTCAGTAAAATCTACCAATAAGCATACATTAACTGCTTTTTACTTGGTGCCAGGTGCTGCTGGGAGAGTAAGACCAGCCTACAACATGGCCTCTGTGCTCTAGGGTCTTATATTTTCTTGCATAGCTCAGCAAACTTTTTCTTTCTTTGTTTCTTTTTTTTAATTCCTCCTTTTTTTCCTTGGAAGAACATAATAATTTTCAAACTATGCAAGTTTCTCTTACATAAGAAGAAGTTTTTAAGAAATTCTAGAATTTAATATTTCAGGTTCCAAGCTTTGAGAATTTTACATCTAATTGTTACTTCAAATTCATTTTAAAAGTTCCTAAGTATTCATTTTGTTATGAGCTTATAAATGTAATAAATTATGCACTTTCTAAATTGCTGCTGTCATGTACTTTATTTATTTATTATTTATTTAAATTTAATTTCAATAGTTTTGGGGGAACAGGTGGTTTTTGGTTATATGGATAAGTCCTTCAGTGGTGATTTCTGAGATTTTGGTATACCCGTCACCTGAGCAGTGTACACTGTACCCAATATGTAGTCTTTTATCTCTTCCGCCTTCCATCCTTCCCCAAGTCCCCAAAGTCCATTATATCATTCTTATGCTTGTATGTCCTCATAGCTTACCTCCCACTTATAAATGAGAACATTTGGTATTTGGTTTTCCATTCCTGAGTTACTTCACTTAGAAAAATGGCCTCCATCCAAGTTGCTGCAAAGGCCATTATTTTGTTCCGTTTTATGGCTGAGTAGTATTCCATGGTGTGCATATACCACATTTTCTTTATCCATTTGTTGGTTGATGGGCATTTAGGTTGGTTCCATATTTTTGCAATTGTGAATTGTTCAGCAAACTTTTTCTTAAACGGCCAGATGATAAATACTGCAGGCTTTGAGGGCCATTCTGTCTCTTGTAATTATTTAATGCTGCCATTGTAGCATGGAAACAGCAGCCATAGAAAATACATAAACAAGTGAGCATGAATTTGTTCAAATACAGCTTTATTTACAAAACTGGCAGCTGGCATTTAACCCATATGTCATCATTAGTTGACCCCTGCTCTAGCATGTAGGTGAGTGTGTATGTATGTGGATATGTGTTTGCATGTAAAACTAGTGTTAGAGTGTGTGCTTTTTTATGCCAACATTTGTAGGAACTCTGAGATGGAAGAGAAAGGTGGTCCAAAGTAGTAAGGGAAAGACTCGGTGAAGGGGGAACTATCTGTTTCTATGATCATATGTATAGCTCTATGATCTATGATCTTATCTCTATGATCATATATACAGAAATTTTCCTTATTCCAATTTTCTATCAAGAAAGTTGTTTGTTTGGGTTGATATTCTGTAGTAGATTTGCTGGGTTGAATGGTAGTTTTATTTTTAGTTCTTTGAGAAATCTCCGCACTGTTTTCCATAGAGCTGTTATAAATTTACATTCCTACCAACAGTGTATAAGGCGTACCTTTTCTCCACAGCCTCACTGACATCTGTTGTTTTTTGACTTTTTAATGATAGCTATTCTGACTGGTGTGAGATGATATCTTGTTGTGGTTTTAATTTGCATTTCTCTGATAATTAGTGATGTTGAGCATTTTTTTCATGTGTTTGTTAGCTGCTTGTGCGTCTTCTTTTGAGAAATGTCTGTTCAGGTCCTTTTCCCACTCTTTAATGGGGTTTTTGTTTTTTCTTGTTGAGTTGAGTTCTTTGTAGATTCTGGATATCAGTCCTTTTCATGTCTTTCACAGCAATATGGATGGAGCTGGATGCCATTATCCTAAGTGAAGTAACTCAGAAACAGAAAATCAAATATTGTGTGATCTCTTAATTGTAAGTGGGAGCTAAACAATGGGTATATGTACACATTCAGAGGGTAACAGTAGACACTAGGGACTCCAAAATGGGGGAGAGGAAAGGAGAGTGAGGACTGAAAAATTACCTATTGGATATAGAGTTCACAATTTGTGTGATGGGTACAATGGAAACCCAAACCTCAGCATCACACGATATATCCACGTAACCAACCTGCACATGTACCCCTGAATATATAAAAAAATTTTAAAAAGAAAGTTGTTTGTAAAGTCATTCGTTTTTCCATTTATTCTACAAGTATTTGCTAAGTGGTCGTTTTACACAAATGTTTATTCTAGCTTTTTCAAGTTTAATAGCTGGATATGTTTTCCATATTTAAATGACTCATTTTTAAGCATATTTTTGTGTCTCTGAAATTGGACTGCATCTCACAGTTGGTGGTGCTATTACAAGATTTTCTTTTCTCTGTGGGTATAAATTAAGATGCTTCTTATAATTGTTGGTGTCTTAAATTCAGAAGAAATATGGTAGATGATTTAGCACTGCCTTAAATATTTTTTTAAACAGGGTCATTTACTTTAGGTATTTTAGTTTTTACATTTACATTTACTCAGCAACTTACTAGACATGAAGATTCTGAGCACATTTTTAAACAAAAATTGAAAATGCTTTTTTAAAAAATTACTATCTTCAGTCCTGACTGAGATTAGTTATTTTACACATCTCAGTTAATGTTCTGTTAAATAAACTTCTCCCATCAAGCATGACTTTTCATGTACACTTTTGATGGTTTTGGCTTGTTTCACAGATTTCCTTCTTAAAGGTAAAATGTGGATTGAAATTTCAGAGATACAATTCTGTGGCCTGGTGAAGAAGCTGGTCATTGTTCTTCGTGTCCATTACTTATAACTTTCCCTTTGTTAGAAGCACAGGATTTAAGAACAGGTGTTAGAATATGTGTGTTTTCCCCTAATTTATCTCATTTTTATTTCATTGCTCTTGGATTTTCCAAAACTATGAAGCTCTTTATGCAGGACTGGCCTAATTAGGCAAACTCGGGAAGGTTTGTAAAAGGTTTAATGTTCCCCCTCTTTCCTGTCTGTATAAATCAATTAAAATGGACTATGAAGAAACTCACACTCAAATATTGTGTAACTCTAGATTTCATTGCTCTATGTTTGTTTTCTACATTGGAGGAGGAGGTTCTGCTTAACTGTACTTATGATTTATGGAAGCCAGAGATACATTTCAGCCAGTTCTGTGATATATGGGAATAGAACATACTACAGAAATATTATTTATGCCTCCGATCAGAAGGGGGAAAGCTGTTTCTTTTACTATACTTGTTTAAGCAGTGCGCGTAGTAAGCACATCTGTCTTTGTAATTAGTATAAAAATGAGAAAAATTAAAACTCAGATTAGTATTTCACAGTTGACATCTCTAGGTACTTCTAAGTTAATGCTCCCAAGTAATAATAGTAAATACTTCTCAGTGTTTCTAGTCTTTATCTGCTTTTAGCATGGCTTTCGTTTATTCTTTTTATCTTCTTTTTATTTTATTTTATTTTTTCAGACAGAGACTCACTCTGTCGCCCAGGCTGGAGTGCAGTGGTGGGATCTCGGCCCACTGCAACCTCTGCCACCTGGGTTCAAGCAATTCTCCTGCCTTAGCCTCCAGAGTAGCTGGGACAACAGGCGCATGCCACCATGCCTGGCTAATTTTTTGTGACAGGGTTTCACCATGTTGCCCACGCTGGTCGCAAACTCCTGAGCTCAGGCAACCTGCCCGCCTCGGCCTCCGAAAGTGCTAGGATTACAGGCATGAGCCACCATGCCTGGCTCGTTTATTCTTTATAAAGTTATTGTTTGGATGCTGAGTCTTAGGGTAATCTCTTCATAATTTTTTCCCTTTGTATATTTTAGAAAGGATCTTCAGTGCTGGGAGGTGGTTAAGGATTAATTGCCAGTTGATCATTAGAGTGTGATAAACTGTGATTCTTATGCCACATGGAGAATTTTACAGTGTAGTATTTGTGGTATTTTATGTGTGCGGATCCTTATGCATTTCAAACCATAGTTTTACTTAATGACATCCTTTTTATAGGGCATGCAACCTGAGAGGTAGGAAAGGGCAAGCCAGAAGCTGTAATTCATTTAAAGCTTTCTTCTTGAAATAACTCTGGAAAAATAAATTTTAGTTTATTATTTTTTTCTGACATCTTGAATTGCAATTTTTATGTCACTTTATCTTAAGGTACTTAAATGAAAATATAATGATTTTGTAGAGCAGGTCCAAACTGTAGAGCAATTTAATTGAGTCCTGTTATTTTTAGAGAAGGAACTAGAAGCAAGTTGCTCTAGCATTGCTGGGGCCTGGAGAAGTGCTAACAGAGACCCGCAGACCAAATATCTAAGTATGCCAATGGTCCAATTAAGCTATGCCTGCCTTCTCTCCTGGGCCCTGCAGCCCTCTGCCTGGAGCTTCAGTCTCCCCTGGGCCAGCCCTGCAGACTAAAGAGGCTGTGTGGCAGCACTGATCTGCTGGGGCAGGGCTAGGTGGGAGTTGGAACCACGCCCAAGACTCCTGGGCTCACCAAACCTGAGCAGGTGGTAATGACCTGCTCAAGCTCCCCAGGGAGGCAAGTAAGGCAGATTCTTCACTTCCAGGCCCCACTTGTCTGACTCAGGCCTTCCAGGGGTTCTAAGTGCCTCTCAGATTACATCCTCTGAACAAGGAGAAGGGAGACAACAGAGTTATCTGGGGGATCCTGTCTACTTCAACACTAAACACCTATTTCGTCTTGGTTTCCAAGGACAGAGGCTGTGGTTCATTCTCTCATGGGCTCTCAGTTCAGCACCCTCCGGTCTGGAGTCCAAGTTCAGGTGAGTCCCTCCCATTGGCTTAGTCAGTTATTAAATTAAGAAAACAAACAAAACTTCTATTTAAGATTGAAAAGAAAAAACCCTGCATTTTGGGGTTTGTCATGTGCCCTCTAAAGTCCATGGCCCAGGACAAGAGTCCCTCTGGCCTAGGTCTAAGAGAGATTGAGGAGCTTGGGCAACATTATGCAGCTCAATAGTGGTGCAGATGTGACAATATCTTCTTTAGAAACTACAAATTTGTTCTGCCAATATTATAATTTGAATCATGCTTGCTTCTGATAAAGTGCAAAAAAAAAAAAAAGGAAAAAATAGAAAGGCAGAAATCATTTAAATAGGGTATAATTCACATTGTTATCATCCCATCTTAGGTTTTCTTTCCCTGCTGAATAAGGAACCCTTAAAACTCACATGTACGTCGTGACTTCCAAAGAAAGAAAAGCTATCAAAACACCTTCCTGTGTGAAAATGTCTGTTTCTTAGGGAATTCAGGTGTGTGAATCACTTCCTTCTGTCCTGTCATAGAAAAAAAAAGAAAGCAATGTGACTTTATAGTTCAGCTGAGGAGGCCAGGTTGGTGTTTTCCAGAGAGGATTGCTTAAGAAAAACTATGTTCTTAAATGCATTTCTACATAGACCTTGCAGGAACAGTTTGCAGATGTGGACGGCATTCCCAAGAAAAGATTTTTACAGTGACTGACATCCCCAAAACCTGCCCAGGAAAAGGAAAACGTGTCCTTTCTCAATTTCACATATGCTTTTCTCCCTGATCAAAGGGTGGATATATCCATGGTGGCACCTGAAAAATAATTTTTTTAACAGAGTTGCTTCATAGTAAAGATGAAAGTATAAGCAACTATTAGGCCAACTGGAAGGGCTTGAGTATGGAAGATTTTAGTTTCTTCTTGCAGTAAACACATGTGGAGTCCAGGAAGGGTGACGCCGTCATCTGGTGGCATGATGGAGATCTCCACTGATGCTGGAAAAATACTAGGTTAATGAAGTATAAAATGCAGCCTTAGGCACAGGCAGGCAGGTATTTTGTGGGTTGGGGAGTCTGTGAATGGAAGTAAAATCTTAAATCTTATTGGTCTAAAGGATCTGAGAGAGGAGAGTGGGCAGAAGGGCTTAGGCTGAAAAGTGGCAAGTTGGGTCTGTTTTTGCCTCAAATTCTGCAGCTGGATGTCCTGCGAGAGGTCAGTGGAGGAACTGTATGAGAGATGGTCTTCTGTAATTTCATGTTGGCTGGACCTGATGTTTTTACCAACATTCGTGTTGGTTGTTCATTCAACACTTGTTACGTATGTCTATTTTTGCATCGATTGGAGGAATTGTGCTTATGTTGGCTTTACCTCTAAGCTGTGAATTTTTTAGGGCAATACTCAGGTATCTGTTTTCTCTCTATTCCCAGCAAAACTAGTGAAGCCTTGGAAATAGTTTGTCACTTAGTAGATGTTAGTTCTATGGAAGTAGAAAAGCAAGGTGCCTCTTAGTGCATAGATTGGACCTGCTTTCATATTATTACCATCAAGGAGCCCAAAATACCTCAATATAATAAATAGACCCCAGTGCTTGAGAAGCTGTTAGCAAAACCTTGGCCTTCAGCAGCCTAGGATCTGAAACAACTCTCAAAGCACACCGTTTTCTGTGAAGATACAAGTTCTCGAAAAGCCCCAAGGATGGGATGCCCTCCTCTACAAATAAGTCAATCTCCTTTAGAAAGGAAAAGCAATTTGGTGAAATCCACTCAAGAAGAGCACTTGCTGTCCCAGGGAAATGGCCTGCTCAGCAGATGGCCTTCACATTCAGGGCCTGGATGGTCTCAGGATCGGAAACTATCATGCTGAAGTGGAGAGGAAAAAAAGTTGATTTTCTTCGAGTGGATATGGTTTCTCAAGTGATACTTGAAAAAAAAAATGTATCGAAATGTTATTTGAAGCTCCAAATCTATATGCAGCCCTCTATTGCTCAGCTATGTGCTGACCAAGGATTTAATTTTTTTTTAATAAGGAGAGATGAAGTGAGCTAAGATCATCAGGAAATATTTCTATAAGCAAAATTTCCACTGTAAGTTCCCTTGTACATTGTTTTTGTTGCCTGAATAACTTTTTCCCCAACTACTGTCAATCAACTAAGATTATCACATCTTTCAGATCCCACCTTTCTGGTCACTTCCACAGGAGAGTGTTCTTTGAATTCCCAGATCCAATTTGATCCTCCCACTTAAATAATTTTATATTGTTATTTACCAGGGCTTTCAAACTGATATGTCTGTAGGATTCAAGTGAATGATGTAAAAAATGAAAGGGATTGTTGACAGCAGAACTTTCTGTGATGATGGAAGTGCTCTATATCTGCCTGATCCATTATGGTAGCCGCTAGCCACATGTGGCTATTAGTACTTAAAATGTGGCTGGTGCAAATAAGGACCTGAACTTTTAATTATATTTCACATTTAATTATGTAAAATTTAAATTTAAATAGTCATTTGTGGTTAGTGGCTACTGCATTGGACTTTGCAGGTCTATGGGAAAAATAGCAGCATAAATGGGATGAAAAATGGGGTCTGGAACTTGGACTCGGTCAGGGAGACAGAAGGGAGTGTTGAGAATGGTGGAAAACCAGAAACCATATGCCCTATCAAAAAGGGGCAGCTGCTACTCAGTTCCAATGAATTTTTAAAAAGAGTACAAGAAAACTCTTATTTTATTGTGAAATCTTATTTTTCAAAAAAGCATTGGCAACTATCTACAATGCTAGGCCAAATTTTGCCTTGCCCATGTGTATTCATTTTGTCCATGTGTATTCATTTTGTGACTTCACTCTGAGTTCTACATGGCAAGTAGCAAATATCACTATTACAACTGTTTGTGTAATTATTTCTTTTGTGTTCTCAGTAGAAATGAAAGCTTCATGTGGACAGGGGCCATACCTATCTTGTTTACTGTTACATCTCAGTTTTCAGCTTGGAATTGAGTAGGTATTCAGTGATAGTTGTTGAATGATTGTTGTATGCATAAGGTAAAAATAAATTAAAAGTGGGATTGGGGGTAGGGGGAGAGGTTGTACAGACCAAAGGACTCTGGACAGGGAAGGCTCTTTGTGAAAGCAGTTGTTCTACCATAAACCCTAAAGAGATCGGGAAGCATTGATTGTTTCAAGGCTATAGGGAAAAATGCTGTTGCTGCTAATACTTGTCATGATGTCTGTATCCCAACTGAAACCACTCTATCTTAATACCTGCTATGGTTTGAATGTGTCCCCCTAAATTTATGTGTTGGAAACTTGATTCCCAGTGTGGTGATGTTGGGAGGTGTAGTCTAATGGGAGGTGTTTGGTTAGTGGGGACACTGTCCTTATGTGTAGATTAATGCTGTTCTCACAGGAGTTTCTTATAAAAGGATGAGTTTGGTCTCTTTATCTCACCTTCCCCCTTTGATCTCTTTGTCTCATCCTCTCGGCCCTTCTGCCTTTGGACAATGCAGCAAGAAGGCTCTCACCAGATGCTGGCCCCTCAATCTTGGACTTTCCAGTCTCCAGAACCAGGATAAATAAATTTCTGTTCATTATAAATTACCCAGTCTCTGATATTCTGTTATAACCATGCAAAATGTACTAAGACAATTCCCATTAACCATCTGAATGTCCCAGAAATTCCAGGGTTCATGGTCTAAAAAATGTTAAGAACTGTGGGCCAAGACCTTTGCCTTTAGTAATAGTTTATCTAATGGAATTGCATTTTTGGGATGTTGTTATACAACTTATAAAATCTAATGGAATTAAATTCCCAGCTCTCCAATTACCCATTTGAACTTATAAAAAAACCCACTGAAGGGAAAAGCCATCCTCTTTAGTTGTATGTGCCATTTTACTACATTCCATTTTTTGGCTATTAAGGCAGTTGCTTTGGATTGAGTGAATCATCTGAGATGTACAGGACCTGAGAAATCATTTCAAGAAAAGAGTGAATTGAGTTTATTTCATGCTGCTACTCTTTGTCTTGCCTGTACTTGAGTTTTTATAGTGATTCTCTAAGATATAGAATTGTAGTAGATTATCATTCCTATTATTGTTGTTGTTATTAGGATTCCTGTAAGGAAAGAGGCACATTAAATAAAACACTTTCAGGCGTATCTCCCTAAAGATGAGGACATCTGGATCTCCAAAACCTGTGATTATGTTATTTTACATGACAATAGGATCTTGTGGGTGTGGTTTAATTAAAGATTGTAAGATGAGGAGACTATCCTAGATTATACAAGTGAGCCCAATGTAATTACAGGGTTCCTTAAAAGTGAAGAGTGAGGCAAGAGGGTTGGAGTCAGAGAAGGAGATGTGATGGTAGAGACAGAGGTCAGATTGATGTGATTGCTGGCTTTGAAGATGGTCGATGCCCATGAGCCAAGCAATACGGGCCACCTCTAGAAGGTGGGGAAGGCAAAGGAACAGATTAACCTCTAGAGCCTTCACAAGGAATGCAGCCCTGTTGACACTTTGCTTATAACCTAGTGAGACCCATTTTGGACTTGTTATCTCCAGAAACATAGGAGAGCAAAAATGTTTTTTTTTTTTTTTGGTTGTTGAGACGGAGTCTTGTGATCTTGGCTTACTGCAACCTCCAGCTCCTGGGGTCAAGCAATTCTCCTGCATCAGCCTCTGGAGTAGCTGGGATTATAGGCACCTGCCACCACTCCCGGCTAATTTTTGTATTTTTAGTAGATTTAATTTTGTATTTTTAGTAGAGATGGGGTTTCACCATGTTGGCCAGGCTGGTCTCAAACTCCTGACCTCAGGTGATCTGCCCGCCTTGGCCTCCCAAAGTGCTGGGATTATAGGCGTGAGCCACTGTGCCTGGACTTGTGTTGTTGTAAGCTGTTAAATTTATGGTAATTTTTAAGTTTATGGTAATTTGTAACAGCAGCAATAGGAAATTAATACAATGGTGACCAAAATGAAGTCTGTTTACAAATGTTGACTTTATTTTCCATGACAGAAATTATGACTTAGGGTCTGACAGGGAAACCCATCCATTTGGCAATATTGATTGAGCATCTACAGGCACTGGGAATTTAACAGCCAGTAAACCCCATTAAAGTCCATACCCTCAGAGAGCTGTGTTCCATGGAGACAGACATTAAACAACCAGATAAACAAGTATTTAGTTGTATTTAGTTGCATACGTGGTGTTATAAAAAGAAAGTGCCAATGCATATCTGAAGGGGTGTTCAGGAGGGTTTTTTCGAGGAAGTGATTTTTGGGTTGAGCTCTGAAGGCTGAATGAGAATTATTCGGAAACGGGAGATAATGAGGAAGGGCATGTTTGAAGGTCTGAGGCAGAAGGCCCTGGTGCTCTTGAGGAACTGAAGAATTCTAGTGTGTAGAAGGTGCAGCAAAGAGTGTGGTGGAGTAGGTCTTGGATGTAAATACAGTGGGAATCCATGGAAACATTTTAAATTGGGAGTGAATCAAGGACTACAGAGGTGAGGGTATTTCTGATGATGTGTGATAGAGGATAGCAGAGCAACATCATGGCCCTGGCCACTTCACTTTCAGTTTTTTCTTTGGGTTGCTGGTTGAGCATTTTATCTCTGTATGTGTCCTGTTGAGATTGTGACTTGTAGCACAAGGATGAAGTCCCAGGCATTCATAGACCCAGATAATCATGCGTAGACCTGGAATGGAGGCTACTGGAGCACACACAAGGATGTTTTCTGAAAGATAAAAGAAGGAAAATTATAGATTGTTAGGAAAAAGCCCTTAGAGAGGCACCGTGCTTGGTTTGGGAGACTGTCCCAAAACTATTCTCCTTGAATTGATCTAATGTATCTAGGTAAGAGAGGATTATTTATTTATATATTTATTTTTATTTTAGAGTGGATTTTTGTTTCTTATTTTGGATTGTTTTGGTTTATAATTAACAAAATATAGGCCAGGCATGGTGGCTTACATCCATAATCCCAGCACTTTGGGAGACTGAGGCAGGAGGATTCCTTGAGGCCAGGAGTTCAAGACTAGCCTGGGAAACAGAGACCCCAGCTCTGTCAAAAAAAAAAAAAAAAAAGCCAGGAGTGGTGGTGCATGCCTGTAGTCCCAGCTGCTTGGGAGGCTGAGGCAGGAGGATCAATTATACACTGAAGTTTGAGACTATGGTGAGCTATGATCATGCCACTGCACTCCAGCCTGGGCAACAGGGCAAGACTTTGTTTCAAAAAAGAAAAAAAAAAAACTATGTCTAGGTCTTACATTCTATAAAGATTTTTTTTTCTAGTTTGTTATTGCTTACCTCATTTTGTGTGGAGGCAACTGAAGAGTTAATTTATTTAGAATGATTTTCCTTTCTTATCTAGGGGATCTATGAGAGAAATGGTCTGATGCTCAGTAACTAGGCTGTGGGTCTGTTAGTGAAGTCACTATTGACAATTTTAATATTATTTTTCATGAAGAGATCAGCTGACGGTAGTGCTTAGCTGCTGAAATTCAGGCTATCAGGCATGACCTGGTTCTCTATGGCTCAAAAAAGAGGAATATGTTCAGTGCAGATAAATGTATCATAACTCTAACCTCTGTATAATTGTCTCAAGTTCAACAACTGTAATTTATAATGCATTGTGTATACTTACATCATGAACTGTCATGGAGTTCTAATTGTAATGTTTGCATACAAGGTAGCCAGTCTAGATGCTATCCCCACATGCATAGTTGGTTGAGGGAATGCCACAATGGCAGGTGGTGGCTTCTGAGCCAGGTCTCAGATAATGTGTTGCGATTTGACTGGAAAAGATGAATTGGAAGGGCATTCCTGAGAGAAGAGTGTGTACACAGGTGAAAGGCTTGGAAAGTCTTTTGTATATTGAGAAAAGAATGCTCAGTCAATGATAGAAGTGCAAGAGATTGGCCTTCAAAGATAGGTTTTGGGGTCAGGGCAGGGAGGGTTTTGAATGCTTGGTAAAATAATTCTTTTCTTAATGCAGAAGGAGTCATCCAGGGTATTGGAGCACCACAGTTTAGCGAGCTTAATCTGGCGTCAGAGCAGAAGCTATGATACATGTATATATTATAATGCTTAAAGGCATGAGCCCTGGAATCAGACTGTCCTAGTTTGAATTTCAACTAAAATAGGTCTAAGCCTCAGTTTCCATATCTGTAAAATGGGAGTAATAATAGTTCCTACTTCTTAGGGTTATTGTGAGGATTGAAAGAAGATAAAACACCATGTCATGATACTTTGCCCTTAGGCAGCACCTGATGCATATTTTAATCCTATTTTTAATTTTCTTATCACTTGGGTGAAATAGGCCTAAAAACTATTTCAATAATATGTATAAGAGGTAATGTGTGTCCTGGAGATACTGAGAGAAGTGGCAAAGAACATGTGAATGCCATTTATACTGTTTTCATTTTTTGACACAATTTTGAGTTTATCTTTTTCTCCTACTCTAACAATAAAATGCTTCCAAAAAGCACAAATGTTTCATTTAGCTCTAGCTATTAAGAAGGCAATGTTTTCTTACATACATAATTCTGCAATACATAAATTATAAAATTCTTTTTTTTTTCCTGAGCAATGACTTTGAATTCAAGAATTCTAAGGGAATACCCTATTTATAATAATTTGAATGCTTTTAAAACCACTTTAGGCCAACTGTGGCGGCTCATGTCTGTAATCCCAGCACTTTGGTAGGCTGAGACAAGAAGAGTGCTTGAGCCCAGGAGTTCTAGATCAACCTGGGCAAGATGACAAGACCCCATCTTTACAAAAAACAAACAAAAAACCCCCAATTTAATGGGTGATACATGGATGCAGTCCTGCTTTATTTACTACTGGTTTTGAAATTGGCTTTATCACCTTTTCAAATAATGGGTTTGATAAATTATTTTACTTACTAAATTTAAGGCTCAATAGTGTGATGGATGCTATTTAAGAACGATGAAGTATATTCTCATTTTCTATTTATCATCAGAGATGTCTTAATCAGCATTATGTCTTCTGCTTAAATTATTAACGAACATCATTGTAAGACTGGATATTTGGCCAGGCATGGTTGCTCATGCCTGTAATCCCAGCACTTTGGGAGGCCGAGGCTGGCGGATTATCTGAGGTCAGGAGTTCAAGACCAGCCTGGCCAATATGGTGAAACCCTGTCTCTACTAAAAATACAAAATTTAGCCGGGTGTGGTGGCAGGCGCCTGTAATCCCAGCTAATCAGGAGGCTGAGGCAGGAGAATTGCTTGACCCCAGAAGGCGGAGGTGAGCTGAGATCATGCCACTGTACCCCAGCCTGAGCGACAGAGCGAGACTCCATCTCAAAAAAAAAAAAAAAAAAAAAAAAAAAGACTAGATATTTGCCAAAGGAGAAAATGATCTAACCTATAGAGTTTTTAGAGCTGAGCCTCAGAATGTTCCTAATTCCATGTACTAGTTAGAATGTTTTCAATTCCTTGCACAATAAAATTTACTCTCATTTTTCATTTATTATTAGAGATGTCTCAATCCACATCATGTCTTCTGCTTAAGTAATTAATAAGCCTCATAATAAGACTAGAAGCCTTCTGGAAAAAATGGCAAGGACTGCCTCATTATCTTTGATTGCTTTAGCTTGTTACTGTTTTTCTTCTTGAATGATTCTCTGAGCAAAGACTAAAACCCCTTCAGACTTTGTACTTAAGTATCATATCTAAGAACCCTTAGCTCTTACAGTTTGTCCTGTTCTGTATGAAAGAGTCCTAGTTCCATTCCGGTTGGATATTTATTAACAGTGTGACTTGGGCTGCTATTATCATTTCTCTGAAACTGCCTTTATCTGTGAAATCCAGAGGTTGGCCAAAAGTGCTTTAAGAATGATAGCTCTAAGAATGGTAGAAGCACCTTCTATGTATAATGCACTGTGCTTAGGAGTGGACATAGGACAGAACTTGCCCTCATGGAGTTTATATGCCATGGGGGAACTGTTGATAAATAACATATGAATACCTATTAAAAACATTTATCTATTAGTGTGCAAGCCCTTAAAAGGCAAGGCCTTTTTGTCTGTTTTGTTCACTGCTGTATCCTCAATAAATAGGAATAATGCCTGGCACTTGGTAAATATATGCCAAATAAGTATATGTTGGGTATATTTTAAATATTATAACAAAGTACGTGAAGTTCTGGAAAAAAGCATTCTGTAAAATTATGCATTAATATTAGGATTGGGGCTTGTGGGAAAAATAGGACTGGTATGGACTCTTACCCATTATAACCAAAGCATTAACAAAAACATGAACTGGAACCCCTCCCTGCCCTACCCCATCCCCCAAAAAGCCATAAAGGCGGCCCAAGTAGGCATCTAAGTGCAGCTGGAAGATATTTTGGGGGATATTTTTGTTGTTGTCATTGCTCTTTAGTTATTTTACACTTTTAAAAATGCATAACGTACAAATCAGTAAAGTATACACATCTTAAACATACAGTTTGATGAATTAAAGTAATTTTTATACCCTCTGGGTACATACACCAAAGAACTGAAAGCAGAAACTCAGATACTTGTACACCATGTGCATAGCAGCAATATTTACAGTAGCCAACAGGTAGATGCAACTGAGGCATGCATCAGCAATTGAATGGCAAAACAAAAGGTGATATAGACATAAAATGGAATATTATTCAGACTTAAAATGGAAGGAAGTTCCAACAGAAGCTAGACATGGATGAAACTTAAGGACATTATGCTAAGTGAAATCACACAAAGGCAAATACTGTATGATTCTGCTTATATGAAGTACTTAGAGCAGTCAGATTCATAGAGACAGGAAGTAGAATGATGGTTGCCAATAGCTGGTACAAGGGTAGGACATGAGAGAAGGGAGAATTATTGTTTAATGAACATGGAATTTCAATTTGGGAAGTTCCGGAGATGGATGGTGGTGACGGTTGCACAACAAAGTGAATGTACTTATTCCACTGAAATCTACAGGGAAAAATGGTTGAGATGGTAAATATTATGTATATTTTACCACAGTTAGAAATGACGAATAAAAAAATTTACATTTATATCATCACCACTCAGATGAAAATATAGGAAGTTTCCTGTCCCCAGCAGACCACTATGCCCCTCCCCATCAGTATTGTCTCCTCGAGGTAATCACTCTTCTGCCAGCCCTTGAGGTTCACATACATGGATTTCTATTGTATCTACTTTTGTGTTTGACTTCTTCTCTCATGGTCATGTCTATGAAATTCTTTCATGTTGTTATCCATATCTGTAACTTATGTTTTATTATTGTGCAATTTCCCATTATGTGAATATACCACAACTTGCTTATCCAGTCCCCTGTTGATGATGTAGTTGTTTCCTGCTTTTGTTTATTCTATGTAGTGCTGCTATGAGCATTCTTGTGCGTATCTTTTGGTGGACATCTTCGCTCATTTCTCTTGGGTGGAATTTCTGGGGCACAAAGTAGTTTGGTAGATACTGCTAAATCGTTTTCCCAGTGGTTTTCCTGATTTGCATTCCCACCAGCACCACGTAGATGTTCTAGTGTCACATCCTCACCAGCTCATGGTGCTGTCAGTCTCATGAGATAATACAAAGGCACAAGAAAGAGTAGGGTGGAAAACTAGTTTTTGGGTGCAGAGGCAGTGCAGATGGAAGCAAAGCGGAGTCAGGGGGGCTTCTGTTCGGGAGGGCACAGGGAGAAGTACAATTTGGTACAACGTGACATCCAGTAAACCTGGGGTATGCCCTTGTAGGGAGGGACCTTCACATGCTAAAGGGATTTTTTTTTTTAATTAAAAAAAAAAAAAGAGCAGAGAGGATTTTAGCCGAACTGAAAGCTGTTTGCTTTCTTTCCTGTTGGAGGCTGTCAGTGTGCTCCTATACCTTACTCCCCATTGCTTTAGAAAAACTGCCCAGGAACCGATGCAACTTCCACATTATAGTGAATTCATTCCCCTGTTCACCAATTACATTTGAGCTCATTGGTTTTATGAAAACAGATCTTGTAACAGAACACACTGTATCTGTATTTAACATTAAGAATGGAGGTGAATTCTATGGGACAAGAGGAGGAAAGGATGTGAGGGTATTTGCAAAGGAGTGGTTATGATGAGTGACTTGGAATCCAAGCAGGGCCAGTGGGGGAATGATTAGGGAGAGCTGATGAGAATGTGGTGGGATCTGTAGGTTACAGAGCACACTGAGGTGGAGGTAGTTGAGCAAGTAAGCTGGAGGTAAAGTGAGTTTAAAGAGAAGTGTGTTTGCATAAGAATTTTAAACAAGGGGCAGTTTTGGGTGCTGCCAATGTCTTTGGAGTAATCATGGGCATCTACAATACAGCAAATTAAAACATTATTGGAGAAGAAGGGTAAAAAATAAGAGGCCCAGGGAGTTTGGATGAGTCTGTCGTAGGAAGGTGGAGGTTGCCAAGAAGGATGTTAGGAGTTAAGACGGAGAAGAGAGCTAGTGAGTCTAGGACTTGTAGACAGGAGTGTTTATATGCTCTTTCTCCCTGGCCACCAGTTGAGAGTGTAGCCTGGGAGTAGGGTGGAGACCCATTTGTCATTCCCGTAGTGCCTTGTACTATCTCATCATACCTCTAAAACTTCACCTTTTCACATCTCTTTCCTGTCTTTTTATGTATATATATAGAGAGAGAGACAGAGAGAGATGAGGTCTCACTCTGTTGCCCAGGCTGGAGTGCGGTGACAATGTCATAGCACACTGCAGTTTTGAACTCCTGGACTCAGGCCTTTCTCCGGCCTCAGCCTCCTGAGTATCTTCCCTGTCTTTTAATAACCACTTTTCGTGCACTTTTAATTTTGTACAACTACAGAACGTTAGCAAATATTTTGAGCCTCTGTTATATTTCTAGCACCACTAGGCATGGTGCTAGGTGCTGGGGAGATGATGGCAAACAAAACTCGGTTCCTTGCAGAGGATTAATTAAAAACAATCAAACAGAAGCAGTCTTCTTGCATGTGGGCTGGAAGTATTTTCTCTAAGTTACCAAATGAGACTCGATTGCTCATAGGAACAATTATAAGTGAAATATAGGTCATTAAATCTTTTGTAGGTAGGTAATTTGTATCTTGGAGCAAATAACAGATTTCATTTGCTTAGGATCCGAGTTCTTTTCACTGGCTGAAATATTACATATTTTCACTGGAAAAATAGTAGAATAGTAGAAAGCATCTCTGTCGCGATAGTACTTCAATAAACAGAAAGATGACACAAGTGCATGAGGCGCAGTTCTGATTGCCATAAATGCTAGTGCTTAGGAAGGCAGATTGTTGGTTCTGAGGATGTGAAGTTCCAGCTGGATCCCTGTGAGCTGGGCATGAGTGTTTGCCTGCCTGGTCATTGGTGGGCTGGAAGCATCAATAGGATGACATCCTATTTTTCTTCAGAACATAGGACTTCCTTTCCCTTTGATGTTAGTGTCAATGCTACCTAAACACAGAGTACCAGGAACACACCTGTTGTTGATTATATTGGTTTTATCACTTGTTGTAATGAGGGAGAACATGCATCAATGCAGAGCCTTAGTAAGAAGGTGTTAGACAAAAGCCTAATTTAGGATTTCGGTTTGGGTTGGGTGATTCAGGCAAGGGTCTAAAGAAGTGAGATTTTGCTGCAGATTAGAAATTGGGCACAATTCTATGATTGGGTATCTCAATAAATGTTATCTATGATGAAGACAAGAGAGCAAAGATAAAATTTTCATTGGTAAATAAGAAGCAGTCACTTATTTTAGCCAAGTGAAGGAAGTGTTTGGTATTTTGTGGGTGGCACAGTGACATTATTGTCTGCGCTTAGACAAAGTTATGATGTGGCCTTATCATGGTCTCAGTGTAACCTTGTCTGAAGTTGTGTTCTGTGAGAACTATTATGTCCAATTGTGGATTATCATGGCCTGGTGTGAGTGCCAGGCCAGCTTTGAGATGTCAGATAATGCTTTTTTCCCCCTTTTTTCATTTTTTCCCCCTTAGTAGTGTGCTGATACCTTCAGGGATCCTTTTGAAACAGTTAACAAATGGGGAAAAAAGGAGGGGGCACATGGTGGGAGTGGAGAAAATCTTGAGAGATTTTACTAAAGAAACCTAGGAATAGGGTAGAAGGCAAGAGTGAGAGCAGGAGAATATGAGAAGAGCTGGGTGTTGATGAGAAAGGACTTGCCCGAGGACACATGGACAGGGGGAACAAGGGAATAGGCAGGAGGTATATGAGGAATGGGAGCAGGTCCCCTCTTATCAGAGGCCAAGAAAAGAGTTGATAGGAGATAACACTCCCAGTGAGAAAGTTAACTCTGGGTCACCTGCCAACATTGTGTTGGTGGTCATGTAAATCCCTTAGCATGTTCCTGGCTCATAATGGGTATTCAGTTTCTCTGATTTTTATTAGTATTTACTTATTTTGATTAGTATCTCTTGGGGCCTCCCAGGAAGTGGAATGTAGAAGAGAATAATGTGCAGTTGTCTGTATGTAGAATACATGCATGTTTGGTTTGTAACTGTGGGTATTCTTGCATATTAAAACCCGTGTGTGGGTGTTTTTCTTGGAAAGCCTTGACCCGTGTTTCAGTGTTTGCATGGTGTGTCTGTCTTGCAGCCACAATAATAATTTCAGAGTTGCTCAAAGTTCTATAGTTAAATTTGTCATATGCCATGACAAAGGATGCATAGACTGTGGCACTGTTCCCTTACAATAATAAACAAGTACTCTCCTCACCTGCTCTGTGTTCCTTTTACCCCCGCCATCTCTATTTCCATCACCATGAAAAACCCCTCACCCCTGCCACTCAAGCTGTAGCTTGAACTCCTGGTCATTTTTATCTTTCTTATTTCCTCTTTATTCTGGATTTGGACATTTTGGTTTTTTTGTGTGTGCCCTGAATAATGCTGCTATAGACATCCTTTAACGTAAACACTAAGGTCCTTGTGTAAATAATTCACTGGACAAATTCCTAGTAGTGGGATTGGTGGGACAATTAATTAAAATTTTACCACATTCCCTTATAAATGAGTTGTGCTGCTTAAGACATCCACCCACAGAGCATGAGAGGGCTGACTTTTCCACACTCTAGCCAGCCTTTGGCTGTGCTAAACTTGAGCATTCTTGCTGATCTGAATCTAAAAATATGATTATACATAACTCTGTGAGTATATGAATATATTACTTAGTGAAACTAATTGACAGATGGTGGACATACACAAACTTTAAAATCTATATGTCATTTTTTGTTTATATTCTAAGTTGCTATGGATATCTCTTTACATATTATTCACTTGAAGTTATGTAAGAATATATCATTGAAAGATGTGATTGAATTAACATGTAGAATTAGCAGCTTTTAACATGTGGAGATAATGTTTTGTAGAATGTATTTTAAAAATGTACTTAGTGGAGAGGAAAATACTGCAAGTAATTTTTAGCATAGAAATAGTCACTCAGAGAATAAGGATCCTAAGATAAAATGTTGGCCCCCTGCTTTATTACTAGGGCTGGGTCCTAATTAGTCACTACAGAGAGTGCCAAAGAGAGGTTCAGTAGTCAGGGTATAGGTGCCAAGAAGCAGGGATTTTAAAAAAGGGGAGAGTTATATACATTGCAGGGCTAAAGTGTCAGCAGAAATAGTGTGGTTATCCTGCTAAGTCAACTAGACTTAAAATGGTTGTCATTTTTTTTTTTTTTTTTTTTTTGCCATTTTTCTTTGGTAGCCTTTGAGTTTGTTGTCCTTTTATTAATTCATCCTCTCTGCATTTGACAAATGTGGCTTCCACTTTCTTGCGTATGTTGCCTTCAATTTATGTGCCATCTTGGTTTTGGGGAAAATATTTTTCCATCTAAGAGGCATAATTCAATCAGTGTGGTGTGAAATGGGGACAGTGGTTAACAGAGGTCCCACCACAATGCCAGCAAGCTTTGCTCTTCCAGCAAAGGAATCTCCTCCAGTGGGATCATTCATACTGACTTACTTGGATGCTCTATTCCTGGTTTTCAAAATGTTCATTTTAGAAACAAAGATTCCTTTGAAAAATGGAACATGAAGAGATGAGGACAGTCCAGATTCCACAGAGCTACATTTGTCTACAGACATGGTCAGCTGCCCTGTTTTTGGGAGGGAAGTGGTTAAATTCTTCTCTCTGAGCTTGGTCTGTGGTGGCACAGTCTGTGTTCATTCCTGTCATGAGAAGAGGCACCCAGCTGGGGATGGCTGCTCCCTGAGCAGATAGAGGGAGGAGACAAGTATGATGGTCTCAATACGAAGCCAACGAAGGGAACTGCTTGTTCCCAGGATGGAGGAAAGATACAGGCATTGCCTGAAGCTCTGCCAGGCTTGAGGGAGTCTGTCTAGAGGTCTCCTTTTTTCCATTTCACATGTCGTGGCCAGGAGGCTTTTGTATGGTTTTGTGACCCATAGAAACAAGATGACTATGATGTATTTTGCATCTAGCTATAGCGGTTGTATAGCATTTGTTTATCATTCATTCATCTATTCAATATTTGTTGAGCATTTACTATGGGGGAGGTGTGGAGTATATTCATTGCTCAAGATCGACATGGTGACTGTACTCTGACCTTCCATTCTAGGGGAGCCAAAAATTAGATAAGTACTTATGAGTAGATGGTTCAGAAAGGGGGAAGACAGAAAATTTTGGGCAGTGGTACGCAAGAGCACCCAAGCTTATTTTAAACAGTCAGACAAGGCCTCACCAAGCAAATGGTGTTGTAGTTGAGAATTGAGAGAAGAATAACAGTTGGCCAATGGATGATGGGGGAGCAGGAGGTGGTGGTGGTGGTGTGTCCATGGTGTTCCATGAAGGGGGACATTCTCTGCAGCAGGTCAGGGAAAAACAGAAATTGTTTGCATGGGAAACTAAGAGGAATGTAGTGTGGATGTGGCTTAGAGAACCTGGGTTCAAGCTGTATGTTGTGGACATTTCTCACAAACAGAAGATATAATCTATAACTTTAATCTGCTCTGTCCTTCCAACCAGTATATCTCATATTATCTGCCTTTCTCAGCACCAATAATTTTCACATGGATGTAGTACCCTCAGTAATTTTCAGTATCTGGAGTCCTATGTTGCTAGTAGCATTGCCTTTGATTACTAAAAACATTTTAATATACTCTTGACAGTACCTGACAGTAAAATGGTATCTCTTCTTACACTGATGAGTGAATTATCTGAGTCATCAATTACTTCTTGTATCCTCAGTTTTTATTTTTTAATCAGAAGATGACAGAGCTTCTCATTGTACTATTGTGTAGATTGTTTCAGGAATTTTGAAATGCTTTTTAGATTTTTTTTTTTGTTTTGAGACGGAGTCTTGCTCTGTCGCCCAGGCTGGAGTGCAGTGGCACGATCTCTGCTCACTCCGCCTCCTGGGTTCACACCATTCTCCTGCCTCAGCCTCCCAAGGAGCTGGGACTACAGGCGCCCACTACCACACTCTGCAAATTTTTTGTATTTTTAGTAGAGACGGGGTTTCACTGAGTTAGCCAGGATGGTCTCGATCTCCTGACCTCGTGATCCACCCGCCTCGGCCTCCCAAAGTGCTGGGATTACAGGCGTGAGCCACTGTGCCCGGCTGCTTTTTAGATTTTATGCAGAAATGACAGGATGTTTACATGGAGGTAGGTAGTACACCTTGGAATTGAGTGTGGCTTTGGGCAAGTTCATAACCTGCCCTCAGTGTTCTCTTCTATAGGAGGTTGCAAGATTGCTGTGCAGGACTCTGTGTAAAGCATCTATTATTATTCTACAGGGAATGCTGCATAAATAAAGTCAATGAGCAAGAATTACTTTTTTTTTTTTTTTGGTGAGATGACAACTTTTGTAGACTCTGAAATAATATCTCTTGAATTCTATAACCAAAACCAGAAGAATAACATTGTTTGAATTCAATTCCCAGTTTTGCAGAAGTGGGTGGCTTCTGCATTATTGACACTTGCTAATGCTTAGTCAGTACCTAATGTTAGCCTGACAAAAAGCAGAGAGAAAAAGAGAATCATAGTAATAGCTGTAAAAATCTATAATCTAATTTGAAAATTTTCAATTTTCAAATTAGATTATAGATTTTGAAATTCCTTACTTCACTGTGTGTCTCTAACAGATGTTTGTTTATGTGTGTGACTTCTATCAGGTTGCTTCATCTATCATAGTATTAGAGTATTATGTATATTTAACTTAGAAATATGTGCACATATACTAAGGGTGCATGCTCAATTATTTTCATTGATAAGAGTACCTGATCAAAACATTTGGAGCCCATTGATATAATACACATTCATCTTTTTTTTCTTTTTTTCAGTATCAGAACCTCCTTTCTATAGTTGGTGGAGAGGATTCTCGACCTTAAGAGTCTTAGTAGGAAGCAGAACTTGACTCCCACCAAATAACTAGGAAATACCAGATGTGTACTTCCCAACTTCCCAGACAACCATCCCTTGAGCACGTGACCTTGGCTTTGCCAATCAGATGTGTTAGTCTAGAAATTTGGACAGCAGCTAGTGATATTCTCTGTGGCAGTGGTGAAGTCTGAAGCACACAGGCTCCAGGGACAATTGCAGTGGAGCCAGCGGCACTGTTCAGTGGTCAGTGCTGGAGATGGTTGTGACAGGCACGCCAGCTACAGTGGCATTGCTGACTGATGAGACAGCTTTATGTTGTGCTTTGGGCCGTGAGTCGACTGAGAGACATCTCAGCCTGATTCTCCATCCCTCTCAATGATCCTGTGAGCTGCCCTGTAACCTTTCAATACATTTCTGCTTCAGTCAGCCAATTTTTGGCTTGCAACCGAAACCCTGATTGTAGGCAGTGTTTCCAAAACCCAGCAGACCCATATTGTAGGCAGCGTTTCCAAAACCATTTTTCTGTGTAACCTGTTTTTTTAATAAAGCATTTCATGGCATCAGAATATTGGAAAATCTTTTGGGAAATGCAGAATGGCATGACGTAACAGAACCTGAGGATAGTGTCTAATTATAACACATAGAAATAATCATGATTCAGAAGTCCCTGTGTGTGCTGCTGGTCTTATCTGCATAAAGCCCTATAATCACAGTGTAAGATATTGTAGGGGATAAACAGAAGGCAATTACTGACACTGTGACTGGAGGCCAGACCCAGTCTTTGTGCCATTCAGAGGCATCTGCTTTTGTTTGTCGTATTAATCTATTTATGATAATGATAACTATTGTAGACAACCAATTTATTATGCTTTTATCATATGCAATGCACTTTCCGCAATTTTCATTTTAATCTCCCTAACAGCCACGTGTGGGCAATGGTATCTGTATTTTATGAATGCCAAAATGGGAGGCCCAGCGAGATGAAAAAAATTGCCCAAACTTATCAGGAGTAAAGTTGTGGTTTGAACCTGGAAATCAGTCTTTGGCCACTAAGCCATTGAAGTAATAATATCTCTGGAAGTAGGGAGCAGCTCCTCTCTTACTTCCTTGGTTTCCAAGGCAGCATGTCTTTCTGGTGGGTTCTCTGAGCCCAACACTCTTTCCCATTTCTTTTTTTTTTTTTTTTTCGCACTTGAGCCTTCTTGTCCTTCAATTCTCAGCCTAAAGTCGCACCTGTAAAGAGGCAGTTTCTGACCTCTCAGTACTCTCTTTTTCTATCAGAGCAGTCTTCATGATTTTCAATAGTATCTTTGCTTGTGTGGTTATTTGATTTACGTTTGTGTCCCTCTTGGGGCTAGAAGCTTTGGGAAACTCAGGATACATATTGGTTTTGTTCACCACTATACACCTAGCCCCTGCACAGTGTGTAGCCCACAGACATTCCCCAGATGTCTGTTTAAGAAGTAAATGAATGGCTCCATCACTTGCTGGAGGTTAGACCAGAGTTTCTTAGTCTTCTTTTTCATTATTGTCCCACCTAAGAAGAAAAATTTTATTAAATTTATTTTATTTTCTTAAATTTCAATAGGTTTCAGGGGAGCAGGTGGTGTTTGGTTACATGAGTAAGTTCTTTAGTGGTGATTTCTGAGATTCTGGTGCATCCATCACCCAAGCAGTGTACACGGTACCCAATGTGTAGTCTTTTTTTACAATTTTATTTTATTTATTATACTTTAAGTTTTAGGGTACATGTGCACAACTTGCAGGTTTGTTACATATGTATGCATGTGCCATGTTGGTGTGCTGCACCCATTAACTCGTCATTTACATTAGGTATATCTCCTGATGCTATCCCTCCCCCCAAACCACCCCACAACAGGCCCCGGTGTGTGATGTTCCCCTTCCTGTGTCCATGTGTTCTCATTGTTCAGTTCCCACCTATGAGTGAGAACACGCGGCGTTTGGTTTTTTGTCCTTGCGATAGTTTGCTGAGAATGATGGTTTCCAGCTTCATCCATGTCCCTACAAAGGACATGAACTCATCATTTTTTATGGCTGCATCGTATTCCATGGTGTATATGTGCCACATTTTCTTAATCCAGTCTATCATTGTTGGACATTTGGGTTGGTTCCAAGTCTTTGCTATTGTAATAGTGCCGCAATAAACCTACGTGTGCATGTGTCTTTATAGCAGCATGATTTATAATCCTTTAGGTATATACCCAGTAATGGGATGGCTGGGTCAAATGGTATTTCTAGTTCTAGATCCCTGAGGGATTGCCACTCTGACTTCTACAATGGTTGAACTAGTTTACAGTCCCACCAACAGTGTAAAAGTGTTCCTATTTCTCCACATCCTCTTTAGCACCTGTTGTTCCCTGACTTTTTAATGATCGCCATTCTAACTGGTGTGAGATGGTATCTCATTGTGGTTTTGATTTGCATTTCTCTGATGGCCAGTGATGATGAGCATTTTTTCATGTGTCTTTTGGCTGCATAAATGTCTCCTTTTGAGAAGTGTCTGTTCATGTCCTTCACCCACTTGTTGATGGGGTTGTTTGTTTTTTTCTTGTAAATTTGTTTGAGTTCTTTGTAGATTCTGGATATTAGCCCTTTGTCAGATGAGTAGATTGCAAAAATTTTCTCCCATTCTGTAGGTTGCCTGTTCACTCTGATGGTAGTTTCTTTTGCTGTGCAGAAGCTCTTTAGTTTAATTAGATCCCATTTGTCAATTTTGGCTTTTGTTGCCATTGCTTTTGATGTTTTAGATGTGAAGTCCTTGCCCATGCCTATGTCCTGAATGGTATTGCCTAGGTTTTCTTCTAGGGTTTTTATGGTTTCAGGTCTAACATGTAAGTCTTTAATCCATCTTGAATTAATTTTTGTATAAGGTGTAAGGAAGGGATCCAGTTTCAGCTTTCTACATATGGCTAGCCAGTTTTCCCAGCACCATTTATTAAATAGGGAATCCTTTCCCCATTTCCTGTTTTTGTCAGGTTTGTCAAAGATCAGATAGTTGTAGATACGTGGCATTATTTCTGAGGGCTCTGTTCTGTTCCATTGGTCTATAAATCTGTTTTGATACCAGTACCATGCTGTTTTGGTTACTGTAGCCTTGTAGCATAGTTTGAAGTCAGGTAGCGTGATGCCTCCAGCTTTGTTCTTTTGGCTTAGGATTGACTTGGCAATGCAGGCTGTTTTTTTGTTCCATATGAACTTTAAAGTAGTTTTTTCCAATTCTGTGAAGAAAGTCATTGGTAGCTTGATGGGGATGGCATTGAATCTGTAAATTACCTTGGGCAGTATGGCCATTTTCACGATATTGATTCTTCCTACCCATGAGCATGGAATATTCTTCCATTTGTTTGTATCCTCTTTTATTTTGTCGAGCAGTGGTTTGTAGTTCTCCTTGAAGAGGTCCTTCACATCCCTTGTAAGTTGGATTCCTAGGTATTATTCTCTTTGGAGCAATTGTGAATGGGAGTTCACTCATGATTTGGCTCTCTGTTTGTCTGTTATTGGTGTATAAGAATGCTTGTGATTTTTGCACATTGATTTTGTATCCTGAGACTTTGCTAAAGTTGCTTATCAGCTTAAGGAGATTTTGGGCTGAGACAATGGGGTTTTCTAGATATACAATCATGTCATCTGCAAACAGGGACAATTTGACTTCCTCTTTTCCTAATTGAATACCCTTTATTTCCTTCTCCTGACTGATTGCCCTGGCCAGAACTTCCAACACTATGTTGAATAGGAGTGGTGAGAGGGCATCCCTGTCTTGTGCCAGTTTTAAAAGGGAATGCTTCCAGTTTTTGCCCCTTCAGTATGATATTGGCTGTGGGTTTGCCATAGATAGCTCTTGTTATTTTGAGATACGTCCCATCAATACCTAATTTATTGAGAGTTTTTAGCATGAAGTGTTGTTGAATTTTGTCAAAGGCCTTTTCTGCGTCTATTGAGATAATCATGTGGTTTTTGTCTTTGGTTCTGTTTATATGCTGGATTATTTTTATTGATTTGCGTTTGTTGAACCAGCCTTGCATCCCAGGGATGAAGCCCACCTGATCATGGTGGACAAGCTTTTTGATGTGCTGCTGGATTTGGTTTGCCAGTATTTTACTGAGGATTTTTGCATCGATGTTCCTCAAGGATATTGGTCTAAAATTCTCTTTTTTTGTTGTGTCTCTGCCAGGCTTTGGTATCAGGATTATGCTGGCCTCATAAAATGAGTTAGGGAGGATTCCCTCTTTCTATTGATGGGAATAGTTTCAGAAGGAATGGTACCAGTTCCTCCTTATACCTCTGGTAGAATTCGGCTGTGAATCTGTCTGGTTCTGGACTGTTTTTGGTTGGTAAGCTATTAATTATTGCTTCAATTTCAGAGCCTGTTATTGGTCTATTCAGAGATTCAACTTCTTCCTGGTTTGGTCTCGGAAGGGTGTATGTGTCGAGGAATTTATCCATTTCTTCTAGATTTTCTAGTTTATTTGTGTAGAGGTGTTTGTAGTATTCTCTGATGGTAGTCTGCATTTCTGTGGGATCGGTGGTGATATCCCCTTTATCATTTTTTATTGCATCTATTTGATCTTCTCTCTTTTCTTCTTTATTAGTCTTACTAGCAGTCTATCAATTTTGTTGATCTTTTCAAAAAGTCAGCTCCTGGATTCATTGATTTTTTGAAGGGTTTTTTGTATCTCTATCACTTTCAGTTCTGCTCTGATCTTAGTTATTTCTTGCCTTGTGCTAGCTTTTGAATGTGATTGCTCTTGCTTCTCTAGTTCTTTTAATTGTGATGTTAGGGTGTCAATTTTAGATCTTTCCTGCTTTTTCTTGTGGGCATTTAGTGCTATAAATTTCCCTTTACACACTGCTTTAAATGTGTCCCAGAGATTCTGGTATGTTGTGTCTTTGTTCTCGTTGGTTTCAAAGAACATCTTTATTTCTGCCTTCATTTCGTTATGTACCGAGTAGTCATTCAGGAGCAGGTTGTTCAGTTTCCATGTAGTTGAGCGGTTTTGAGTGAGTTTCTTAATCCTGAGTTCTAGTTTGATTGCACTGTTGTCTGAGAGACAGTTTGTTTTAATTTCTTTTCTTTTACACTTGCTGAGGAGTGCTTTACTTCCAACTATGTGGTCAATTTTGGAATAAGCGCAGTGTGGTGTTGAGAAGAATGTATATTCTGTTGATTTGGGGTGGAGAGTTCTGTAGGTGTCTATTAGGTCTGCTTGGTGCAGAGCTGAGTTCAATTCCTGGATATCCTTGTTAACTTTCTGTCCCATTGATCTGTCTAATGTTGACAGTGGGGTGTCAAACTCTCCCATTATTTTTGTGTGGAAGTCTAAGTCTCTTTGTAGGTCTCTAAGGACTTACTTTATGAATCTGGGTGCTCCTGTATTGGGTGCATATATATTTAGGATAGATAGCTCTTCTTGTTGAATTGATCCCTTTACCATTATGTAATGGCCTTCTTTGTCTCTTTTGATCTTTGTTGGTTTAAAGTCTGTTTTATCAGAGACTAGGATTGCAACATCTGCCTTTTTTTGCTTTCCATTTGCTTGGTAGATCTTCCTCCATCCCTTTATTTTGAGCCTATGTGTGTCTCTACACATGAGATGGGTTTCCTGAATACAGCACGCTGATGGGTCTTGACTCTTTATCCAATTTGCCAGTCTGTGTCTTTTAATTGGAGCATTTAGCCAATTTACCTTTAAGGTTAATATTGTTATGTGTGAATTTGATCCTGTCATTATGATGTTAGCTCGTTATTTTGCTCGTTAGTTGATGCAGTTTCTTCCTAGCCTCGATGGTCTTTACAATTTGGCATGTTTTTGCAGTGGCTGGTACCGGTTGTTCCTTTCCATGTTTAGTGCTTCCTTCAGGAGCTCTTTTAGGGCAGGCATGGTGATGACAAGATCTCTCAGCATTTGCTTGTCTGTAAAGGATTTTATTTCTCCTTCACTTCTGAAGCTTAGTTTGGCTGGATATGAAATTCTGGGTTGAAAATTCTTTCTTTAAGAATGTTGAATATTGGCCCCCACTCTCTTCTGGCTCGTAGAGTTTCTGCCGAGAGCTCAGCTGTTAGTCTGATGGGCTTCCCTTTGTGGGTAACATGACCTTTCTCTCTGGCTGCCCTTAACATTTTTTCCTTCATTTCAACTTTGGTGAATCTGACAATTATGTGTCTTGGAGTTGCTCTTCTCGAGGAGTATCTTTGTGGCGTTCTCTGTAATTCCTGAATGTGAATGTTGGCCTGCCTTGCTAGATTGGGGAAGTTCTCCTGGATAATATCCTGCAGAGTGTTTTCCAACTTGGTTCCATTCTCCCCGTCACTTTCAGGTACACCAATCAGATGTAGATTTGGTCTTTTCACATAGTCCCATAGTTCTTGGAGGCTTTGTTCGTTTCTTTTTATTCTTTTTTCTCTAAACTTCTCTTCATGCTTCATTTCATTCATTTGATCTTCCATCACTGATACCCTTTCTTCCAGTTTATTGAATCAGCTACTGAAGCTTGTGCATTCATCACGTAGTTCTCGTGCTGTAGTTTTCAGCTCCATCAGGTCCTTTAAGGGCTTCTCTCCATTGGTTATTCTAGTTATCCATTCGTCTAATCTTTTTTCAAGGTTTTTAACTTCTTTGCCATGGGTTCGAACTTCCTCCTTTAGCTCGGAGAAGTTTGATTGTCTGAAGCCTTCTTCTCTCAACTCGTCAAAGTCATTCTCTGTCCAGCTTTGTTCCGTTGCTGCATTCCTTTGGAGGAGGAGAGGCGCTCTGAGTTTTAGAATTTACAGTTTTTCTGCTCTGTTTTTTCCCCATCTTTGTGGTTCTATCTACCTTTGGTCTTTGATGATGGTGACGTACAGATGGGGTTTTGGTGTGGATGTCCTTTCTGTTTGTTAGTTTTCCTTCTAGCAGTCAGGACCTTCAGCTGCAGGTCTGTTGGAGTTTGCTGGAGGTCCACTCTAGACCCCGTTTTCCTGGGTATCAGCAGTGGAGGCTGCAGAACAGTGAATACTGAACAGCAGATGTTGCTGTTCCTCTGGAAGTTTTGTCTGAGAGGAGTACCCGGCTGTATGAAGTGTCAGTCTGCCCCTACTGGGGGGTGCCTCCCAGTTACGCTACTCGGGAGTCAGGGACCCACTTGAGGAGGCAGTCTGTCTGTTCTCAGATGTCAAGCTGCGTGCTGGGAGAACCACTACTCTCTTCCAAGCTGTCAGACAGGGACATTTAAGTCTGCAGAGGTTTGTGCTGCCTTTTGTTTGGCTATGCTCTGCCCCCAGAGGCAGAGTCTACAGAGGCAGGCAGGCCTCCTTGAGCTGGGATGGGCTCCACCCAGTTCGAGCTTCCTGGCTGCTTTGTTTACCTACTCAAGCCTCAGCAATGGTGGGCGCCCCTCCCCCAGCCTCTCTGCCCACTTGCACTTTGATCTCAGACTGCTGTGCTAGCAATGAGCGAGGCTCCGTGGGCGTAGGACCCTCTGAGCCAGACACAGGATATAATCTCCTGGTGTGCCGTTTGCTAAGACCATAGGAAAAGCACAGTATTAGGGTGGGAGTGACCCAGTTTTCCAGGTGCCATCTGTCACCCCTTTCCTTGGCTAGGAAAGGGAATTCCCTGACCCCTTGCACTTCCTGGGTGAGGTGATGCCTCGCCTTGCTTTGGCTCATGCTCGGTGCACCGCACCCACTGTCCTGCACCCACTTTCCGAAGATCCCCAGTGAGATGAACCCGGTACCTCAGTTGGAAATGCAGTAACCACCCGTCTTCTGCGTTGCTCATGCTGGGAGCTGTAGCTCATGTGTAGTCTTTTATCCTTCACATCCCTCCCACCCTTTCCCCAAAGTCCGCAAAGTCTATTGTATATTCTTATGCCTTTGTGTCCTCACAGCTTAGCTCCCACTTATGAATGAGAACATAGAATGTTTGTTTTTCCATTCCTGAGTTGCTTCACTTAGAATAATGGTCTCCAGTTCCATCCAGGTTGCTGCAAATGCCATTATTTTGTTCCTTTTCATGGCTGAGTACTATTCCATGGTGTGTGCATGTGCATGTGTGTGTGTGTGTGTGTATATGTATATGTATATACCATATTTTGGTGCACACACACACACACATATATATATCATATTTTCTGTATCCACTTGTTGATTGATGGGCATTTGGGCTGGTTCCATATTTTTGCAATTGCAAATTGTGCCGCTATAAACGTGTGGCAAGTATCTTTTTCATGTAATGACTTATTTTCCTCTGGGTAGATACCCAGGAGTGGGATTGCTGGATCAAATGGTAGATTTACTTTTAGTTCTTTAAGGAATCTCCACACTGTTTTCCACAGTGGTTGTATTAATTTACATTCCCACCAGTAGTGTAAAAGTGTTCCTTTTTTACCACGTCCACACCAACATTTATTATTTTTTGATTTTTTGATTATGGTCATTCTTGAAAGAGTAAGGTGGTATCACATTGCGGTTTTGATTTGCATTTCCCTGATTATTAGTGATATTGAGAATTTTTTTCATGTATTTGTTGGCCATTTGTATACCTTCTTTTGAAAATAGTCTGTTCATGTCCTTAGCCCACTTTTTGATGGGATTATGTTTTTTCCTGCTGATTTGTATGAGTTCCTTGTAGATTCTTAACATTAGTCCTTTGTCAGATGTATAGATTTTGAAAATTTTTCTCCTACTCTGTCAGTTCTCTGTTTATTCTGTTCTCTGTTTTCTTTATTACTTTTGTTGTACAGAAGCTTTTTAGTTTAATTAAGTCCCATCTATTTATCTTTGTTTTTTTTGAGTTTGCTTTTGGGTTCTTGGTCATGAAGTCTTTGCCTAAGCCAATGTCTAGAAAGGTTTTTCCAATGTTATCTTCTAGAATGTTTATGGTTTCAGATTTGAGTCTTTGATCCATCTTGAGTCGATTTTTGTATAAGGTGAGAGATGAGGATCCAGTTTCATTCTTCTACATGTGACTTGCCAAATATCCCAGCAACATTTGTTGAATAGGGTGTTCTTTCCCCACTTTGTGTTTTTGTTTGGTTTGTTAAAGTTCAGTTGGCCGTAAGTATTTGGCTTAATTTCTGGGTTCTCTATTCTGTTCCATTGGTCTATATGCCTGTTTTTATACCAGTATTATGCTGTTTTGGTGACTATGGCCCTATAGAATAGTTTGAAGGTCAGGTAATGTAATGCCTACGGATTTGTTCTTTTTGCTTAGTCTTGCTTTGGCTATGTGGGTTCTTTTTTGGTTCCACATGAATTTTAGGATTTTTTTTTTCTACTTCTGTGAAGAATGCTGGTGGTATTTTGATGGGAATTGCATTGAATTTGTAGATTGCTATTGTGTAGAATTAATCATGATATTGATTCTACCCATCCATGAGCATGGGATATGTTTCCATTTGTTTGTGCTGTCTGTAATTTCTTTCAGCAGTGTTTTGTAGTTTTCCTTGTAGAAGTCTTTCACCTCCTTGCTTAAGTATATTCCTAAGTATTTTATTTTAATTGTTCACAGCTATTGTAAAAGGGTTTGAGTTCTTGATTTGATTCTCAGCTTGGTTGCTGTTGGTGTATAGCAGGGCACCTGATTTGTGTACATTGATTTTGTATCCTAAAACTTTATTGAATTCATTTACTAGTTCTAGGAGGTTTTTGGATGAGTCTTTAGGGTTTTCCAGGTATACAGTTATGTATCAGCAAGCAGCGACAGTTTGACTTCTTCTTTACCAATTTGGATGCCCTTTATTTCTTTCTCTTGTATGATTGCTCTGGCTGAAAAATTATATTAAATTTAAGTTCTACCTAATGAGATAAATTTTATGGAATAGGGTTTAGCTTTGGAAGTCTAGCAACTATTGTAATATCTATAGTGTTTTCATCCCCTAAGAACCAACTTTTGCCCCCTTGGTGGTGATATCACTCCTATTCAGAAAGTATAGTTTAAGCTTTTAGTTTCTTGTTTCAACTTCTGTAAAATGGAGCTAGGAACTTCTAATTTGTAGGGTTGCTGTGAAGATTAAAAGTGTCAGTATATGTAACTTTCTTGTCATATGGTAGATATTCAAATGTAGATACAGGTTGTCTTCTATTAAATGTTAATTGAATATCAGGGATGACTAAAGTTGGTCAAATAATTTTATGTTTATATTACAGTTTTTAAAACATGCAGATCTGAAAGATGAGACATAAACAAAATAACACTTACTGAAAAGGCCCAGCAGTTTATCCAAGATTTCTGCATTTAATGGAGATTTTTGGCTTTGACAGTTTACTTAGCTTAATTCAATTTTGAGTCTTCAGTTGTGGAATTTCCTAAGGAATGCCTGATAGTGTAACTTAAGCACAAAGTAAAAGCCCACACCTACAGTGTGGATGCATTATTCATTTTATAGCATAAAATGTAGTATTTAGTACAAAGCACACCTATATGGATTCCCTCAAGAATATGCCATCAGGCAATAATTAAATTATGTAAAAATAGTTTATCCCTATTATATATGCATTCTCCAGGCTTAAAAGCAGATTTTGAGTCATAAATATTAAACTCTGCCATTTTTGGCCTGTTCCCTTCTTTTCAATTAGATGGGCTCAACAAATTGTTTTTCCCGTGGATAATAATTTTTATTAAAGGAAACACAAATGCACATCTCCATAGCAACTGACTAGAATCCCTTGCCAAGTTCTCTTCTTTATGTCTGATTTATCAGCCCCCAGGTAGTTCGCTCTTGCACAAAAGAGAACTATTGTCAGTTAGGAGGAAGAAATGAGATCAGGAGTTTTACTTGCAATTTAATTTACTACAATATATGTTTACATATCTCCCACTGATGATATTGGGAAAATGTCTGCTAATCATAAAAGTACTTTAAAGGTTTCTGCTTGGGGTTTGTTTGTGTGTAAAGTATGTATTTTTATACTGTAGTATGTTGTCAAGGGCGAAGTAAGAGGGGAAATGTGGTTCTCTCAACTCCACAAAGCAATGCTCCTCTGCCTGAAGGGACTGAATGCTGTGACTTTATGAAACTTTCAGTTGTATTTTTCATGGTCAACTCACTTGAGAATTTTCTGAAGCCTGGAACTGCTGCTTGTCTGTAGGTTAAAAATGAGGAGGATGCTATTTGCGCTTACTGACACTATTCTCTGTAATTAAGAGTCAGCAGCCAAGGTGGGCCTGGGTCCCCAGACAGACCCTTGTTTTACCTACCTGTGAGAGGACTTTGGGCAAGACCCAATGCTCTTCCTTCTGAATCCCTTTGAACGAGGAACAAAACAGTTTATGGGTCCACTTATTTAGTGAATATTTCCTTAGCACTGGCTATGTGCCTCAGTGTGCTGGGCATGGGAAATAAAGCAATAAATTGACAGAAATGGTCTACACCCTCATGGAGCTTACAGTCTAAGAGGGAACAGCTAAGGGAATGTCCCAACCTGCCTGTTCCCTCTGGCCTGGCTGACATCTCAAAGGACATTTCCAGAATAAGGACTGTGACCAAGGAGAGTTGTGGTGTATATTAGGAGAGGGCAGTCTAGTCTGGGAGGTCAAGCAAGGCATCTTGAAGGCCTGAATAGAGTCAGGAAGCAGGCCAGACAGAGGGAGGAGGAGCAAATAGATGGGAGGTGGAGCAGGGGTGCAGATTCAAGACAAGGAAGGGTATGAATGACACTCTCATGCACTGGCACTGAAATCAGCAGTGATCTGAAACTAGTGAGAAAAAGGGGGTGGTGTGAAAGGAGGCTGGGCAGAGTGGCAAAAAGGCCTCAAGTGCTGCCTTGAGATGCTTGGACTTGATCCATTGGGTGCTGAGGAGCCTTTGAAGGGGTTCAGCAGAGGAGGGGAGTGATCAGATTTGACTATGTCTATACTGTAGAAACTAGATGGAAGGTGAAATGGACTCTGGGGCTCAGCTAAGTCACCAGGCCCCTCATTTCTCATTTTCTGGGCCTGAGTTCCTAAGGGAGTTGGTGTCTGAGGCTGTGACCATTCTGCAGTTTCTCAGCCTGAATTTTCCCCTGGCCTAGTTGTGACATTTCTTGCTTTATCTCATAGATGCCCCCCTTGACTATAGAGCACCTCCCAACCCCAGTACCGCTAGCTAGGCACTTTCTTTCCTGCTGGAGAGTTTACGGTCTGGCCTTTGCCTGTGTCTAATGAGGCACCAAAATGTCTTTTGTCACTGAGTTAACTTCTGAGAAGTTAGCAGCCCCTGGACACAGCCCAAGGACAAGAAAGATCTTCAGTGTGAAGAGCAGCACAAATGTCCCCCTTCTTCAGGAATTGCTACTTATTTTTGACTGCTCTGAACACTGGGGATTTATAATATCTTGGCCTTGTGTTTGCTGTTAAATCTGTAAATTAATAAGATAGGGCAAAGCAGTGCTTTAAAACTACAATTTGAGACAAGTATAAGTAAAACAAGCAGGTATCCTAAATTCCTAACCTGTTGACTAAAGTGGAACTTAACTGTAAACAAAGCAAGAGCAAAGCTAGAATGAACTTTGTCTAAATTGAGAGCAAAAAGCTTATTTTTAAGTAAATGTTCAAAATCCCTCTATGAATGTTAGAATTGCCATCTTTTTAGTCGAAGGAATGAATGTAATATTCCTGGCAACAGTTAATGGTCCATTGGTGGCAGCCCTATGACATCTTTATGATTTGATAGGATGAATCATGGAAATTCTACCCTGCCCAAGCTTATGTCCCAGGAAGAATGATTGGAAAATCTGGTTGAAGATGCGTCAGTTTATTCCCACATTGTCTGGATCTGATAAATTCTTCATGCATTTTGGGGATCAAATTACTACAGTCGACTTTGCTGTGTTGCCAGCTAGTTTGCATGCTGCAAAATGGAAGCAGTTTACGCTTAACACAAATGCCATCTACAAGACAGGAAAACATAATGTTTTACTGTCTTTTCTTCCTGATCACCATTTCATCTAGTGGCAGCTTATGGTGATTGGGGAATTGAGAAGTTTTCTAGACTCCTGAAGTGTGCAGTTCTCCAAGTATAACCTTCAAACTTCAATGCCTAGCCATATGTATTTTCCTTCCTTTAAATAAATATTCATTGTACCAGGGACTCTCCTAGACCTTGAAGATATGGTAGATAAGGCAAATATGGTCCTTAATCTCATGGTGAAGAGGTTGCATGTATCCTTTTGTTTGCTGTTTACCAAGTTACATTTAACACCATAAAAGTTATTTTTAAAAGGTTTTTTTCTTCTTGAGAAAAGTTCCCTTCTGCCATGTTCATGTTTCTAAATGATAGTAAAGAATCACAATGATAATTATCTTTAAGCCTGTGAGATGGAATATTTTAATGCCATTACTTATGTTTTTGAGGAATAGTTAATGGGAAATATCTCAATATATGATGCTAAATGAAAGAGGCAGAACTAAGCTTTATATATCATATGATACCAGTTTTAGTAAGTACAGAAATATAAGGATATATAAATAGTTAGAAAAATAAATAAATATATGGGTAAGAGACTGAGTGAAGGTAATGAAAATGTTAATAGCTCTATAATGTGTGGGTAAGGGCATTATGATTACTTTTTGCCCTAAACTATTGTGTGTTTTTTTAATTTAAAAAATCATGTTACTTTTGTAATTAGGGAAAAGGTTATTAAAAATAATCCCTTGTTTTGAATTGAAATAGACATAATATTATCATAAAGATGCCCACAGCAAACATATTAGAGTCTCTAAAATCATAATATTATCATAAAGATGCCCACAGCAAACATATTAGAGTCTCTAAAATAACAGTGAGAGCCGCAACTAATGATAATCTTCCTATCTCCATGTTTCTCGTATTCTAAATGCTTTACCTCTCTCCTTAAAGTCACTCTTTATTTTGCTCATCTCCATCCAGCTCTGATAATTATTTAATTGAATTATTATTGGCTTATGGGAGAAATTATATATTGCAGTGATGGGCTGATTTATGTAGGTAGCTCTGTTGCATCTATTTAAATTCCTGCCTAGGCAAGTACTTAAATATGTTAAAAAGTGGTGAAATTAAGTAAAGATATGCATAACATGTGTATTTGGAGGTGCAGCATCCTACGGATACACTGTTCACAAATGGGAGGAAGGGGACAGCTAAGGGAATGTCCTGGAATACCACTCAGTGAAAAGTTGGGACCTCAAGAGGAGTTCCTAATCTGGGATGTGTGTGTGTTTTATAAGGTCTGCATATTCATATGTGCTACAAGTATTTTTTGTATTCAGCAAATCACATATAGTACCCTCATACCTATATTTATACACACAGAGTACTCTTTTTGTCTCAGATGAATGTAACTCTTATAATGGATAAAAATTAACTATTTCATAAGCATAGTTATCAATGCATCCTGAAAGTACAATTGCTATCCTGGGGTCCCTTGTAACAATGCTATGGTGACAACTCACCTAACATTTCTTGGGTGTTCAGTATGTATCAGATTCTATGCTGAGCTTTTCATATGTTGACTTATGAAATGTTTTGTCATTTGGAAAGGTGTCTTCATCATTGGAAAATTGGGAACTACTGAATGAAAATGTCTGGAATAAATTCTAAGACCCAAAAGCTTTGGAGGCATGGATAAGAATCCTGGTGTCAGAGAGACCTGGGTTCAAACCCTGGCTTGGTGTGTATGTGAGTGTGTGTGTGTGTGTGTATGTGTGTGTGTGTGTGTGTGTTTTTCTGGCTGTGTGATTTTGAGAAAGTTACTAAACATTCCCTGACCCCATTCTCATTTGTAAAACAGAAGTTAGTTTTATAAGGACAGGCAAAATTCTTAACCATGCCTAAGTAGTGAGGGCTCAGCAATGATACCTATTCCATCATGAACTTACAGTCACAGGTTAACTTGAAAGGACAACGGTGAGTAACAGTTGCTATCAGAAACCCCATATATGATTTTTGTAGTGTTGAGTCTTATGGCCAGAAGAAAGGAGATATAATTTGTCTGAGATTTAATAATTTTAAGCCTTGTTCAAGGTTAAATTTGGCAAGAAAGGAGATAAAATTTCAGAGAGCCATTCAGCAGGGTTAGGTAAAGGATGTGGAGTGCTACATCTCTCTTACCAGCTATTGATTCTCCAGACCTTGGGATTTGCTGCCCAGTGCTCTCCTGTAGGACACAAGTGGATTTGTTTTCTCAAGTGGGTGTTCCCTCTGCCTTTTAGTCTTCTTCCTGGCATCTGTTGCATCTGGTTTTGTGACCTGGTGGTAGTTTCGGTGGCCATGCCCACAGCTGGCAAGACGGTTGTTATTTTAATGCCTTTAAATAGTTTGTCTGAACCACAGCCCTTGGATACCAAGAATCAACATTGTAAAAGATAATAGGCCCTAATGATGTGGGTTGTTAGGTGGTTAGCTGAGTTACAGAGGGTCTTGTTACGGGGCAAGAGTTTGGACAGACATTAATCAGATGCTAGAGTAATTGGGGTCCTGCTCAGAATGCAATGCACTCCAGTGACCCAAATTGTAAAAAGATACTCCTCTTTCTAAGAGTGCACCCTGGACTTGGGGACAAACATTTGCAGATGGGCTTAATGAGGAAAATTTCCATAGCAATTTTACGTATTGTCACACATGATTATGGAACACAGGGTCCTGCTTGCTCTGATCAAGCATTTAGTCGTCCATGGCCTGAAAAAGAAAATCAGATGAAACCTGGTTATCATATTCCTTGCTGATTTCTTCAGTGAAGGAGATGTCAAAGCCTGGGTGGCAGATAGTAAGGACTGGGTCTGCTTTTTGTCCAAAGAAGTTGAGATTCTACATGAGGCAAGCAGTTACATTAGGAAAAGGCAGAGTTTTATGGAGTGTTAAAAGAGTTTATGTGAAAGTACTTTTGAAGAGAAAGAATTCAAAGACAACTTAAATCCAGCATGTGGCTTTATAATGAGACAGACAGACATACACACACACACACACACACACACACACACAGACACGTCCCATGGTTAAAAAAAAAACTTTTTTTCTGAGTGTAAGTGGCTGTTTTGGGGACAATCTTGTATCTTATTGATGTGACTGTGAAGATATTCCAGTGTTTTCAAAATATGCATCTAGGCTGGGTGCGGTGGCTCACACCTGTAATTCCAGCACTTTGGGAGGCTGAGGCAGGTGGATCATGAGGTCAAGAGATCAAGACCATCCTGGCCAGTGTGGTGAAACCCTATCTCTATTAAACATACAAAAAGTAGCTGGGCATGGTGGTACACGACTGTAATCCCAGCTACTCAGGAGGCTGAGGTAGGAGAATCACTTGAACCCAAGAGGCAGAGTTGCAGTGAGCCAAGATCACGTCACTGCACTCCAGGCTGGCGACAGAGTGAGATTCCGTCTCAAAAAATAAAATAAAATAAAATAAAATAAAATAAAATAAAATAAAAGCATCTAATTAAATGTTTGTGTCACATTAAAAACTTTAGGAGAACTAATTACAAATGTTTGTGTGTCTCTTAATAAAAGTGAGACTTTACATAGTTAGCAGAGCAAAAGTAAAGTTAAATCATGCATCCAACCCACAAGTATTTTTTGAATACCTACTGTGTACCACGCACCATGTTGGGAGATGAGAGTACTCTGTTGTGAGCAAGACAAACAACCCCTGTCCTCATGGCACTTAGAGCAACCTGATGCACTCAAAGTTGTATTGTTAGCATTTTCCTTTTTGTTTTGAGACAGAGTCTCTTTCTGTCTCCCAGGCTGGAGTGCAGTGGTGTGATCTTGGCTCACTGCAGCCTCTGCCTCCTGTGTTCAAGCAATTATCTGCCTCAGTCTCCTGAGTAGCTGGGATTACAGGTGACTGCCACCACGCCCGGCTAACTTTTTTTTGTGTGTGTATTTTTAGTAGAGACGGGGTTTCACCATCTTGGCCAGGCTGGTCTTGAACTCCTGACCTCGTGATTCACCTGCCTCGGCCTCCCAAAGTGCTGGGATTACAGGCGTAAGCCACCAGGCCCGGCCTGTTAGTTTTTTCCTAAAGCAATGTAAGACATCTCTTGTCAGGTCCTCTGCACAAGGTGGTTCTTTAGATTAATCTGTGATCTTATTTTGAGATATCACTCAGTTAGCACTTATCCAGTACCTTCCTCCACTCATATGGTCCTCCCACGTCCACTGTAAATAGTATCATCATTCCTATTTCCAGGGTTTCAATTTGACCTTTGTATATTTTGTTTTTAATATGCTTCTTTTCTGGAGAATAGTCACAAAATAATTGGGATGATTCAGGGGATACTCAATCCCTGATATGTCATAAACACAATTTAGATAGGAGAATGTGCCTTTTCCTCATACCTGGAACATTTTAATTGGTATTTTATTTATTAAGTCATGTAGAAAACGTTTGATGCAGATTTTAGTGAAATTGCTGTAAAATTATAGACAATTGGAGAGTATACGATAACTTAATAATTGGGGTTTTCTCCAGTCAGAAATAATTCTTTATTTTTGCCTTAATCAGCATGAGTAAGACCTAATTGTACCCCTTTTAAGCCAAAGGTCACGAACTACAAAAGTGGACGAAAAATCCGGTCTCCTTCAGCTTCTACAAATAGCTCTTAGAGTTACTTTAAGGTCAGAGGCTGTCAGGCCACTGTCCATCTCTCAGGCACTTAATGATAGTTTAATCAAATCAAGAAGGAGATACTGGGTGATCCCATTCTTGATGGTCTCTGATAAGCTGGTAATGGGCAGAAATGTTTCCCTAAGAGGTTTATGTTTCAGCTGCACAAAGAAACTTCTATACTGTCTTTCAGGAAATACGAGCCCAGGTACAATACCAACTTATCTTTTACCCAAGAGCTTTCTTAGCTTGAAGGCCCATGATTCTTTAGACCTAAGACATGTGTGATTTCAATGTCAGTGGTTGTGGAATGCATTTTATTTTTTCTAAAGAAGTTAATAGCAAAGGCTTGTTTTCTTAAGAGCTTGAGCTTACCATATTCATCACCTCACAGTTACCTGCCTTTTTTTGTGGTTAGAACACTTAAGATCTACCTCTTAGCAAATTTCATGTATGTGATTATCATTAACTGTAGTCACTATGCTGTACAATAGATCTCTAGAACTTATTCATCTTATAACTGAAAATTTGTCCCCTTCTACTGTCTGTTTTTATGAGTTTAACTTCTTTAGGTTCCATACATATCATATATATCTGGCAAATTTCACTTAGCCTAATTTCCTCTAGGTTTATGTATGTTTTTGCAAATGACAGGATTTCCTTGTGACAATCATTTCACAATGTATATCTATATTAAAACATTACATTGTATACCTTAAATATATATAATTTTTTGGTCATTTATACCCCCATAAAGCCGCATATAAATACATCTATAAATAAGCAAAAAAAAAAAAGCTTGAGTTTAGAGATGCTCAGAATACCCTATTATGTTTGCAAACTCTCTTTTGCTGTAGATTGCAGTGCAGTTGCATTTGAGTTCTTGCATATGAGTTAGGATGTTCCTGGAGACTCTATAAATGCAAAATCATTATAATTAAATTTTGGAATTTTAACTTACCTTTATAGCTATTTATAAACGTGTTTAATGTGTTTTGGATAATTAAGAGAAATTAGTTTTTATCCTCAACATGAATAATTTTTATGCCCTGCTAAAATGCACTGCAATTCATGGATAAGGTAATTTGAGGCTTTCAAAACCCAAATGAGGTTTTTACCTGGGGATGTTCTTGGGGTTATTACGGGTTACTAGGGAAAGTGACTGCAGACTTTGGATGTTGCAGCAAGCTAAAACCTTGTGCTGTGCTCAGATGGCCTGCGGTATTCTGCCTAATGGTGGAATACAAAGATGGCCAAACCAACAGACTGATGACTATTTTGATTCAGGAACTGGAAGAAGTTATGTTTTTGCAATTTGACTCTGAGTTAATGGCAGCATTTGCTTCTCATGTAGCTAAGCATGTTAATAAAGCATCCTTTCTGAAACTGATCCAGAAAACAGGCTTCCAGAAGGAAAGAAGAATTCGCTGGAAACATAGTAAGATGTTGCTCTCCTACTGTTGTAAAGAAGAAATTGTTCCATGGGAACTATTTTATTATGAATAAGAGCATATTCTTAACCTTTTATTCTTTGCTGATAGCAACATTTATGTGTCCGATAGTTATATATTGTCTTGTGTTTTTAAAAAGAACTTGCCTAACAGTTTGGGTTTCTACTGAGGGTGTAGCCTGTTGTACCCACTGAAGCAAATGGCTTTGATCAGTCCTTCCCTGGTGGCTGGGCTGCATATGTATAAACAGAGGATTATTGAGTGTTGGGAATGAATTCTTTGCCAGACACATATTTTAATGAGATTCTTAGAATTGCTTCAAGCTCTGTTTTACTAATTCTATTCCTAGTTCCTTAGAAAGGAAAAGACAATTAAGGAAAGAGGGCTTGGGCCTTGCTGACTTTTCACACTCCTTGGAATAAAGTTTTGGTTTCCATACAGTTCTTCTGAGAAGAGTGAACTGACCCCAGAAGGGCTCCATCATATGTTTTATAAGTAAAACTAAATGGGCATTTTCACATAATTCAAGTAATTAACGTCCATGAGACAAGTCTGTATGTGACACAGAAGGGATACAGAGGAGCAATAATTCTGTTTGCTTGGTATATGGTAGATAGTTTGCTGGATTTAATTCTTGAGGAATTCAGCAAAGGCTTCCTAAGGGGAGCTGTGTCAGATGTTAGGGAGATGGTAGTGAAGATAGGATGGGGAGAGAAGGGAAAACCAGGCAGAAGGACTGAAGAAAGTTTAGATGAGGTGGGATGAGACAGCAAGATGAGTACCAAGAACTCTGACAAGGTCAGCAAACTGGGGGTTGCTGAGCAGAGGGAGGTCACATGAGTAAGGTACTTAGCACAGTGCCTGGCACATAGTAATTGCCCATTAAATGGTAGCTTAAAAACAAAAGCTGCTTCCCATGATGTGCTGGTAAACGTTTAACAACCGGCTGTCATAATGGATGGGGAATGAAATTCCTGATTTGTAGTATTTGCAGATTTCTCTGGCATAGTTACTCCCACCATGGCCCATTTCAAGCTACCGACATAATTTCTTTTAATGGATAGTTGGGGATTTCAGCTCCTGAGCTGGTACGACCTGGTTCCAACAAACACAGACGGCTTCCTTCTTTTGTGTAATCCTTGAAGTCTTTGCAATTCCCCCTTTTGTATCTATGGAGTATTCTCCTCAAGTCACCTTAGCCTAAGCAGCAGAAAGTTGACTCAGTTACTAAAAGACACATGGTGTTAATGTGAGGAATATTATTGGAAATAATTGCTAGGCTCTCAGATATGAATTTTGCTTGGGGGCATTTCTAGACTCACATCTTTGGACAACAGCCACTTGGAGTTTTAGACATGAGGATAGGAACACTTTCTGATTCACAGTTGGGTGAGGGTGGCCCTGGTGGGAGGAACTGATTAATCTGAGTAACTTGTTAGAGCTGGGAGGAAAGATATTTTTCTTAGTAAAAAGATACTAGGTAGTTTTTTTTTTTTTTTCCCCTGAGTATTTGAGTAGGCAAACTGTGTGGGAAAAAAGTGAAGAGAATAGTCCTGGATTCTGTGTGATGGAGGTGAGTGAAAAATGAGGACAGAGAAGTCATTAAACCTGCTCTGTGTGAGGGTTTCTTGGGGGAAGAGTAATGCAGTAATGGTGAGGAAGCCTCCTGTTTATAGCCACTCACCTAATGTACTGGCCCTGGTGCTGGGTGATGTATAAATATTATAGTCTGAATTCCTCACAGTAACCCTAACTCTTGAGAGATAGGTATTCAATCCATTCAGTTGCTGAAGCTGGAAACTTAGAAATCATCTTTGATTATTCCTCATACCCACACATCCTATTTATAACCATGTCCTAAAGACTATACCTCCAATTATATTTCAAAGCCATTTGACTCCTCTGCATCACCCCTACTTATCCTCTTGTATAGATCACCATCATCATTCCCTTCTTATCTAGTGTCCTGAGTCCACAGTTTCTCCTTCATCCATTCTCCACATGGCAGCCAGAGTGGTGCTCTTAAAAAGCGTATGGCTGGCCAGGCATAGTGGCTCACATCTGCAATCCCAGTGCTTTGGGAGGCCAAGATGGGAGGATTACTTGAGCCCAGGGGTTCCAGAGCAGCCTCGGCAACGTAGTGAGACCCTGACTTTACAAAAAAATTAAAGAATTAGCCAGGTGTGGTGGTATGCATCTGTAGTCCTAGCTTCCTGGGAGACTTAGGTGGGAGGATCACTTGAGCCCAGGAGTTTGAGGCTGCAGTGAGCTATGATGATGCCCCTCCACTCCAGCCTGGGTGACAGAACAACACTCTGTCTCTAGGGGAAAAAATGTGTGTGGTGTATCATGTTATTCTTCTGCTTGAACATATTCAATGTCCTTTAGAGTTAAAATCAAACTCCTTCTCATGATCTAACCCTTAATTACCACTCCCCTTGTTTTCTCAGCTCCAGAACACTTACCTGTCAGTTTTTCAAACATCCAATCTCTTTCCTTTGCCTTTGTCTAGAATCCAGTTCACTCTGCTTACCATTCCCCACTGGGTTCTTTTTCACCCTTGAGGTCTCCATTTAAATGTCACCTGTTAAGAGAAGGCTTCTCTAATCTTGTATTCTCAGTAGATCCTTCCCCTTCCCCAGCATTCTTGGCCTCAACACCCTGTTTGTTTCCTTCATAGCATTTCCCAACAATTTGAGTGTTAAAATTTGCTTCCTTGTTTTCAGCTGCCTTACCCAACAGATCATGCATAGGTACCATGTCTTTCTTGTTTACCGTGGTTTCTTTAGTCCTTAGCACAGTGCCTGTCATATAATAGATGCTCAATAAATACCTGTTGAATGAATAAAGAAACTGAGCCATAATCCAGGGTCACCTAGGCATTAGGTGGTTTCCCCTTATGTCTGGTGGGCATCTAAGCTCATTCCTATTCGCCACTTCTGTGGTACAGTGGGCTGGCGGCCCCAAGGTTGGGAGTTGTTGTGGTGGCCTGTGATCTTGTATAGTCTGGACCCAGTCCCAGGGTGATCCTCTTACTTTAACCATCATTCATTTGATAATAATTCTCAACCTGAGTCTACACAGCACTCTTTCCTTACCTCCAGTCCACGCTCCCACTGCCAACTGGGCATATTTTGACTGAACGTCAGAGGCCTAAGAAACAACTTGTACAAAAATTGGATTCATCAAATTCTCTTTTTCTCTTTCTGTGTTTTTTATCTCAACAAATAGCACTTTCATGTACTCAGTTGTCCCAAGTCAGAAGTCTGAGCATCCTATCTCCAAATCAGTCACCCACACCTATCAGTTTGGACATCTGTGTATTCTCTGATTCAGGGCCCTTCTTTCTCTACCTATCATCTGCCATAGCTCAGGCCGCAGTCTCCTCTGACCTCCTCCCTGGCCTCCCTGCTTCAGGTCAGGCCAGCCACAGTACAACCCTAGGTATCCATCTGAAATGCACATTTGATCATGTCCTACCCATCTTAAACCCTTACACTGCCTCTGTGACTATTCAAAGCAAGGTCAAATTCCTTAGCCCATTAAGAAGGCCAGGGAAGAACATTGAACTAACTTATGCACAGGTTGTGAGGAATTTCTAGGGCAAGGAGCTGAGGAGCAAGACCTGATGCATCACTGGTTCATTCATTGAGAAAGCAGTACCTGGTGCTTCCTCTGTTCTGGGCTCTGTGCCAGTGTTATGTGTCCAGAATGGACAAATTTCCCTTTTTCTTGCCTTGGCTCTTTCTCCTTTATGTCTCCTCTGGCCTCTTTTTGTTGGTCATCATCCATTTGTATGCATGCAACATGTGTGTGTGTGAATGTTTATTCCTCTTAGTTCCTACAATGTATGATTATAGTTAACTACGTGTTCCACAGGCAGCCTAGGTTCCAGGAATTGATCAGTGTTTCTAGATGCATATTTCTGACTCCTAATACTTGAAGTCAAAACTAGAGTATGTCATCACTGTAAAGTCTTGTGAACCCAAACACTAAGAATTTTTGGAAAAATTTGGAAGTATCTAGTTTATCCTTTTGCTCACTGCCACTACCATTGCCAATGACAACAGCAAACACTTGTTGAGGAAATAGTGAATTGTGAAATATCAGTGGATTGTGAAAATCAGCCAGTTGGGTGAAGACCAATGTGTTTTAAATGAAATAGATTAGTATGGAATGGAATGGAGTAAAACAGAAATATCACCCTTTCTCATGTATAGTAAGTGGAGGAGTTGTTTCATGAAACTTTAGTTTCTATTAAATGTGTGTTGTACAGACGGCTATTGCTACCATTATTGTGTTCCCCTCTTCTTCACTGTGTACACAACTGGACTATATTTCCTGGATACCTTTGCATGTGTGGTCATGTGACTAAATTCTGGCTAATGGAATATGAACAAAAGTGAATATTCCACCTCCAGGCTTGGCCTATAAAACCCTTGACTCAACTTGTCCCTTAAGTGTTTGCTATGGTAGGCGTATTCTAACGTAGTTTCAGAAAGCTGTGATCAGGAAGTTTAGAAGCATTTATATTGTCACATTTAACTCTTTTATCCCTGTGAAGCAAGCATTATCACCATTCCCATTTTACAGATACTGAAGCTGAGACACAGAGAGGCCAAGTTACTTGCCCGAGGCCACACACCTAGAAATGAGAGGAGCCAGATTTTGAATTCAGGCCACTGGGGCTGCAGAGCTGGGGCTTTCCATCATGACATTTTGCTATTTCTTAGGATCATGCCTGTATCTCAGGCATGTGCAAAGCCAGTACCAAGAGCTTTTTTCACACCTGACATGGCTGGAGTTCAGTTTCCAGTTATGTTTTTTTAATTGTTTTGAATCTGTTTTTATAAACACGGACTCTGCAGACACTGTGAAAATACTATTGTGAAATATGACTCTGAAGGCTTCAGAGTGTCATGCTGGGGATTAGCAGTGTTATTCCCAGGGATTCTAATGTGAGTCTGGCTGCCAAAAATCCCCTCCACTGTTTTGGAAAGGACAAAGCGGGGTATAGTCCCATTTATAGGGGTGAAGGGTAATTTCTAACATATGGCTCATGATTTACTATCTTGAAGAAACATTTATCTGTGGCTCAGTAGCTAGGCCTCGTCAAGCCACAGATGATGAAAGTGTTTATGAGGAATGGACTTGCCAGTTCAATTATTATTTCAAGGGAAATGGCTAACAGGAAAATTATACCACTGTAGTTGTTAGAAGCTAAAATCTATTTGTGTCTTTGTGGACAGGTTGATGGTTTTTAAAGCAGTTTATTCAGTTTCCCTTATATCTTCTCAATAACTCATCTCAAGAAGTTTTGGTCTTTGATATGCTAAAAAAAAAAAAAAAAAAAAGAAGGCAAGAAAGTCATCTGTCCTGTGACTCAGCAGCGAGTTTAGAGGGGAACTGCTTGACTGTGGATACCATTGCCTGGACTTGATGGAAAATGGGCTGTATTTTTAATATACTTAAATTTACCTATTCTAGTGCTTTTCCTCTCAAGATCACAAAAGATATAGTGGACATTATCTCATATGTTTAATCAAGATCTCTGTGAGGAGGGAGTGTGGGATGGTTTTCTAACTTTGTCTAATGAGCACGTAGTGTGTACCTTCTGTCGTGTTGCCTTCTGGTGAAGCATGCCCATCCCCTGCCCCACCCAAACCACCATCTTCCCTGGTGTAGCAGCTTGCCAAGGGGAGGTGGTGGATGCAGCCCACCTAGGAGCAGCAATAGTAGTGTGGATTATCTGCAGAAGACCTAGAACAGTAATTTTTAGCTGGCTAAAAATCAGTATGCATATACTCTCCTCGTGCTTTGGTGTTTCTAAACAATGCAGTGATACAACACTCTGTGCTGTGGTGGGCCACTCCTACTGCTCCCCTGGCCTCCTTTGTCCCCTGCTGTCCTGATGGTCAGGTTTACACAAAGGATCAGGTTATTAGGATTCAATGTTAAGTGCAGACAGTAGACTTCCTCACAGCATGTATGGTATTGACCTATTTTTTTTTTCTTATTTTAGAGACAGGGTCTTGCTCTGTCACCCAGGCTGGGATGCAGTGGCACAATCTCAGCTCACTGAAGCCTTGACCCCTCGGGCTCAAGTGATCTTCCTGCCTCAGAGTCCCCAGTAGCTGGGACTACAGGTACACCACCATGCCCAGATAATTTTTGTATTTTTTGTAGAGACAAGGTTTCCTATGTTGCCCAGGCTGGTCTTGAACTCCTGGACTCCAGCAATCCTCCCACCTCTACTCCCCAAAGTGCTGGGATTACAGGCATGAGCCACTGCACCTGGCCAGTATTGTCCTATTTTAATTGGAGAGAACACACACACACACACACACGCACACACGCACACACAAACACATCCCTAAACATACATATATATAGTAGTTCCCCCTTATCCACGATTTTTCTTTGCATTTTTTTCAGTTATTCACAGTCATCATTGGTCAGAAAATATTAAATGGAAAATTCCAGAAATAAACAATTCATAAGTTTTAAATTGCATGCCATTCTAAGTAGCATGATGAAATCTCACGCTGTTCTGCTTTGTCCCACCTAAGACGTGAATCTTCCCTTTGTCCAGGGTCTCCATGCTGTCTATGCCACCTTCCTATTAGTCACTTGTAGCCAGCCATCTTGGTGATCAGATCAGTTGTCATGGTATCGTAGTGCTTGTGTTCAAGGAACCCTTATTTACTTAATAATGGCCCCAAAGCCCAAGAGCAGTGATGTTGGCATGTTGTTATAATTGTTCTATTTTATTATTGGTTATTATTGTTAATCTCTTACTGTGTCTAATTTGTAAATTCAGCTTCATCATAGGTAATATAATAGTATATACAGGGTTTGGTACTATCTGTGGTTTTAGGTATCTATTGGAGGTATTAGAATATATTCTCCTTGGATAAGTGAGGACTATTGTACACACATTCATGTAGAAAAGATCTAGAAACATGTCTGTGCCACACCGTTGACTGCAGTTATCTCTCACAGTGGGATTAGAGGTAAATTTCACGTTTTTTTCAAGCCTGCTGTCATGCACTGCATAATGATGTTTCAGTCAGCTGTGGGCCACATATGACAATGGTCCCATAAGATTATAATGGAGCTGAAAAATTCCTATCCCCTAGTGATGTCTTAGCTGTTGTAACGCTGTAGCACAATTACTTTATTTTAAAAAATAAAGTCAGTGTAGCCTAAGTGTACAGTGCTTATAAAGCCTACAGTAGTGTACAATAATGTCCTCGGCCTTCACATTCACTCACCACTCACTCACTCACTGATCCAGAGCAACTTCCAGTCCTACAAACTCCATTCATGGTAAGTGCCCTGTATAGGTAGACCATTTTTCATCTTTTATGCCTTTGGCTTTCTTTGTTTTAAGAGACGGTCTCACTCTGTCTCCCAGGCTGTAGAGTACAGTGGTGCCTGCCGTTTCTCTTATAAGCACATTGGACATCATTGGATCGGGCCTCGCCGCATAATCTAGGATTATCTCATCTTGAGATCCTTAATTTAATTATATCTGCAAATACCTTTTTTTTCCAAATAAAGTTAATCCACGGATTCTGGATGGATAGATCTTCTTTTGTGGGGTGGTGGCGGGAGGAGGGGGCACTATTCAACTCAACACATACTGTTTTTTAGTTCTATTCTTTCACTCTTCAAAAAAATCTTTATATGAGTACCTACTACATGTTGGGTATTTGTCACATGCTAGGGATATAGCAGTGAATAAAACAGATGATTTACTTGTCATTAGGGACCTTATGGCATGATGGAAAATGTAGACACTAAAGCAATGAATAATTTGATAAGAGCTGATGACTAGCTTATTGGATGATCTTCCCAAACTAATTAACCTCCCTGAGTCCCAGTTTATTGGTAGCCCTGTCTAACTCACCAGAAAAGTTATAAAGACCAAATAGGACCATAAACATAGAAGTGTCCTTAACCTGGCTATTTTATTGCCACGCTTTTACTCATGCTGTCCCTATGAGATCCAGCATTTGGGCTGTGGAATTTGGCTTTCGGATTCAAACCAATCACAAGGTTCTAAGACTTTGGGCAAGTGATTTAACCTCTCTGGGCCTCAGGTTTCTCTGTTGCAAAATGGGGATAATAATAGTACTGGTCTCATCAGTTTCTTGTCATGATGAAAATGAGCTCATGCATTGGAAGTTAAAAAAACTATGCATAAATTCTTATGCAATTAATGTGTGCTCATTTTAGGCAATTTAGAAAGTACAGATTTACAAAAAAGAAACTTGAAAATTACTCACGATCTTGCCTACAACTAATTTCTGGTAACATTTTGATTTTTTTTTTTTTTGAGACAGAGTCTCGCTCGGTCACCCAGGCTTGAGTGTGGTGGCATGATCTTGGCTCACTGCAACCTCTGCCTCTAGATTCAAGCGATTCTCTTGCCTCAGTCTCCTGAATAGCTGGGATTACATGCATGTGCCACCACTCCCTGCTAATTTTTGTATTTTCAGTAGAGACGGGGTTTTGCCATGTTGGCCAGGCTGATCTCGAACTCCTGAGTGATCCTCCTGCCTCGGCCTCCCAAAGTGCTGGGAGTACAGACGTGAGCCAGCACACAGTTTGATATATATTCTTTCAGTCACTTTTTCACACGGTTTATATTTTCTTATTAAAACAAGGAGTACACACTGTTTTCTAAACTACTCTTTTCATTTAACCTATTGTGAACATTTCCCTGTATTCATGAATTTTCTTTCCCAACATCATTAATATAGGCTGCCAATCTACCATATACCTGTTTTGTAAATTGATTAAACAGTTATACACAAAGGAGAGTCAAAATCGGGTAGGTAGTTTATGGACAGTGCAGCTCAAATAATTCCTCTGCCTTTGGGACCCTTTTCATTGGGATGATTGCTGGCCTTAGTGGTACTACTTAGTGGGAGACCTTATGGAAAACTGATACCCATTGTCAAATGAATGTGTTTCCTGTGGACTTGGTTAAGATCTGCTGGGATCCCAGTATCTAAAGATCTTCAGTTCCCCATTGGGCCATGACTGAGGCCAATGGGTCACCTTCTTCAGGCTTAGCTCCATTCCAAGACCCCATTGCCCCTCTCATTGAAGACAATTCACCTGGTACAGGTGACACAGCATCAAGTCCATCTTATGGTGATTCCCACTCCTGCCTGGGTCCCAGCCTGAGTCTCTTGTAATAGAAAGCATGGTCTCTGTGTTTAGGGAGGCCTGGGTTTAAATCACATCAGCTGCTCACCAACCCTGTGACTTAAGTAAAATTTCATGAATTCTCTGACCCTCAGTTTCTCAGCTGTTAAGTGGGGATAATAATATGCCCCACAGAGGATTGATGTAAGGCTTGCTTTAAACTTCTTCTGGAACACTATCGAGTAGAAATAAATGGATAGAATATAAATGAGATTATGTACATTATTTTCCAGGAGTTATTTTAGTTATTTAATAGACATTTATCTCATGCTTACTATGTGCTAGGCCCTGTTACAACTATTAACCTCATTTTAAACATGGATGGAACTTAAAGAAGTTAAGTAAATTTAGCAAACAATGGGGAGTGTCAACCTTGGGTGAGACACTGTGGAGTCATGTTAGAGAGCAGAGTGCCACATTCTGCCCAACCCTCCCAGAGATCCTGTGGGAGACATAACTATATTCATGCATGAAGAATGTTGGAGAGATGTAGGTAATAATGGCTAAGAGGAAAGGCTGGAGATTGAATCTGAATTGTGTTATTTTAGGCCAGTCACTTAGTTTTCTCAGTTTTCTTGCCTATAAAATGGGAACAACTGTGAAGATTAAAGGACACAGAACATGTATACTTAACATGTACCTGCTACATGGACACTATTAATACCTGAAATATTGACTATAGTTATCAGTGTTCTAATGCAAATAAAAGCAAAGTACAGGATGGGAGGAAAGAATTGAGACATTTGTGCACAGGTGTGTGTGTGTGTGGCCTGTGCAGCAGATGAGATTTGAGTTCATCCGAGTTCATGACTGAAGGGAATGTAATAGAAGGGACCTCCTGGGTAAGTGTGAACCTGGTGTCTGGGGTGGGGGAGTGTATGTGGGTGAGTGTGACTGCAGTCAGGGGAACATCAGGGTAGTTAACTGGCTGGGGATGAGATTGGAGGGTGATGTGCAACATCTTTCTAGGAAACGGTTTTCTGTCTTGGGTTTGCGACAGCACTGCAACCTTATTTCATCTACCTGCCCATCTGTTCATCTATCCTTCATCTGAGCACTTAGGCAAGTCACTTCACCTCTCTGGACCTTACTCCCCTCCTCTGTAAAATGAGGTTGATTGCAGGATCTCATGGAGTTGTGAGTGAAGGTTGTGTGAGAGAGACCATGAAGAAGACCTAAACTGGCTCAGGCATAGAGAGGACACTTGGTGATGGATATTAGGTGCTGTTATTTCAGCCGTGTGCCAGAGGGTATGCTGCATGCTGGGGAGCTAGGTCAGAGACTCAGACAGTTTGCAGTGTGCCTCCTCCAGGGGTAGTACGTGGCTGAGGACTCTATACCTCTTGCTCCAACACTGAGGCCTGGCATGTTTTCCCTGGACCCCCTGAAAACCACAGTTCTCCCCTGGGTTTCCCTCCCACTGCCTGCCTACCTACCTCTGGCTACCAGCCTGCCTAGCAAGGTCTCTTCCAGGGCCTCCCCTTGGCCAGCTCTGCCTGTGCCTGTAACTCCACCTGTGCCCTTCTGCTCAGGTTGCCTCTCTGTTACATTTTGCTAAAGAGACCACCTGGCATCTTGGAGCAACCTCTCTTTGTGACTATTCCTGGCTCCCTGTCAGGATACACACCCTTTTTCTAGCACCCTGCTCTTCCTGCATTGACTTATCTTGGTGCCCTCTGTACTCCAGGCTGTTATGAGGATGTTATCTTTTCACTTGGGTCATACTATTACATAAATGTTAAATAGCTAACACTTGGCTGGGTGCAGTCACTCATATCTGTAATCTCAGCACTTTGGGAGGCCGAGGTGGGAGGGTCTCTTGAACCCAGGAGCTTGAGAACAGCCTAGGCAACAAGATGAGACCCCATCTCTACAAAAATAAAAAAAATTATCTGGGTGTGGTGGCATGCACCTGTGGTCCCAGCCTCTTGGGACACTGAGGTGGGAGGATCACTTGAACCCAGGAATTTGAGACCAACCTGGTCAACTAAGCAAGACCTCATCTCTACAAAAAAATTTTAAAAAGTTAGCAGGGCATGATGGCATGCACCTATGGTCCCAGCTTACTTGGGAGGCTGAGGTGGGGGGATCGCTTGAGCTCAGGGAGGTTGAGGCTGCAGTGAGCTATGATTGCACCACTGTACTCTAGCCTGGGCAACAGAGTGAGACCTTGTCTTAAATGAATAGACAGATAGCTAACACTTATTGAACTATGTTCCAGATACTCTCCTGGCACCACTGCTGGCTGGCTTTACACCTGGTAACCACTTCATTCTCACAACTCAATGAGGTGGTTGCAGCTGTCATCCCCATTTACAGATGAGGCTGTGAGCCACAGAAAGGGCTAGCACCCTGCCCAAGGTTTCACAGCTTGTTGGTGGCAGAGCAAGAAGAGGTTTGCAAATAAAATGTTCAAAAGTCAGTAATTGTACTTACATGTTTTATAGGAGGAAGGGACCACTGTTACCAGAGATGTGAAAAAAATTCTACCATCCCTAATTCCATTTCATTTTTTAGATACAGCCTTTAGGGATCCCCTTCTGGCAGCCTTAACAATTTTGTCGCTTAGCCTCATACTTGAGGCCTGGCTTAAGGCATCATATTCATGCTAAAGATGAACCATTTTGAACACTATAAAACTCACTAATGCCACCTGTCTCAGTCCTTGGGCTTTCATGTGTTGTCACTTATGTCAGTCCTTTTGCTTCAGTTTTCCTCTAATTTTAATAAAATAAGGGCAAATGCCATAAAATATTCCAGAGTTGCTTGGACCTGGCTGCAGAGATTAGATGGTGAGGTTTTTGAGCAGGTGGAGGGTTGGCTTGCAGAGAGTGCCAGCGGGTTGTGTTCACCATCTGATACCCTAAAGCTCCAATTCCATGCATGGATAATGGCTTAAAAGGCTCCATGTGTGGTGCCTGCAAGCCAAATGTTGGAAAATTCTATGGGGGATGCCAAGAACAGCCCTCACAGAAGGCAATTCTCTAGGGGGATTGGCCCGGACTTGTTCACTGTGAGCCCCTTGATACAGAACCCCTTACTTTGTCCCACACATGTATGGACACACCATTTCTGATTCAGGAACATCTTAGTTTGATGCAGAACAGCATCATTCACAGCTGTTCAAATTCTGACCAGATTTTCAGCGGCCTGAGTAGACCCAGAAGGATGGACTCAACAGATGCTGCTGTTGTCAGGCTGTGCGTGGAATGGCCAGTTCTTGACACCACATTTTAGGACAATTAGAAGCCGCAGCTTTTCCACAGAAGAGTCACCAGGATGGTTCTTATTTGAGCTCTTGCATTCCATCAAGAACAGTTGAATGACCTGGAGGTATCTCACGTAAAGAAGAAAAGTCCTTAGAAGAGAGCAGTGGTCTGGCTTCCCATACTTGGAGAACCGTCTTATGAAGAAAGAAACAGATTCATTCTGTGGAGGTTATGCTGTGTAGCTGTCAAAAGCTTGACGGATCTTTGGAGAATGACAGATGTGGGCCCAAACCTCAGTTTTGCTTTCCAGTGGTCTGGTCTTAGGCTGCTCCATTAACCTCTTCAAGACTCTGGTTTCCTCCTGAAAACTGGGGATAAGATTGGTGCTTACCTCCTAAGTTTGGGGTGTGGGTTAAATGAAATATTTCATGGCAAGTTGTTAGCGCAATGCTTGGTGCATGGCAAGACCTTGATGAATGGCCAGTAAGATGTTATTAAATTTTGTGTAATGAGGAACTAGACCAAAGAGGGGAGAGTCGGACAGCAGATTTTGGCTTAACATTTATAAGGAGAGAACTTTCCAACTATCAGAGCTGCGTCACGGAGGCATGACTGCCCCAATCTGAAATCTTTCAGGCTTCAGCCCAGTGACCCCCATCAAGGATGTGAAAAGATTTAGGCTGGGAGAGAGAAGCTGGACCAGCTTGTTCCCATGGTGCTTTCCAATTCTGTGAGCCCTCAGCATTTTATACTACAAGGCTTCATTACAGACAAGTGTTTGAAATGAAAATCTGCAGCAAAAGAAAGACCATGCCCTTTTCTGTAAAAATGTCACCACCACCACCGCTGCCACCACCACCACCACCATAACTGTGTTCTCTCATGGTCTGAAGTGTGGCACGTGTCTGCAGCCAGGGAAGTTGTCTGTGTAGGAGCCGCCCTCTGCTCCTGCGATCTGCAGCCATCTGGACCGTGGGGGTGTGTAGGGAACACGCTGTTGATTCATATGCCATTCCTTGCTGGCATCTCTAAAATGGGCCCTCTGGCTGGAGCTGTGAAGCAGCCAGACCCTCCCTCTCCCACGCCTTCTCCACGTACTCGAGAGAGAAAGGGGTGTGAGGGAAGATGTGTAAAGATCCAGGAATGTGGAATGATGTTTGGGTGGCTCCTGAGGGCAACTGGATGGAGAGCCAGAGGCTTTCTTCAATCCAGTTTTAGACTCTGGGACTCAAAATATGATGCCCAGAAGGGTGGCCCTCAAGTTGTGTTCAGAGGAACCTTAGAGTTTCAAGAAGACACCTCAGGGATCCTTGCAGTGGACTTAGTGGATGGATGACAGGCCCTTTCCTCCCCCTGTCACCCTATTAATCAGAGCAAATCCACTTCTTTCCTCTTCCTGTTCCCTCTGCCTTGACCACGTTCCCCACAGGTGTTTGCGTGCTGGTTCCTGCTCATCCTTCAGGTCTTGGTTTGAGTGTCATCTCCTTTGGGGGACCTTGCCTGACTGCCAGCTTAAAGTTAGAGTGGGATGATAACAGGGGAAGATACAATGTCTTAATTGGTACTGCACTTTAGGGCTAGCGAGTTGACATTTATACTACATGTTTGGGAGGCAGACCTCATATGGATCCTATAATTCCCTCCCCCATCATTCTCTATCTCAGCATCTTCTTATTGCTGTTGTTTGTAAAGCACTTATTACCTGTATACATTTACAATTTTTAACTTGTTGATTTACGTATTTCTGACTGCTGTCTATAACAGACAGTAAGCCTCATGGTGGTAGCAGCCATTCCGTCTTAATTCCTTCCTGTCTGCAGGACCTATAACAGTGTCTAACAAATAGTAGATGCTTAATTAATTTTAGTGTGTGGATGCGTGTATGTGCGTGCATCTCATCTGGGGACAAAACAAGCTTGAAGGCTTATACTGCTAAAATAAGTTTTAAAGCCACTTACCTAAAACAAAAATAATGGAGTCCTACCCTATTTACTCCATGCTGGTTCAGATAAAACCTGGAGTTCTGTGTACAACCTCTGAATCGTAGATTGTAACAGATGCTCATTTTGCCCAATTCAGACCCCTAGCAACCCTTTTGCTGGGCAGATGCACCCATCCTCCAGTGGCTGTGAGTGCTGTTGCCAACAGCTCATATCTGTGACCTTTCCTGGAAGTGTGCCTTTCATGACTAGAATTGCCAAACTTTTTCCTGTCCAGAAGTGCTGGGGGAACCCACAGGCAGAGGCTGACTGGAGCGAGGGTACAGAAGCCCAGCCCCCTTGCCTCAAGGGGAACAGACTACAGCATAGCTTACTCTCTAGAGCTCCCTGCAAGTCCAGGCTCAGGTTAGATTTCCTATACAACACCCTTGCTTAACTTCCCTGTCTTCTCTATATGGCATCTTTCCCTCCCTTAAAGCTTTCCTGAAGAGCCCTCTCTTAATAAACCACTTGCATGGAAGTCCTTGTCTCAGGCTCTGCTTCTCAGGAATTCAACCTGACATATAGAAGTAGACTAAGGTAAGTGACCCAGGGGTTGCTAATAGCACCTGATATCGTGCCATATAAGAAACAGTAGGACTGGCCGGGTGCGGTGGCTTATGCCTGTAATCCCAGAACTTTGGGAGGCCGAGGTGGGCAGATCATCTGAGGTCAAGAGTTCATGACCAGTCTCGCCAACATGGTGAAACCCTGTCTCTATTAAAAATACAAAAATTAGCCAGGCATGGTGGCAGGCACCTGTAATCCCAGCTACTCAGGAGGCTGAGGCAGGAGAATCACCTGAACCCAGGAGGCAGAGGGCAGAGGTTGCAGTGAGCTGAGATCACACCATTGCACTCCAGCCTGGGCAACAAGAGCGAAACTCTGTCTCAAAAACAAAACAAAACAAACAAACAAACAAAACCAACAACAACAAAAGGACCCTGTAGTAAGAAAGACATTGGACTTGGATACTGTTATCATCGGAGATGAACCTGATTTGTTCTTTATGCCCTTGAATGAGTAGAACAAAGGCCAGTGTATGGAAGCTTCAGGGGAATTATTTCCCCTCAATGCAGAAAAAAAAACTCTCCAACAGAGGAGTGCAAAGGAGAGATTAGCTATTCAATATTAGTTTTCTATTGCAGCCATGACAAATTACCACATGTTTAGCAGCTTAAACAACACAGATTTATTAGCTCACAGGTCAGAAGTATCCTGGTATAGCACAACTCAACTAGATTTTTTGCTTCAAGTTCTACAAGGTCAAAATTAAGTATCATCAGGGCTGTGCTCTTTTTTTTTTTTTTTTTTTTTTTTTTTTTTAAGGTTCTTGAGATGTATATGCTTTCAAATCATTTAGGTGGTTGGCCAAAGCCACTTCCTTGCATTTGTAGGTCCAAGGTCCTGATTTCCTTGTTGGTCATCAGCTGGGGGCCACCCTGAGCCCTTAGAGGCTTCCTGTGGTCCTTGCACATGATGTGGCCCCTACATCTCAGAATCAGCAATGACACATCAAATCCTTCTCACACTGAGAATCTCTCTGACATCCTCATCTGCCGCATCTCTCTCTGCCTCCAGCCAGAGAAAGTTCTCAGCTTTTATAAGGCACATGTGATTAGATTGCACTCACCCAGATTATCCAGGATAATCTCCCTATTTTAATGTCTGTAATCTTAATTACAAATACAAAGCCTCTTTTGCCATATAATGTAACATATTAGTAAGTTTTAGAAATAGAAAGTGGACTTCTTTTTTATTCTGCCCACTACATTTCACCCTCTGACTCCCAAAGATTCACATTCCTCCAAAGTAATAAATACATTCACCTCATCCCAGATCTTCAAAGCTCTCATCCCATTGCAGCATCAACTCAGTCCAAAATCTCATCTAAATCTCATCAGTTCAAAAGTCCCATTGTCTAAATCGCTTATGTATGGATGAGGCTCTGGGTATAATCCATTAAATACCACTCCTGGGGACACAATTTCCCTCTTTTAGTGGGCTTGCAAAATGAGAGAAACAAGTTATCTGCTCTCAATAGATAATGGTGGTAGAGGCATAGGATAACAGTTACAGATGAATATAATGTTCAAATAGGTAACAAGGAAGGTAAGATGGAGCCACTGGTCCATTGCAGTTTTAAAATCCAGCTGGGAAATCCATGAGGTTTTAAAGTATGGGAATAATACTCCATGGTTCTTGCCTCTGCACTCAAAGCCTACAGCACCCAGTTTTTCCAGCTGCTCTCTCACCCCAATACTAACCAGGCCCAATATTGCTTAGCTTCTGAGATCAGATGAGATGAGATGCATAGGCTGAGGTGAGTGACCAGGACACTCTGTCATGTAAGAAATAGAATAATGATTCTTTAGTAAGAAAAACTTTGGACTAGAAAGCTGTCACAGTGGCAGATTGGCCCAATTTGTTCTTTATGTCCCCAAATGAGAGGGACAAAGGCCAGTGCATAAGGTTCAGGGAGGTGTATTTTAGCTCAGAAATGGAGTCCAACAGAGTAGTGCAAAGCTGGTTGAAGATTAATCACCCACATGTACTCTTCCATGAGGTTTTCCAAAGCCATTCTTCCCTCATCAGGCCTGGATGCTTATTTTGCATTCTCTCTCATAGCATGTCATTCAAAATGAGTGGGGTTCTATCAGGGAACTGAGAAACAAACCAAGAGTCAGATTCAGATCCCTGTTAAAATACTAGATGTTTGCAGAGGATGAAGCAACTGCAGATAGCAATATAAACCAAGTGTTATGTTAGTAATTAAAAGAGCGAGTTTAGACCTCAGACTGACCGTGCTTGTACTCAGGTCTTACCACCCTTGCAATCTTGGGTATGTTACCTAACTCTCTCAGTCTGAGTGGCTGCACCTTTTCCATGGGGCGGTAAGTCCTATGTGGTGGAATGCTGTGCAGAGCAAATCAGGCACTAGATGGGAAGCATGGGGCTTTACATATGATAATCATTGTGTAAGTTATAGCTGCTGTTATTATTGTTGAAATTAACATTTGTGGTCTTATATTCCAGGAAATATATTCCCTTTTCCATTAGACAGTCAAGTTCCTTGAGACCTGGGATGGTGTTTCATTTATCTTTGCTGTCTCTGCATTGCTTAACATGTGTTAGGTGTCCAATAATTATTGAACTACATAACTAAATTTTATTGTTTCTCCCTATGACATTGCTAACATAACACAACTGGCCAAATATTAATAGAATTTCATTCTATTAATTTCTGTGGTTTCCAGGACCATAACATCTAAAGGACCAAGATGAATCTGTGAAAAAGTCTTTAATGCAGATTCACCAAAAGGAGCACATTATCCATTAAGACAAATTAAAGAAAAATGTACATGCACAGAGATTCAGATAGCATAGTTTTAGGCTCCCAAATGTCCATTTACTTGTGACAGCTGAAAAATAATTTACTAATAACTTCCTACTGTATTTATCTATTTCCATGGAAACTGTTTCCCTGTCTCTCTAGAATTTGAAGCCTTCTGTGTATGACAAATATCTTTATAAGAATATAAAGATATTTTTATATATATCTTTATATATGGGCTAATACATTCTGCCCCCTCTGCAGCCCTTACCTCTTGGATCTCATCTCTCAGCATTCTCCTCAGCATTCTTTCCACTCCAACAACCCTGGGAAACTTGCCGTTCCCCAAATCCTCTAGGCATGACGTCACCCTCATTGAGAATGCATGCACTAGAACATAAGCTCCGTGAAGGCAGGGATTCTCTGTGTGTCCTACCTGGCCAATAGTGGATTTTTGCTAAATGAAAATTATTCAATTAGACCCAGTGACAGTGTATTAATGCTAGCCAATGTCAGAGCACAGAACAAAGAGGCAGGGAAGGCATTCTGCCAGACTGCCTTCTTTAATGTGCTGTCGGGAACACTAATAATCATTAAAGAGCAAAAACAGTCATAAGGATACATTTCAATGATGATTGTATGCTGTGTGTCAGTCCATATATTTATCCCAACCTCTCTACGCGATGAAATAGCTGTGACATCCATGAGGAAACTGAGTATTAGAGAAAATCCAGTAACTTGCCCAAGGTCATGCACCTAGTAAGTGGAGAGGACAGGATCTCACTCTAGAGGGTAAATTTAAAGATTTTATGAGCTTTATTTTCCAAATAGTGAGGTTTTATTTTCAACTTTTATTTTTAACTTCTTGCTTTATTGTGTATGGACAAAGAATGTAGCCTGTATATTAACTTTTGCCTTTTGGAATCCATCTGAGGTTTTCCTTGGTGGCCTGGTATGGGGTCAATCTTTAAATATTCCATTGAGTCTTCAAATGGAGGTTATTGGATCCAAAGTTCAGTGTAACTGTCTATTAATTTAGGCTTATTAATTCTATTATGTAAATATTTTAGGTTATTATTTATAAACGCTTGATTGGTCAAAGATTGAGAAGGTTATTAAAATTTGAAAGTAATTGTGGTTTTTTTTTGCCCCACTTCTTCTGTGTGCCAACCATGTTTGCCTTTTAAGTTTTAATATCTAATATGGACATTGGTCTCAGACAACTGCTACTATGATAAAATTCTTTCATTTTCAAATACTGAAGAAAAGAATGGGAAATGAGACTGAATCAAAGGAGAAATAGGGAAGTGCCTATAATGAAAGAAGCCAATGGAGGTGTCAACTTCAAATATCAACTCAAAGCCAAGTGGTGAAACGGGGGCAGTGTAGGGAGGCAATTAGGAGCAGTGGCTCTGGAGTCAGACTGCCTGGGATAAATTTCTGCAGTACAGTTCAGTAAGGTTTTCTTGAGTAAGTTAATAACTTCTCTATTTCTGTTTCTTCAAGTGAAAAATGGTGATAATAAAATGGTGATAATACCTACTTAGGGAGGTTATTTTGGGGATTGAACACATTAATATTTATTAAATACTTAAAAGAGTGCTTAGCGCATAGCAATGTGTAAGTAACTGTTAGTTATTATCATCCTTCACAGCAGACTCCTTTTGGTCGAAAGTACTGTAGGACTTCCAGGCTTATACATACAGTGTCATTTGTACGGTTTCATTTAATCAAGCCATCAGTGTTTGTTGAGCGCCTACTGTTGGCAGGCACTGTGTTAATTACTGAGCATGTAATGGGCATAGAGTCACTGTTCTCATGGAGTTTACCACTCCATGATATACACAGACATGGATTAATTAATTTTATAAATTAGTGTAAAATTGTGGCCATGTTCAGTGACATGGAGGAAAAGTACACAATGCTATGAGAGTATACATGAGTGTATGGAATGTTAGACTAGTCTAGAGGGTCAGCTGTTGACCTTCCTGTGATATATTTGCAATATATGGCTGCATAACACATTACCCCAAATTTAATGGCTTAAAACAACAAACCTTTATTATCTCACAGACTCTGTAGGTCAGGAATTTGGGAGTTGCTTAGCTGGGTAGTTCTGGCCCAGTGCCCCTTATGAGGTTGCAATCAGGCTGTTGGACAGGGCTGCAGTCATCTGAAGGCTTGAATGGGACTGGATGATCCACTTTTTTGATGGCTCATTCGCAGGGCTTTTGGCAGGAGGCCTCAGTTTCCTGTCACACAGGCCTCACCATAGGATGTCTTGATATCCTCATGATGTGGCAGCTGCCATCTACCAAAACAAGTGATCCAAGAATATGAGCAAGAAAGAAGCCATAATTTCTTTTAAACCTAGGCCTCAGAAGTCAAACATGTCACTTCCACCTTATTCTATTTGTTAGAAGTGAGTTACTGAGTCCAGTCTACAGTGAAGGAGAAGACATTTAGGCTTCACTTTATAAAGAGAATGTTGAAGAATTTGTGGACATGATTTAAACTACCACCTGAGGAGTAATTCTTTTTCCTGAGATTGGCTAGTATGAGTTTTGAAGATATCCTAGACCAAGGGTTGACAAACTTTTCTATAAAGGGCCAGATCGTAACTATTTTCAGCTTTGCAGGGCCATATGTTCTCTGTCACAACCACTCAGTTCTGCCATTGCAGCATGAAAGCAGCCATAAATAATGTGGAAATCAATGTGCATAGCAGCGTTCCAATAAAACTTTATTTACCAGAAGAGATGGTGGGCTGGATTTGGTCTGTGGGCTGTAGTTTGATAACCTCTGTAGACAAAAGGGAATAAAAGGGTGGAGTATTATTCCAAACAGAAATAACAGTATGTTTTAGAAAGAAGAGAATTATTGCGCATTTAAGATACCTAAAACACATTTGATTCTCCACGCCTCCATGTACTGAGAGGTTTATTGAAACACTGTTTGTAATGGAAAAAAGAGTAGGAAACACTTACTTATAGAATTACTTAATATCATTGATAAAGTTTGAAAACATAAATATTGTTGGGTAAAACCCAAAATGCAAAAAAGCTTTGTGCAATAGACAGCTGGTATTTCTGTAAGTTAAAAAATAGCGTACTGTATTGTTAGCTTTATGTTATTTATGAGGACATACATACATAATGAAAGCACAAAAACATGCATGAAAAAGATAGACACCAACTTCAAGATGATGGTTACTCTCCGAAAGGATAGAGATGGGAACGGTTGTGGGTCTTCAACAATTTCTGTTTCTGTTTTAGAAAAACTTTTAATTGTGGTAAAATACACATGATATAAAATTTACTGTCTTAACCACTTTTAAATGTACAGTTCAATAGTGTTAAGCATATTTACATTGTTGTACAACCAATCTCTAGGACTTTTTCATCTTGCAAAACTGAAACTCTGTACCCATTATACAACTCCTCATTTCTGCCTATCACCACCCCTGGCAAGCACCATTTCACTTTCTATTTCGATAAGTTTGTCTACTCTAGATACCTATCATAAGTGAGATCATGCAGTATTTGTCTGGCTTATTTCACTTAACATAATGTCCTTGAGGTCTATCCATGTTGTAGCAGGCATTAAAATTTCCGTCCTTTTATGGCTGAATAATATTCCATTGTATGTTTACATGGCATTTTGTTTATCATTCATTCATCTATGGACATTTGGGTTGCTTCTACCTTTTTGTTATTGGGATAATGCAGCTATGAACTTGGGTGTACAAATCTAAAGCAGAGTTTTGACAAGATGAATGATTGGTTAAATAGCCCACTGTGCAAATATAGTAACCTGAGGGTTTTCTCTCCTCCTGTTCTTCCACAGCACATGCTAGTTAGACTTTCACTCCTGCCATCCCCCAAACTGCTCTAGATGAGGTCACTAATGACCTTGACTAAGTCCAGTGGTCAATTCTCTAGCTTCATCCTATTGATCTCTCAGTAGCAATTGATGTGATGGCCACGCTCTCATTATGGACACAGCTGCTTCACTTGATCTCCAGGAGGCCATGCTCTTCATTCTCTTCCTACTTCACTAGCTGTCCTTCTCAGGCTCCTTTGCTGCTTGCTCCTGACTTCCTGACCCCTCACTCTTGGAGTACCCCTGTCCTCAATACTCTGATCTCTCTTCTTTCTATGCTCAGTCCCTGGTTGATTCATCTAGGTTTTAAATACTGTCTATTCACTGATCCCAAAGTTGTCATTGTAGTTCTTACTTCTCCCCTCAAATCTAGACTCATCTATTTAATCACCTACTCAGCACCTTCACTTAAATGTCTAATATCATTACAAACTTAACACATACAAAACCAAAACTCTTAGTTCCCATAACTCCCACCTTTCCTTCCCAATCTTCCCTGTCTTGGTGGTCCACTTCCATTTTTCCTGTTGTTCAGGCTAAGAGGCTTGGAGCCATCTTTTGCTTCTCTCTTTAGTCCTCAGGCAATCTATCAGGAAGCCAAGTCCACCTCATGTTCAAAACATATCTAAACTCAACTTTTTCTCCTTGCCTCCACTCTGCTACCATGGTCCAAGGTTCTATCATGCCTTGCAAGAGTTATTCCAGTTACCTCTAACTAGCTCTGATGGGTCTGTCCTTATCACCACCACCCCGAAACCATGCTGCAATACAACATTGGGAGTAATCCTTTAAGAAAGTGCCTCATGTCATGGTTTGCCTTTGCTCAGACCTTCCAATGTCTTCCCATTTTTCTCAGAGTAAAATCAATGTCCTCACGACAAACTCCAAATGTGGAGCTCATCCTCTCATTCCCACCCACCCCTGCACTTCTTTGGCTTTCTACTTACCCCATCCCTCATGCAACTTCAGCCACACACTTAGCCTTCACTGTTCTCTCTGCCTGGAATATCTACACAGCTTGTTCCCTCGTTTCCGTTAGATGAAGCTTGTCCAGTCAGTGGTCTATGGGCTGCATGCCACCACGACGGCTTTGAATGCAGCCCAACACAAATTCATAAATTTTCTTAAAACATTATGAGTTTTTTTGTGACTTTTTTTTTTTTTTTAGCTCATCAACTTTCATTAGTGTTAGTGTATTTTATGTGTGGCCCAAGACAATTCTTCTTCTTTCAGTGTGGCTTAGGAAAGCCAAAAGATTGGACACCCCTGCTTTAGATCTTTGCTTAAGCGTCACCTTTTCATGAAGCTTTCTCTGACTATCCTATTGGAAGTTGTAATTGATCCATGCCTCCCTAGTATTTCCCATTCTACTTCTCTGATTTATTTTCCTTTATAACATTTATAACGATGTGGTTTAGTCTCCTTTTAAAATTATCGTGCCTTTTCCTCCACTGGAATCTGGAATTTAAAAAAAAACAAACAACTATGAAGGCTGGGATATTGGTCTGTTTGGTTCACTGCTGTATTTCTTGTATCCCCTGTATCAAATTATTATTTGAATATCTGAACCTCCCATGTTTTAAGACTGACATGAGTTGATGTTTGAGATTTTAGTGTTCCTTTCCTATTGATTCCTCCAATTGGTGTTGGTCCATAATAGTGGCAATTTTAAAACATGGCTTCAAATTCTTTGGCACTCCTTCCTTTAGGAAGCAGGCTTGTGACTGCTTCAAAAGAGCATGACAGAAGTGGTGCTATAGGACTTTCAAGGTTAGGTAATAAAAGGCCATGTAGTTTTCTTGCTCTTGTGCAAGAAACTGACCTAGAATTCATGAACATAATACAATGGTGGTGGTCTGATGCCATTAAGTTTGGGGTGGTTTGTTATACAGTAATAGATTTACAGAACAATAATGGGAAAAGGCCAGATAAATGTAATAATTACCTTTGGAATGAAAGTTAAGTTTTTACTTGTTGTTATTATTATTTGGTCTGTTGAAGAAAGTATGTGGTGTGTGAACATTATTCTGACAGGTTCATCTTGGAAGCTAGTGTCCATCCAGATTAACCCACTGACTCTAGACTCTCATTAACGCCAAGAAGTATCATTCTGATGAACCACTTGAGATTTCATGCTCAAAATTCTAGGCTCTTCATGTACTTTTATGTTGATCAGCTGAAGGAGCTAGCAATTTTGCACTAGCTAAAGCCAACCTTGTCATGAAATTACAGGAAAATATATAATGTGGGGTTTGATGTCACAGTGAGATGTTAAATTTTGTGATGCCACCAATTTTCTTCCCTTATTTTTTTCTGTTGTTTTTAAAAGTGAGAATAGGTGGGACTAGAAATACCAGCTAGAGGTCCTCATTTCAGTGTCAGCTGTTTATTAAAAATCTGGATAATTTCAGAGCTGGAAGAGCATTAGAAACCAATTCATAAAGCTCCTGATTCTGCTGATCAGAGAGGGGAAGCAGCATACCCAAAGTCTCAGGCTGGGACTGCAGGCTCCTGACTTTTGGCTTCTAGTACAGTGCTCTTTCCTCTCAATAAGTGGTTATCAGCCCAAAGTCTGGCTCAAAGGTAAACTTCTGGGGTGCTGATCCAGGCTCTGTGAACCAGCTGACATGGTGCACACCATTTTGCTTGCATGTGCTTTTGTGTCCATTTCCAGAAAGAATCCACTCCTCCTGTTTGATTTTTACAGAGATCTGTGACGCAGAAAAATTTAAGTACCATTGCACTTCATGATTTAATAACACTGTCATGTGAAAACTATCACAGTAAGTTAAATCTTATACTCAGTCATACCTATATGAGAGGACATCAAATGCTCCTGGGGAAATTCATTAGTTGTTTAGGATTAGTGCATAATGGGTGCATCGCTCAGATGGTTAGGGGCAGTTGGAGCCTCCAGCAACCAATTCATCCTACTGTCTGTTTAGAAAATTTGGCAAGCAATCACACGTTAAAATCACTTTGGTGATTCAAAAGCAACAAACAATACAGGACTAATAAGGTATTAATTTGCCTTGTAGCCATTGCAGTTCTTAAAGCAGAGAGAGCTGAGATCTCTGTAGATAAAGCCTGAAAGCTCATAGGCTTAACTTAATAGAAGTTTATTTTTATTTCATATCACCATGTGATGTAGGTCTTCAGCAGCCTTTCAAATGATGTTTCAGAAGTGTGGGCTTTTTCTATCTTGAGGCTACACCATCTTCTTGGATATTGAAGTCCTTCACTTCTAGCTAGTAGATAGAAAAAGAGGGAGAGTTGAGGACTAGTTAGGAAGTTTTTATGAAAGTTGATCGCGTTGCTCATTTCTAACCACATTCCACTGGACAGAAATAAGTCCCATGGCCCCACCTAGGTAGTGGTTGTGGGGCCTCCTAGCAACAACTCTATTGTATGGAAGAGGAGCACAAACCTTCCTTGGGCAACTGGTCCTCTACCACAGAGTGAGTATTGTAATAATCTCAAATCTCAAAGATAGGTGAAGTGTTTGAGATGGGATTTTCAGACAGTCCATGTTGTCTGGATATAGATTACAATTTTCATTTACCTGACACCTTAGGAATCAAGATGAGCCTCAGAATCTATGAAGTCAGGATTGAAAAATATTGTAATTAAGAAAATTACAATTCTTGGGTAATTGGAGATTTTATTTTATTTTTAAAGGAGTGACACAGAGGGTAAGGGCCCAATCAGGATTTTTAGCTGGTTTGTATTATAATATAATTTGTATAATTATAGCAAAGAGAACTCTGTTTCCATTATTGAATAACTGTTGCTACAAGTTTAGCTTTTTTATTGCATGTTTACCCTTGACAATGTTTTCGTGTTTGGCAGAAATTACAACAGCACCTGCCTTTACCTATGGTTTTTATTTTCACTGTGTTGCTTGGTTGCTTCTTCATTATTTTTCCTTGTTTTATACAAGCTTAACCTCTCTCCTCAAGTTATAATTTTTATTCTGGAACTAGGATTGGTTATGGTATGAAATTATTATGAATTGCATTCCTGGCTTTTAATAAGATGATTTTGATGCCACCTGGTATCAGAATGGGTGATCTATGAAATGAATTTCTTCTAACACTTACTAAGAGAAACTCTGACAAGTGACTTACTTTCTGTTTTCTTGTCCATGAGTTTTTATTGGTACAGTGAACTCCAGCAATCTTGGAAGTAATGTTGAGGACCAAGTAGATTTTTTCTTTGTGGAATTTGAAATCTCATGGGATCCACCCAATGCTGTGTTGGCACTGGATTGTAGTGACCTATGAAAGCTGGAAAAAAACCATCACATTGACTCCAAATTGATTGGAAACTTCTTCTAATAACTAATGTTACAAATTAAATGTACAAACTCACAATTAAATAAATTATATTAAAAACTCATAATTTCCTAATTTCTTATTACACTTTACTATTATCTAAGATCTTGAGGTTGTTACATTTATTGTGTCTGTGTGGTAGAAAATACCATACAATGGGGGTGCTATTGTGTCTCCCTTCCCAATTCTGCATTCAGGGATGCCACTTGGGTAACTTGATATTGGCCATGGGGGTGCAGGTTTTTTAATTTCCAGCAGCCTACTGTACTCACCACACATAACATCTTCTTCATTTGGTAGTGCTGAGGCTTGAATGAGACAAGCAGCGCTAGGGACATCACAGATGCTCAATAAAGGACAGCTGCCTTTAGGGTCCTTCCTTCAGAAAATCTCTGCCATTTCCAGAGAGTCCAAAAATGGTAGTGTTGCCAGATGATTGCAGTCCAGTGCCTCTAGAGGGACACAGGATCTCTTTCTGTTTCTGTATTCATAAATGTTTGGTAATGGTTGACTTCATCCCTTCCCAGGGATATGTTAGGGGAAAAAATATCCTGACTGATGTGAGAGCATTTTGAATAGTTAGGAAGTATAGTTCTCAAATTGGAGGTTGAGAAAGAGCTTTGTACAGGGTTGCTGATTTGTGCCAGTGATGAGTTGGAGAAGAAAATATTCTTTTCAGATTCCTGGTCCAGAGCTGTAGCATTAACTCCCCCACACTGGTCCTTGGACATGTGCCCTATGGTCCACCTGTAAGATTTCTTGGGCCACTGGCAAATATAATAAGAACAGCATAATAGGATGTGGGCAAAAGATTGCCTGCTTATCTTATCCTGGATAGGACTATCTTTTATTGTGTGTCTTGAGTGTTCTGACAGCTTTTACATTAACATGTCCTATCTTTTTTTTTTTTTTTTTAGACAGAGTCTCGTTCCATCACCAGGCTGGGGTGCAGTGGCGTGATCTCGGCTCACTGCAATCTCTGTTTCCCTGGTTCAAGGGATTCTCCTGCCTCAGCCTCCCAAGTAGCTGGGATTACAGGCACACGCCACTATGCCCAGCTGATTTTTGTATTTTTAGTAGAGACAGGGTTTCACCGTGTTGGCCAGGATGGTCTCAATCTTCTGACCTCATGATCCACCCACCTCGGCCTCCCAAAGTGTTGGTATTACAGGCGTGAGCCACCACACCTGATCCCATGTCCTATCTTTTTGAAGTGACAGTGATAGTAGATGATAATGGTGGAGGTAGAGTTAATTTTAAATGCCTTTACTTGCAGAAAGCTAGAAATGATATTGATCCTCTTTTTTAACTCCTTTTTTAAAAAAAGTAAATGTTTGTGATCCAGTGGTTCTGAAAGTCTAGAACTACCCCATGTTGACTCTAAATTGATTTTTGTGGAAGCAGAAGTAAGTACTGATAGAATTATTCCATAGGTGACCTGAATCACCAGCATGGGTATGTGTGAGCACTTTTGATTACTCCTGCCATTGCTCACTCTCCTAAAACTGTTGATAGTTAAGAAAATCCAAGTGTGATCTGAACACACATTGTCCTTATCTCTTCTCTTCTGCTAAGACAACTTTTCAAAGTCTCAACAGAACTGTTCTTTTGAGGAGAAGCATATAAAAAGTGACCTTCAAGATAAAAGTTGTAATTATGTTGTTTGCTTTTTACCTAAAGAAATGTTCATCATCGTTCCAGGGGTTTTTGGGTCCACATCTGGCTTTAACAATTTTTTTCTCCCCTGTAACACTGTTGATACTAATGCCAATTTTAATTTCTTGGCATCATGATACATAAATATATCACCCACAGATGTGATTTTAAACAAGGACTGAAACTGTAAATTCGGAAGCAAGAGATTCACAGGGTTTCATCAGATCACTCTCAAAAGTGACACAGTTGTACTGAAATGGTTTTAAACTGCTCATTTCAAACCTGCCTCGGTAGCAAAATGCCATGCGTGCAGCGGATTTGCAACCACGTTAGTCATTTTCTTTCCTCTGTTTCCTTGCTGTGTTTGTATTGGGAGCACAGAGTAATGTAATTTAGTAAATTATGATTTGATGGCTGGGCATCAGCCCCAGTGTTGAACAGTATTTGGACTATGATTACTTGCTGGCTTTGTCACAGTTGACATTAATTATTGATGGAAGTTTCAGAAATAGCGCATGTGCCAGGAGCTTTTCACCGGAACGCAGGCTCCAGGCAGGAGGGATGCTAAAGAGTGTGGGGGAAGAGACACCTGTGGCTTGTTTATGTCTGTGCAAGGGGAACCAGGACCCAGCAGGCTGTGTAGTACCTGTGTAAAGGTTGTGGTGTAACGGAAGGATGAACCGTCAGGCTTATTTCTATCGTGTTCCTCCCCAGGAATTGCACCGAAGAAGCCAACTTCAGCCGGAGCCAGCCAAGACGAAGGCTCTCCAGACTGTCATCGAAATGAAGGTAGGAACTGTGCACTTTTGTCAGAAACAGTTATGCCTTGGGAGTTTGTTCTAACTTGGTGGTGCCTAATATAAACATGAAATGAACCTTGTGTTTTTCTCTAGGCACCCTGCTGGATGCTTTACTTCTGGATTTTTTTTACCTTCCTGGGCACATTTAATGTATTGGTCCTTTAATTAGGATGCCTTTTCTGGGCAAAAGAATAAAGGGCTCGAGAATCCATTGGCTGAAAGGAGCTGGGTTCCTTTTCAAAGCATGTCTAATCCTAGGGAGGTTTTATGTGTGTTTTAAAAGTAAAATTTTTAAACTACAATAATTCTTTTCCTCCTATTCACATCACAATAAAAAGCACCTTTGAGAAATTAAGAGTTGGCAAAGGGAAGTTATTTTACATGCAGTGGTATTGTTAATAATTAAAATAATGCTATCAGCAAAATTTACTTTTCAAAAAATGATACTTTCTGGTGACCCCAGTATTTTCTCCTAACCAAGTTTGGAAGTAATAACACTTTACTAAGTACTTGCAAAGTATCCTATTTAGCTGTGCAGGCATAGAGATACACTATTTAAAGGAATAGAAAAATCCTTCTGAGAGAATTTAGGGCGTTTAAGGAATCATGAAGTAAATGAGCATGACCAAGCCATGATCCATGATTAAGAAACTGGTCTAAATGAAACTCCATTTCTTTGCTAGTATCTAGAAATTTAAAATCTTTTTATTTACAGTTTTTGCCAGAAGGATGCAAATAGTAAAGTATTTATCTCAATAATAAATAATTCTTGATTTAATGTGTTCCATTAAGAAACAAGTTTATAATCAAGATGTTTGCAATCTGAAAATTCCACGCTCAAGTGTAAAACTCAGGGAGTTTGCTGGTCACCGTGGGCCTGCAAGAGAATTCTAAAGCTTGCTGATAGGATAATGCATCTTCTCAATCCTTCTTGCAGCATATGATTTTGAATTATCTGCCCCCAAATTCCCAAATTTTGAGGGAAAAGAAACTAATACGAGCTCTTGAATTCTTGGCATGTGCAATCTGAGTAGGGATTGTTTTTCTTATTCAATGACAATTTCTTAATCCAAGTGGATTTTTGTGAAAATAATATAGGTCATTTGCTTTAAAACTATGTGTCCCCCAAATGAGGTTACATGAGTCAAGGCACTCATAATGTATGTGTAGCATATGGGTTTGAAAAATATCTTTGAAGGGACCAAATGCCAATAGGATTAAACAATAATTATTAACCCTGGCTCATCAGTTGTTTTAAACTTATATAATTTAAACATTTTGAAAAGAAACTGAACATTCTACACTGGGGAATGGTAGGCCAGTGGTTCATAATTCAGAGTTTATCCTCACTTCACATTGGAATCAAACCTGATACTTGGTTAAGGCTTTAAAAAAAAAAAAAGAGGAAAAATGAAAAGACAAAAGGACAAAAGACTTGTTTTTTTTTTTGTTTTTTGTTTTTGCAAAGGGTGACTCAGTCCCCCTTCCATCCACCTCCACACCCACCTTCCCAGTCAGCACAAATAGTAATGGAGAAGAGAATGTATATACAATCTATTTCCAAATTATCATTTAAGAAAAAAAAAAAAAAGAGCGAGTTTCCAAGGCCTTTGGAAAAAACAGGAGAAACATCTCTTCTAATGTGGTGGGTAGTTTCCTGGTAAATGTCTCCATACAAAGATAATTGGTACCTTTTTTTGTGACTTTTTAAAGTAGAAAAATCTGTTTGATCCTAGTTTGTTGTTTTTAGCATTATGTTTTATTATAAAAAAATTTATAAATAAAAAACTCACTTAGGTCATCTACATGGGAAGGCAGAGAAACTTGAATTCTAGGGCAAATTCATTTCTACTTATTATCACTAAATTGAGCCTAGAGTTCTCCTTTCATGGATGCCAGTGTTGCTAATTTGTAGGCATGAGGCATTTGTATTTTTAGGACAAATGAAGAGCAATATAATTTTCAGGAAACGGAAACGGATCCTCAAGTTTTTCTGTTGTCTTTTTGGATGCCTATTAACTTACAAAAGCACTGCCTTCTGTCTTGTCAACAGAGAAGTCTGGGTCCCATTAACATCTATCCTCAACATACCTAAATTGAGTTAGGGAGGCAGCTGGTGGAGGGTCATCCCAGCCATGTGTATAGCTCAGGCTGGAGGCTGTGATCTCATCTGATTTTGTACATTACACCCCTGTGAAATTGGTGGGAATATTGGAAGCTCATATTGTACAGGCTTTAGAGTTGACTACCAAATCGAACTGACCCTTAAGCCTAGTGAGTGGAACTTGAGACCCTGTTGTATTTTAGCCCTGGGTAAACATCAATGTCATCTAGTGCCTTGATAGAATTTAAAATTAAGAAGAGATTTCTTGGCCAGGTGCATTGGCTCAAGCCTGTAATCCCAGCCCTTTGGGAGGCCGAGGCAGGCGGATCATGAGGTCAGGAGATGAGACCATCCTGACTAACACGGTGAAACCCCGTCTCTACTAAAAAATACAAAAAATTAGCTGGGCGTGGTGGCACGCGCCTGTAGTCCCAGCTACTCGGGAGGCTGAGGCAGGACAATGGGGTGAACCCAGGAGGCGGAGCTTGCAGTGAGTCGAGATCGTGCCACCACACTCTAGCCTGGAGGACAGAGCGAGACTCTGTCTCAGAAAAAAAAAAAAAAAAATTAGCCAGGTGTGGTGGCGGGCAGCTGTAATCCCAGCTACTCAGGAGGCAGAGGCAGGAGAATCACTTGAACCCTGGGCGTGGAGGTTGCAGTGAGCCAAGATCTCGCCACTGCACTCCAGCCTGGGTGACATAGTGAGACACTACCTCAAAAAAAAAAAAAAAAAAAAAAAAAAAAACAGAAGAGATTTCTTAGACTAAATTGGACTCAGAGATTATCCCTATTTGTTTCTTGCTTTTTAGAGGAACTAAGGGTGAGCTTCAACCCCCATTGTCCCCATATACACACTTTGCATAAACTCGCAAAAGACATTTGTTGTGAAAGTCTGTGAAATCTTGCCTAAATTCAAGCACTATTTAGATCCACAGTCTGGTTCTAGATTTTTGTGTACCCCCTCTGGACTTTGGAGTTGTGAAAATATGTTTTTCTGGGGTGAACCTTGGGAAATATCATCTGCCTGCATCAAACTGGGGGCAGTTCTTTTGCAGACATTACATCCACTGCAGCCAGTTGAGCCTGGGGGCTGAAGTTACCTAATGAAAAATGAAAGGAAGCAAAGTGAATAAAGTTATTTGTGATTTATCTTCTTGCAGGAAGCTTCAAGTTTTAATTTTGATCCTGATTTGGTCTGGCAGGTATGTTCCAAGTTTGCACTTAGAACACTGTGTGTGTTTCTTGGAAAATTAGTTTCTTGTAGATATTGCAGTGCTCCTCTTTCTCTTGCTTTTGTGTCTAAAGATTCTTTGCTAAGCTCCTCTTTTCTGCTCTTGTGGATAACTGTCAATAAGAATGACAGTTGAAAGGCTTGTTTTCTCTTTTTTCTTTCTTTAATGCTAATTTCTTTGAAAGAATGTGTAACTTATTTTTATTATAAATTTGACATGACATAAACATGATGTCCAAAAGTTTTACTTTCTTGGGTCATTCATAAAGCCATTTGTTTTTTTTTTTTTTTAAGAAAATGAATGACAGTAATGGTAGTTCTTGTCAAATAATCTCAACCCCCTTTTTCATTGTTAGCTAGAAATTTTAAGTGAAGGAAAATCTATTTCAAAGTGGCTGAAGTCAAAAGGAAATTTATTGGAAAAAAATTTACTGGAAAAAAACAGGGGTATTGCTTCAGGCACAGCTTGATCCAGAGGCTCAAAAGATATTAGCAGATCCCATTTTCTCTCATTCCATCCCTTATCTTGTCTTCCTTCATGTGAGCTCTATTTTCAGGCAACCTCTCCCTGCCTGTGAGCAAATGGCTACAGCAACTCCAACTATCACAAATGGAAGGGCAGGGAGAATGTTGTGTTTTTTAAAAAATGTAAAAACACAACCCTTAGAGTAATAATAATTACTGAGATGACACATAAAGCTTCACTCCAAACTTAGCAGCTGAAGCTGAAAAGAAAATACATAGAGTTTTCTAGAGTTCATTTGCTTAAAACATTAAATGATATTCTTTGGGAAAAACAAACATTTTGCTAGTATAGCAGAAACTATCAGGTTTTCAGCAGAATTTATCAAAGAAGACATATATGAGTGACATAAGGGTTTTAGTAAAAGTTTGGTGAACTTGTTAACTAGTAAAAGGTTTTTAGTAAGGGTTTTAGTAAAAGTTTGGTGATTTGGTGAACTTGTTAACTAAAGTGGATTAAGAAGCCAGAGGCATAATGTGAAGTTAAAAGCAGTATTTCTGTGGTAATTGAAGTGGGGATTGTGGGTATTTAGCTTTCCAGTCCCACGGTCAGCGAGGGCACTTGTGTGCCTTGAGTTGTTCCTCTTGAGTGACATTTGTCCCCACCAGGCTTTTTTTTTAATTGGAAATAAGTAGTAAGCAAAGCAAGACTGAGCTCCACTAAGTTGCTGAAGTATAAGTGGTACTATTGGTGAAAGTATATGATTTTGCATTCAGGTGCAACTTTAATGCAGAGGTTAATTTTTTGTTATAAAAATAAGACTTCACTTTGTCTTTGTGCCCAGGCAGATAACTGTTGTTCTGCATGGAGCTGACCTGCAGCTGGGTTAAGTTTCACTTAAAAGGTATCTTGGTATTTGGTCAAATTTAGCCTGTTTAGTTCCACAGAATATGAAAGGGATGTACTGGAACACTGTGAAGTCAAGAACTACTACTTCGCAACTTTACCAAGTTTCATATAACTGGAAAGGGGAGAGAGTTCAAAGGCAAACCTAGACTACTCAGCACAACCCAATACCCATTATGAACTTGTCTGAGTCCTGGAATCTGGTCAGAGACACTATGAAGTAGCTGCCACTTCTTTGACTGTAGGGCCTACCTAGGTTTATTTCATTCATCTTCTCCAAGGATGCTGTGTTCATATGAAATTTGTGCCAATCCCAGTTTTTCTAGTAAAGCAATTATGATGATGGCTTTTAGGCCTTAAGAATATGCCCCTGCTCCTTTTGTGGCTATTAAAAACAATAACAGCACTAACAACAACGATGTCACCTGCACCCCCAGTAATACCCAATGACAGCAACATCACTACCACACATAAGGGCTACAGCACTTGATGTGCAATAAACCTGTGAATAGGCAGAGTTATCCCCAATTCACAGATGAGAAAGCTACGGGTTAGAGAGGATAAGCAACCTGCCCATGGTCCTGCAGCTAGTCAGATTGGCAGCTGAGATTTGAACATAAGTTTCTCCTCAAAGCTCTTGCACTCTTTACTCCTTCTTTCTGCCTTTTCTAAAGATAGCCCAAAGGTTCAAACGTTTTTTCTTTCAACATTTACTTTGGAAATTGTGCATTGAGGTTTGCATCCTAGAATGGGTAGAGGCAGCTCATGAGAGATGGAGTGGCTTATGTGATATTTTTGGAAAGGTGCAGAGCTGTATTTTGTGCTAAAAGGCAAAACTCATCCTTTTTACATGCATGTGTTATCATGGCTCCAAATAGGGCTCCAAATATGTACATTACAGCCAACATATGCCCTGTTTCTCCCCCTGCATTTTAAGTCTTGCTCTGAAGTCTTTTTTTAACAGCCTGGTGTGATAACTTGTTCAAACTTGTAAAGGACTGTGTGTTTTGATGTGCAGTGTGCATTTACAATATTAGAATTATCCTTTAGCTTACTTTTTTTTCTTGGGAAATTTCTCTATCTTCTCATTTTCCAACTGGACCCCCCAATATAAAGCAACAACAAACCCCTTTATCCCATTTAACTATTTGCCTTAAATAATGGGCAAAATGTGATTTTTAAGTGATGGTCAAGTCAAATGTTAGTTCTAGATGATATATGGTTGTCACTTAGAAGCAAGTAAGATTTTTTTTTAGAAGATGAGAATTATTTCCCTTTCCCCCCAAACTCTTCTTATGATATATTTGACTCTACATGTTTGACTAAATGTTGCCAGTCAATAATTCCTGCTATTACCCAGGTTAGTTTTTGTGAATCTAACTCCTGAAGTTGCATAATAAACACCAGTGTTTACTGAGCAACTATTTTGTGTACAGCACCATGATGAGGCTTTCAGGAAAAACTGAGTTCTAAGTCTTTAAGGAGCTAATGGAATGAAGTACATAAACCAGGTTATAAAGTGACTTAAGAAGGGCAAATGAGCTATGAGGAGTCAAAGGATATCAAATAAGAGAAGAAGACAGAATGCTTTTTGGAGAAGGTAGCATTTGGAGAAAGCCTTGGAAAACTGGCATGATTTTGGTAAAGGGGAATATGGTTTATAAACAGTGGGAACTATAAGAGCCACGAGTCTAGAAAGGATAAGGAGTGTCTTTGGCAGAGCAAATCATTCAGTTTGATTGAGAGAAGACATTGTAAATTTAAAAGGTGTGGTAGATCGCATTAAACCAGTAGAAAAAGAAGGTGGAGAGAAAGAAATAATAAACATAAAAGCTAACATTAAATAAATAGAGGGTAAACATATACTAGAGTGGAGCACCAAAACTAAATGCTGTTTTTTTGAAGAGATTCACAAAAATGACAAATCCTGGTTAGAATCAGCAAGAAGAGTAGAGACAGCAAAAATAACCAATATCAGGGATGAAAGTGGGGCATCACTATAAACCTTATTAACATTAAAATATGAGAGGATTTTATTAGCAACTTTGTGATAATAAAGTTGAAATTTTAGATAAATGAAAAAATTCTTTTTAAAAACACAATTTGTCAAAACTTGCTTAAGAAGAAATAGAATATCTGAGTAGTCTTATATGTTAAAGGAAATGATTCTATAAATTAAAATCTTACCACCAAACCAAAAACCTAAAAACCCAAACCAAACAGAAACAATTAGAGGCCCAGATGGCTTTTTTGAGTGAATTGTACCAAATGTTTGAAGAGGAAATGAAATCAATCATACAGAAACTCTTCTAGAATAGAAAAAGAGGGAGCATTTCCCATCTTGTTTTATGAGGCCAGCATATGTTTGATATTCATACCCAGCAAATATATTACAAAAAAGGAAAATTACAAGCAATCTCCTGAGTAAACACTGATGGTAGAAAATATCCTAGTGAATTGAACTCAATGACAAATAAATGACATGACCAAGTTGTGTTTATTTTAGGAATGCAAAGTTGGACTGATATTTGGCTATCAATCATGTTATCCACCATATTAAGAGGATAAAGGAGAAAATGAATATAATTCATAGGTACAGAAAAAGCATTTGATTAATGCAACATCCATCCATGGCCCCCAAAAATGTTTTTCAGAAACTCAGAAGTAGAGGATTTTCTTAATCTAATAAGAATAGTTACAAGAAAGCTATAGCTAATATCATGTTCAATGGTAAAATGTTGAAAGCTTTCTCTATGATATAAGGAATAAGACAAGAATGCCAGTTACCATCACTTCTGTTCGATAATGCTATGGACATCCTAGGTATAAAAATTAGAAAGAAAAAAAAAACATTTTTGTTCACAAGTACCATAATCGAGTCTGTAGAAAATATCAGTGAATCCATATATACAATATTAGATTAGTAAATAAATTTAGCCAAATGGCTGGCCAGTATTTTAAAATGAATCTTATTTGTACATACTAGTTATAAACAATTAAGATATGAAATTGAGAAAACAATATCACTTACACTGGTATTAAAAAACCCCAAATATATAAGAGCAAGTCTAACAATAGCTATAAAAGACCTAATTTAAATAAAAAGGTATAACACATAACTAAATGTAGAATAACTAAAAACTTTAAACAAGTGAAACAGCTGTCAGCAGTAGGGTGGATAAAACAGTAGTGGAATATTCATACAATGAAATGCTATATGGCAATGAGAAGGACCAAGCTATTGCCATATGCAGGGGGGAGGGGGGAGGGATAGCATTAGGAGATATACCTAATGCTAGATGACGAGTTAATAGGTGCAGCACACCAGCATGGCACATGTATACATATGTAACTAACGTGTACACTGTGCACATGTACCCTAAAACTTAAAGTATAATAATAAAAAAAAAGCTATTGCCATATGCAATAGCGTAAATGAATACTATCCCCAAAATAATGTTGGAAGAAGCCAGCCACAAAAGAACATATATAATATATGTTCTCCAAACAAGCTAAACTAATTGATAGTATTAGATATCTGTATAGTAGTTAATTTGAAGAAGAGGAGGGAAAAGTGAAGGTTGGGAGGGCCAGGAAGGAGGTTTCTGAAGTACAGGTAATATTCTATTTCTATTATGTTCTGTTTTGTGATCTGGTTGGCCCAAGTGTGTTCACTTGACCACAATTCATCATTTTGAAAGTCTATGATTTGTGTACTTTCTTATATTAATACTTTAATTAAAACGTTTCTTTAAAAATAAAGAAAAAATAATTCATCAATAAAAAGATAACTGAATTACAAAACTGGGCAAAAGATTTAATTAGACATTTCTCCAAAGAAGACATACAAATGGCCAATAAGGACATAAAAAATACTGAACATCATTCGTCATTAGGGAAATGCCAATCAAAACCAGCATTAAATACAACTTCTCCCACACTAGGATGGCTAAAATAAGAAAGACAGACAATAATGAGCGTTGGGGAGGATGTGAATAATTAGAATTCTCATATGTTGATGGTGGGAACATAAAATGGTACAGCCCTCTTTGGAAAACTGTTAGCAGTTCCTCAAAATGTTAAACATAGAGTTACCACATGACCTAGAAATTTCACTTGTAGGTACACACCCAACAGAATTGCAAACATATGTCCGCACAAAACACTATCCACAAGTGTTCACGCTACCATTATTTATAATAGCAAAAGCTAAAACAACCCAAATGTCTATCATCTGATATATGAAGAAACAAAATATGGCATATCCACATAGTAGAATATTATTCATCAACAAAAAGTAATAAATTACTGATATAGGCTACAACATGGATGAACCTTGAAAACATTATGCTAAATGGAAGAAGTCAGTCAGAAAAGGCCACATATTATATGATACTATTAATTAAATGTCCAGTGTAGGCAAATTAGGGACAGAAAGTAGATTAGTGATTGCCAGGAGCTAGGGGGAAGGAGGAAAGAAGAGTTACTGCTAATGTGTACTGGATTTTGGGTGATGAAAATGTTCTGGAATTAAATAGCAGTGATGGTTGCAGAAACCTCTAAATTATACTCTTTAAAAGGGTGAATTTTATGGTGTGTGTATTATAGCTCATGAAAGCTGTTATTAAAAATAAAGAAAAATATTATAAAGGAAATGATTAATAACTTTGCTTACTTAAGGCTTACAAGAGATTCTTAAGGGCATTCTAAATATGGATACAAAAGAATGATACCTGCTGCCACAAAAACACACTTAGTACTTAGCCCATAGACCCTATAAAGGAACCACACAATCAAAACTACAAAGCAACCAGCTAGCAACTTCATTATAGGATCAAAACCTCAAATATCAATATTAATCTTGAATGTAAATAGTCTAAATGCCCCACTTAAAAGGCACAGAGTGAAAAGTTGGATCAAAAGACAAGATTTATCTGTCTGCTGTCTTCAAGAGACCCACATCACATGTAACAACACACATAGGCTCCAAGTAGAGTTGGAGAAAGATCCACTGTGCAAATAAAAAGCAAACAAACAAAAAAGGAGCAGGGGTCACTATTCTTATGTTGGATAAAACAGACTTTTAAAACCAACAACAGTTAAAAAGGACAAAGAAAGGCATTACATAATGATAAAGGATAAAGACTTTTCTAACCTAAAAATGTATGTACCCAACACTGGAGCACTCAGAGTCAAAAATATGAATTTGTAAGACTTACGAAAAGACTTCGACAGCAACACACAATAATAGTGGGAGACTTCAAAACCCCACTGTGAGCATTAGACAGATCATCGAGACAGAAAACTAACAAAGAAATTCTGGACTTAAACACAACACTTGACCAATTGGACCTAATAGACATCTACAGAATATTCCACTCATCAACCACAGAATATATGTTCTTCCCACCTGCACGTGGAACATACTCCAAGATCAACCACATGCTCGGCCATAAGGTGAGTCTCAATAAATTCAGAAAAATTGAAATCATAGTAACCATACTCTTGGATCACTGTGGAATAAAAATAGAAATCAATACCAAGAAGATCTCTCAAAAGCACATAATTACATGGAAATTAAACAATTTGCTCCTGCATGACTTTTGAGTAAACAGTGAAATTAAGGCAGAACTATAAAAATTATTTGAACTACATGAAAACAGAGACACAAGATACCAAAAGCTCTGGGACAGAGCAAAAGCAGTGTTAAGAGGAAAGTTTGTAGTGCTAAGTGCCTATCTCAAAAAGTTAGAAGGATCTCAAATTAACAATCTAACATCACACCTAGAAAAACTAGAAAAACAAGAGCAAACTTACCCCAAAGCTAGCAGAGAAAAGAAATAAAAAAAACAGAGCAGAACTGAACACAATTGAGACCCAAAAATGCATACAAAGAATCAATGAAACTAAAAATTGGTTCTTTGAACAGACAGATTGATAGACCATTAGCTAGATTAACAAAGAAAAAAAGATCCAAATAAATTCAATCAGAAATGACAAAGGTGACAATACAACTTATCCCACAGAATTACAGAAGATCCTCAGAGACTATTATGAACACTTAAATGCACACAAACTAGAAAATCTAGAGGAACTGGGTAAATTCGTGGAAACACACACTCTCCCAAGATTCAATGAGGAAGACTTAGAAACACGGAAAAGACGAATATTGAGTTCTAAAATTGAATAAGTAACAAAAAACCTACCAACCAAAAAAAGCCTTGAACTGGATGGGTTCACAGTTGAATTCTTTCAAACATACAAAGAAGAGCTGGTACTAGTTTTACTGGAACTATAGCAAAAAGGCAAGGAACACGGACTCCTCCCTAACTCATTCTACAACGTCAGTATCACCCTGATACCAAAACCTGGCAAAGACACAAGAAAAGAAAACTACAGGGCAGTATCCCTGATGAATGTAGATGCAAAAATCCTCAACAAAATACTATCAAGCCAAATTCAACAACATCAAACAATTAACTCACCACAATCAAGTAGGCTTCATTTTTAGAATGCAAAGTTGGTTCAATATATGCAAATCAATAAATGTGTTCAACACATAAACAGAATTAAAAACAAAAACCATATGATAATCTCAATAGATGTGGAAAAAGCTTTTGATAAAATCCAACATCCCTTCATGATAAAAACCCTCAAGAAATTAGGCATTGAAGCAACATACCTCAAAATAATAAGAGCCATCTATGACAAACCCATGGCCAACATCACATTGAATGGGCAAAAAGTGGACACATTCCCCTTGAGAACTGAAACAAGACAAGGATGCTCACTCTCATTACTCGTATTCAACATAGTACTGGAAGTGCTAGCCAGAGCAATTAGGCAAGAGAAAGAAATAAAAGGCAACTAAACAGGAAAAGAAGTCAAGCTATATCTCTTCACTGACGGTATGATTCTATACCTAGAAAACCCTAACGACTGCCAAAAGACTTCTGAAACCTTCAGTAAAGTTTCAGGATACAAAATCAATGTAATAAAATCAGTAACATTTCTATACACCAATAGTGTTCAAGCTGAGAGCAAAATCAAGAATGCAGTCTCATTTATAATAGCCACACACACACACAAAATACCTAGGAATACATCTAACCAAGGAGGTGAAAGATCTCTATGAGAAGAACTGCAAAACACTGCTCAAAGAAATCACAGATGACATAAACAAATGGAAAAAACATTCCATGCTCATAGAGTGGACAAATCATTATTAAAATGGCCATACTGCCTAAAGCAATTTGCAGATTCAATGCTATTCCTATCAAACTACCAATGTCAGTTTTCTCAGAACTAGAAAAAACTTTTCTAAACTTCATATGGAACCAAAAAAGAACTTGAATAGCCAAAGCAATTGTAATAGGCTGTCCTCACATTGCTATAAAGTAATACCTGAGGCTGGGTATTCCATAAAGAAAAGAAGTTTAATTGGCTCATGGTTTGGCAGGCTGTACAAGCATGGCAACAACAACTGCTCAGCTTCTTGTGAGGGCCTCAGGAAGCTTACAGTCACAGCAGAAGGCAAAGCAGGAGCAGGTACATCACATGAAAAGCTGGAGCAAGAACTGGGAGGAGGGCCCCGACTCTTTTTCAACAACCAGATCTCATGTGAGCTAACTGAGCAAGAATTCACTTAGCAGCAAGGGGATGGTGTTAAACCATTCATGAAGGATCCATTCCCATGATCCAATTACCGCCCACCAGGCCCCACCTCCAACATTGGGAATCGTATTTCAACATAAGATTTGGAGCAAACATCCAAACCATATAAGCAATCCTAAGCAAAAAGAACAAGCCTGGAGGCATCATATTACCCGATGTCAAACTATGCTATAAGGCTACAATAAACAAAACAGCATAGTATTGGTATAAAAACAGACACATAGACCAGTGGAATAGAATAGAGAACCCAGAAATAAATACACACATCTATTGCCATCTGATCTTTGAAAAATTGACAAAGGTAAATAATGGGGAAACAACTTCCTATTTAATAAATGGTGCTGGGATAACTGGCTAGCCATATGCAGAAGAATGAAACTAGACACTTACATTTCACTATATGTATAAAGCTTAATTCAAGATGGATTAAATATTTAAATGTAAGACCTCAAACTCTAAGAATCCCAGAAGAAAATCTAGGAAACACCATGCTGGACATTGGCCTTGTGAAAGGATTTATGACTAAGTCCTCAGAATCAATTGCAACAAAACCAAAAATTGACAAGTGGGACCTAATTAAACTACAGTTCTTCTGCTTAGCTGAAGAAACTATTAACAGAGGAAACAAACAATCTACAGAATGGGAGAAAATATTTGCAAACTGCACATCCAGCAAAGATCTAATATCCAGAATCTATCAGGAACTTAAACATTGAACAAGCAGAAAAACAAATAACTCCATGAAAAATTAGGCAAAAGACATGAACAGACACTTCTCGAAAGAAGACATGCAAGTGTCCAACAAACATAATCATCAGAGAGAAGCAAATAAAAACCACAGTGAGAAGCCATCTTACACCAATCAGGATGGCTATTATTAAAAAGTCAAAGCACAACAGATGCTAGTGAGGTTGTGGAGAAATGGAAACGCTTATACACTGTTGGTGGTAATACAAATTAGGTCAGCCTCTGTGGAAAGCAGTTTGGAGATTTCTCAAAGAATTTAAAAGATAACTACTATTTGACCCAGCAATCCCATTACCCAAAGGAATGTAAATTGTTTTACCAAAAAGACACATACACTTAAATGTTCATCGCAACAGTATTCACCATAGCAAAGACATGCAATCAACCTAGGTGCCCATTAATGGTGTACTAGATGAAGAACGCTTAGTATGTATACGCCATGGGATACTATATACAGCCATAAAAAAGAATGAAACCATGTCCTTTGCAGCAACATGGATGCAGCTGGAGGCCATTATCCTAAGTGAATTAACACATTAACAGAAAACCAAATACTGCACGTTCTCACTTATAAGTGGGAGTTAAACATCAAGTACTCATGGACATAAAGATGGCAACAATAGAAACTGGGGACTACTAGGGAGGAAGGAGGCAAGGGGACAAAGGTTGAATAACTATTGAGTACTATGCTTAATGCCTGGGTTATGGGATCATTTATACCCCAAACCTCAGCATCTTGCAGTATACCCGAGTAACAAACCTGTACATATACTCCCTAAATCTAAAATAAAAGTTGATAAAAAGCGCAAAATAACCAACTATGAAATGTATTTTTAAAGTTTATAGTAGTTTAGAGGTTTAGTATTCTTAATGTGTAAAAAGGTTATATTTATCAATGTAGAATAACAACTTCGGGGAAAATGTACTAAAATGTTGACATTTGTTCTGGGAAGAGAGATTATAAAGGATTTTTTTCCTCTTCTTTCCTCCCATATTATTCCATTCTCACATTTCTATAATGAAATACCAAAGACTGGCTAATTTATAAAGAAAAAAGGTTTAATTGGCTCACAGTTTTGCAGGCTGTAGAGGAAGCATGATGCTGGCATTTGCTTGGCTTCTGAGGAGGCCTCAGGAAACTTACAATTATGGTGGAAGTTGAAGAGGGAGGAGTCACAGTCAGATGGCCAGAGTAAAAGCACAAAACAGGTGGGGTGGGGGGGTGCCACACACTTTTAAATGACTCGATCTCATGAGAATTCACTCACTATTGTGAGGACAGCATCCAGCATATGGTGCTAAACCATTCATGAGAAACTGCCTCCATGATCCAGTCACCTCCTTGCAGGCCCCACCTCCAACATTGGGGATTACAATTGAACATGAGATTTGGGTGGGGACACGGATCCAAACCATATCACTCCCCTAAATTTTCATGTTTTCAATAATGTGCTTTTTTCTAAACATAGAAATGATCAGGAATTATTATTTTGAAAAAAAACAAGTTTGTTAAAAGAAAAGCCATAATCAGAAATCTTGAAAATGCCCTATTTTTTAAATTCTTGGTTTTTTTTTTGTTTTTCTGAACTGAGAAGGTTCCAAAGAGGAGAAGGTTAGGTTATTTATGGAAATTGAGAATTTTGCTTGCTGCTTACTGCTTCTCTATGCTTCAGCTTTCCCATCTGGGAAATGGGTCCATGATACTAGCCTGTACGGGTTGTGGTGGGGATTAAAATGAGTTAAGGCATGGGAAAATCCTGGCACATAATAGAGGATCAAGGAATCCTTTGCCTCTCCATCTCTTCCCTTTGAGTTTGAAAATTGAGTTTTATCTGTAAAAAAGAGGTTGTGCCTTTGAGCAAGGACCACCAGAGAGAAGGAACTAAATAAGCCTATTTTAGGCAGAGAGAGTCTTAGCTCTGAATACACACATAGTTTGCATGTTGAAAAGACTTTAAAAGTGTCTTTGAAAGGAGAAAACAGTGGAGAAAAAATAGCAAGTCTCAGGAGGTCTATGGGATAATAAATGACCTAGGAACTTAGCTTTCTGGCTATTGGGCATTTGGCAAGTCACTTGTCCCCACTGGCTCTCACTCTTCTTATCTGACAAATGAAGGGATTGGACTAACTGTCCTACTTTAAAAATTCTGCCAAGTCTGAGGCTTGATGACTGGCAATTTGGACTCTCAGGGGGCCCTCCTGGGGAGTCTGAATTGACATGACATTCTTGCAAAGTTTAAATCTTAGCTTTGTTTGCTCCATCTTGGCCAGCCCTGCCCAGGCCAGCAGTCCCTGCCCTCTCCCTTGCTGGTGCTCAGGTTCCCAGCCTACCGTTTATTTAGGGATTGCAATTTCCTTACTGGCGTGTGCCCCTGCCAGCAGGGTTGAGAAGTCAACCACAGGCCTCATGTGAACTTCCCCTTTCAGGTTTCAGTAATGACAGCATACCAACCATCACATGCCTCATCCCTGAGGCATGGTCCAGTTTCCACATCCATCAGGCCACATTGGTGACTTGGGGTGGCCTGAATTCCACTGCTGCCTGTTGCTTTTTTTTTTTTTTCCATGAGACAAACTGGTTGAATGTAGAATGATCTGTGGTATGTTTCGGAGATTCTAAGAGGAGACACCAAACCCAACCAGGAAGTGGGTTAAAAGGAACGGGAAGAGCAAGTTCAGCTTGCTAGAAGGCTAACAAGGAGAGAGAGCTTCCTCACTCAATCTTTTCCTAAAGAACACTGGAAGAGAAATGGAGTGGTCAGATGTCCATCTTTTTAGGCTCCCTAAAATGCATTCACTGTGTTGCAAAGTAGTATTCCCTGAATTGCTGGCATTCTCAGGATGGGCAGCTGGAATTCAAACCCTCTTTCCATTTAGATGTACATGAAAGATGACATGCAACCCATTGTTGAGGGGATGGCCCTGCACACATGGAGGGACTGCCCACTCATCTGGAAGCAGTTGCTGAAAATTTTTTCCTCCCTTTCCTCTCTCCCCAGCCTCTTTACTTTTTTCTTTTGACCTTGCTCGGTGATCTTTAGAGGCTAAAATTACTGTGGAAGAAAGAACCAGAATAGCATACATTCTCTGAAGCCAGTCCCTTCTGAGGTTGGCCTGTGGACAGCAAGGTCCCAATATGTGGCCTCCTGTCTTCTATTCAAGGCAGGCCTATCTATTGAGGGAACGATTCCAGTTTACCCAGGGGGAAACCTTGGGCAAGTTATTTACCATCTGTAAGTCTTCTGACCTGTTAAATGGGTAAAATAAATCCTTAATTCATAGGATTATGGGGAATATTAAATGAGAATTTCCTAGCACAGTGCTTGTGTAGGTAATCAATACATAGCAGCTATTGTTTTTTTGTTGTTGTTTGTTTTCTTACCCCCAAGCTGAGGAGCTTACAAATAAATATGGATTTTTGTGTTCCCCAATCCTCCAAAAGAGAATGTCCTTGGGTGAAACTAAGTCATCAGTAGTTTTTTGCTCACTCTCTAGATGATTTTGATGCAGTTAGTGTTCAGGTTGGCATTAGGGAACCTTTGCTTTAGTGTGTGTTACAGGCACATGGAAATGATTTTTAATCAGCCAGTGCTCCCTTCCATGCACTAGGGATGTAGAAAGCTCTTGACATTAACTGAAGCAGTTTTCTTTGCAGGGCCAATACTCAGATGAGAGGCACAGGTACAGCTACATTGGTTGCTAAAATATTGCAACACTTCTACAGCTACCCCAAACCCTCAGAGTACCCTGCACCCAACTCCACCCCTTACCTAGGGGTCCCCAAATTCAGCTACTAAAGAGTTAATCCTTGGCCCTGCAGTGACTTCCCAGACCTGGTTCCAGTGCTTCAGGAGGTGTCCGTCTTGTGGGGATCTGAGTCTGTTCCATACTGGTTGTTGAGTGACTCGGGAATCACTCCTGGCTCCATGGGATTTAAAACACTGGGGTTCAGTTTCCAATTATGGCAACACAACTCCGATGAAACTACCCTCATGTCACCAATGCCATCTTAACTTTTTTCTTAGTCTTTAGGCTCTTCAAACCTTTGACTCCTCTTCCTTCTTAAAACTATTCACTCATTTTCTAGGACTTTTCCATAATTTCCATGATTTTTGCCCCTCTTTCTTTTGGTGATTCTTCTACCCTTTTCTCTATCCTTGATTCTCAACTATGTCTGAGAATTCTTTCACCACTAAGTGATGGTTTTGTCGTCTCCACAGTTTTCAAATTTCATTTCGGCATCTGGTTTTATTACTAACTGCCCAAAGACTATCTTGTTGCCTTCTTATTTACCAGTATATGACTCGCTTTCAGAACCTAGTACAAATTCCTAGCTTGATTCTGAAGACTGATTATCATTCTGCAGCACCTTCCTTTCATTTCCAACTCCTCAGCAGCTAAACATGATCTATATTATTTGAACAATTCTGTATTCTACTCTTCCTTGATACATACATGCTCTGTATTCATTCTGTTTTTCTTTAAACTTACATTTATTAAATATTATATCCTGGGCACATGCTGAGTGCTCTTGATTTTGTATGTATTATTACTTCTAACTGGAAAGAATTTCATCTTCTCTGTGATAATATTATTTTTATTCATCTCCAAACCCCACGTTAGGCTCCTGTGCCTTCTGGAGATTTCTTGACTCTGCTATGGCAATCTTACCCATTCCTGACTTCTCTATATATAGACTTATAGAACATTACATATTTTGGCATTACCTTTCACGCTATCACTTGTGCATTATATTTTTTCTGTTATAGGTAACAGAAAACTTACTCTCATATTTGGTATTCTGGAGAGTGGATGGTTCAAATGTAGCTATATATAGCTGTTCAAATGATGTTATAAGGGCCCAATCATTCAGATAGGTTCTCAATACATGATATCAAAGAAGGCCACATCCAGTCATGCGGTTATTTTCTTTTTTTTTTTTTTTTCATTTTCCTTACTCAGAAAATAAGAGAGAGATCTTTTCTCTTCTGGATTAATGTTAGTCCCCTAAAAGAACTCTGATTGGCCTTCCTAGAGTTAAAAGTTTACCCCTGAATCAATCATTGTGTTCAGAAGACCCATGGTACCTGTCTCTGGGCAGGGCCACACAATTTAAAACTCTATTAAAACCATGGGGATGTTGCGAAGATGCAGTTCCCAAAAGGAAAGGAAGCTGGGCAGACCAAAAAAGTAATAGATATGTGCGATAGCTGGAAACAAGAGGGACGCTAACATTTATTGAGCACTACTGTGTTTTAGCTGTTATTCTGGAAACTTCCATGTAGCCACTCATTTAATTCTTGTAGTAAACTTAGGTTATAGGATTAGCAAGGTTAGGAACATGCTCAGAAAGTTTAACAGGATGAAATAAAAATGGAAGCTGTCTTCTAATTGTGTAAGTAACAACTGGGGAATTAGTAGGGACTTACTACATTGTTTTTGGCTTATGATAATAATGACAACTTTTCACTCTCTTAGGGTAGGCTCTGTGATAGGCACTTTGTATGCATTATACCTCACTTGTAATTTTCTTAACATACTCAGGAGCATAGTCTTATTGTAAAAGCCTGAACTAGGATTTGCATCCAGGTTTGTGACTCTGTAAAGGTCAGATGTTTTATCTTCATGTGCGGTCTGTCTGGATTGCTTTAGATTTAGCTCTTTTTCTTAGAGCTGAGTCCATTAACAACAAGAACAAATTAATATATGGAGATCATAACTTCAAAGATCACACAGTGTCAAGCAAGAACCACTAGAGACACATCTGCTCATGAGTCCTTAGTAATATGCACAGAGACAGGATGACAGGAAGGATGTGTTCCAAGGGCATGGGTTTCATGAAGAATGAGTCAGAAGCAGGCAAATAAGACCAGGAAAAGAAACATCAAAGCACCCTAGTTGCTTTTCATTTGATCTAGTCCAACCTTTTCTGTGCTTGTACATTTTGCCATAAAGAATTAGATACCATCTAATTCTCATGTCATTTTCTAATCTAGGTCATCACCTTTTATAGTTTGACAAGGCCCAAGAAGGCGAGTTTTTGATTTTTTTGGTATTCGTTCTTTTTACTAATATGTCTTAGGCCTAAGTCAACTTCTTTCTGGAGTGTCTAACTTGGGCTCATATAACCACGGTCATCCCACACAGTAAATCCTTCCCAAGGCAGGGCCTTACTCAGGTAGCCTAAGATCCAGGGCTGCTCAGTTGTGTTTGCAGCTATGACTAGATGATTTTTTAAAGTTAAGCTGTTAAGAGCCTCTGTGGTATCCAGTAATAACAGTTTCAAATTTTATTCTAAATAAAGTGTAATATAATTATGTAGGTATGTTTCCTGAACATTAGATCACATCTTTTAAAAACCATATTGGCCCTAAGTTTGTTGATCAATGTCCGTAGACCAATATGTGATCACAGTGAATTCAATGCTCTGTAAAAACTGCTTATGTCTTCTTTCTTGGCCTGATATTAAAATGAAACCAGTAATTCTCACGGTATTTAAAAGGAAAGCACATTGTGACACTCAGCAATAATATAATTGTTACTTTTTGTGACTAAATGATATTGCTTCTTTTTGATGTTCCACCCACTCACCATTTCAGTATTCACAGTTCCTGGAGAGGGATTGAAATCTGTTTCTTGCTGTTTAAGGGGAACATACTGTTTGAAAACACAAAAAGAGTACTAATGGCATCCTGACTAGCAAAGATACTCCAGAAAATTTACTCCCAGGGTTGCTGTACACTTAATGTTAAGTTGGATGGCTCTTGAAACTAGATTCATGTTTTTCTAAATGTATTTGGAAAATAGAGTTACCCTAGTGTCTTCTGCATTGGTCAGTCTTGGCCCTTGTGTCTTCTGGACATGTACAGTCATTTAGAACACCCGAATCACCCGAGGATCTTGTGAAAATATGGATTTGGATTCAATAGTTCTGAGTTGGGGCCTGAGATTTTGCAAGTGGAAAAAGCTCCCAGGTGATGTCAGTGCCGCTGATCTGTGACCACACTTTGAGTAGCATGGATCCAGGCTGTCCTTCATGTTAGAGAGGGAAGGATGCCCATGGATCTTCTTGAGATCTACCTGGTATCTTACTCACCTGGCAAAGTGACTGGTTCCCAATAGGTGCCCTATGTATTTGTTGAATTAATGAATGAATGAGAGAACTCCTTGTCTAAGTTTACTATTAATCTATAGCACACATGTTCTAGAGAAATCTAGAGATAGATTTAAAAAAAGAGAGAGAAAAGGAAGAAATAAACTTATTTCAATCTTCCCATCCCACTTTCATCCTCATTTCTATAACTATAGCCGTCATGGGCTAGTGCTAGTATTTAAGGCTGGCTTAGACATTAGTGCGGTGGGCCTAGTGGGTAAATGGCTTCTGGGGTTCAATTCCAGTGTTTTATTTATTAGTTGCCCATCAAATACCTATTTTGCATTTTTTGAGATGGTAGATGTAAAATAGTCTTGGGTATGAATCTTTAATTAGAAGCTATGATCTGCAATTTATGCATCAAATTTTTATAAGTATTATTTTATGAATGTGTAGAAAGAAATGATTGAAAAGAGACACTCAATTGAGATCTTTTTTCCTAACTGAAGCAAACATTGTTTAGATGTTTATTTTTTCCCTGAAAATTTTTTTCTACATCTTTACAATCCATAACCAAAATATAATATAAAGACAAAACAATTTCATGGTTGCCCTATCTCGAGACTGTTTGAAAACTATTGCCTGAGACGTGAGGTGCTAAGTTCCAGGAGTATGGGGGTCCATGTCTGTTCTTTCACTGATGTTGTCTTAAGTGCTGGGCTTAGAACAGGAGCTCAGTAAACCACTTTTGAGTGACAGAAGCTGGCAGGCTGATCTAGATATTTAGCGCCCCCCCCCCTTCATTTTAAATTGGGGATGATTGTGGCAAGTTTTCCCTTGAAGAATCCAAATTGTTGTTTTGACTCTTCAATTTAGTAATATTACCCAGAGCTTAATGTGATCATTACAAGCCTAAATTTTTTTTCAGGAATTGACTTCTAGAGGCAGTAATACTGTGATAAATAAAATTAAATAGAATATTTTGCTTCAGGACTTTCCAGAGCCATTTATGTTAATGCGCATTGAAAATTCCTAACAAGCATTTCTCAAACATACTTGACCCTGCAATCCCCTTTTCATGGAGCATTTGGGTTCTGTGAACTTTGGGAAAAGCTACTCTACATTATATTTCACTTTCCCCGTCTCTAAGGAAGGCCCACGATTATCTGCTTCCAGAGCTTGTTTATTTGTGAAATATAATCAAGATATGTGTTTGAAAATCACTACATATATTGTTTTAAAATATCAGTCATAAATAACTTGTAAAAATGTTCAGATGAAGAAAGCTCTTTGGCGATTAGGGCGTAAAATGTTGCTTTACTTTCTGAAACTCCACTTTTCTGGAAGTTACAACATATGTCTTCATATATGTATTTTTTTTCTCTATTCCAGATTAGCGCGTCGAGTTTCTGAGCCATGTGCATTTAGCATCTCAACATCCGTATGTCACATTCAGCCACATCAGGACTTGATATGGACTTCCATAGTACTCCTTACATAGATTAGGTTTTAGTCATGTATCTTAGTGTTAGCGATTTTTAAAAAAGAAAATGATAAAATTCCTTCCCTCTAAATTCTTTGGACTGATGCAGTTGAAAAGCGGTAGACATGCCAGCCATTTTACTTGCTTTTTATTTTCATGCTTATATTCCCTCTGTCCTTCTCTGGTTTGGCGTTTTGAATATCTTCTTGGGCACAACCCAAAACCATCTGATATATCTGTATTTTTTGTGTCAGTTTTCCTTTGAATCCTAATGATATTCTCCTACCTACTTTTCCCTGTGCTCATGATGTGAGATATGAGCTCTTTTGCCCTTGAAACTGACTTGTTATATAAGAACAGAAATATTGGCTGGGCACAATGGTTCACACTTTTAATCCCAACACTTTGGGAGGCTGAGGTGGGTGGATCACTTGAGGTCAGGAGTTCGAGAGTAGCCTGGCCAACATGGTGAAACCCCGTCACTACTAAAAATACAAGAATTAGTTGTACTTGGTGGCGCAGGCTGGTAATCCCAGCTACTCGGGAGGCTGAGGCATGAAAATTGCTTGAACCTATGTTTGTGAGCTTGTCTGACTTAGCAAAGTACTATAGACTGGGTGACTTCAATAATGGAGATTTGTTTTTCTCACAGTTCTGGAGGCTAGAAGGCCGAGATTAGGGTGCCAGCATGATAAGGTTCTGGTGAGGGCTCTCTTCCTGGCTTATAGATAGCTGCCTTCTCCCCATGTCCTTTCTTGGTAGAGAGAGCGAGAGTGAGCAGCTTCCTGGTGTCTCTTCTTATAAGGGCTCTAATCCCATTCTGAGGGCCCTACTCTCCTAGCCTCATCTAATCCTAATTACCCACCAAAGGCCCCATCTCCAAATACCATCACATTGAGGGTTAGAGCTTCAACATATATATTTCTGGGGAACTCAACATTCAGTCCATAACACTTTTCAGAATTTAAACTGGTAGTATACAATATTTCCAGAAATGGCATCTAAATAGAAAAATACTGGCAGAATATACATGAAAACATTAATGGTGGTTATTTCTAGACAGTAGGATTAGAGGTTTTCTCCATTTTCTATGAATTCAAAGTATATTGCTTTTATAACTGAAAAAATACAATAGGTATTATTTTTAAAGGAAAATGAAATACTACAGAATGTTCCATTTCCTAATAATCTTGGAATTTTCAAAATCTTTTTATTTCATCTTCTTGAAGTTTTTCTGAGAATTAATAAAAGTATCTACAGAACTTAGAGCACTCAGTTCTTGGTACATAATAGAGTTGCATAAATTTACTGCTCCTTCTTTTCCTCCTTTTAACATGATGACAATGTTAATGATAATAACAATGATAATTACTATATTGCCATAGGAGATATACCACTGGGCATAGATTATAGGAAAATAAAGTAGACAATAGCCACAAAATCAGGACAGACACATTTGTTGCAAGGTTTTTAAAAATGAGTTACTTATAAATAGAATAGCCTATTCATTGTCTTTACTTTTGGAGTTCTTAGTCTTTTTGATTCTGAGAAAATGAATTGGTTAAAAAAGTTGATAGATTGTTCTGTATTAGCATTCAGTTATACATTTAATATGAGCTCCTTAACTCTGTGCAGTAAAATGGCAGGCAGATGGGACACTGAGAAAACTTGAAGTCAGTTTTCGATGTGTCAAACTTTCATTTCAAAGACCGATTGAAGCCTAATACTTACTGTTGTGGAAAAATTTTTCGTCATTTTTTTTGTTTTGTTTTGGTTACCCTATAAGAGCTCTCTCTTCTCTACTTTCTAATGCATTGTTTCTAATGCTCTACCTTGTGTATAGAGTCTGTCATTGGTAATTTTTTCCCAATTAATTCCACATCTGAGTGTAATATTTCTAGTTGTTGGCTCCATAAATCAATAGGTTGAACTGCCCTGCAAGGTAGTCATGTTTTTTGTTACGTAGGGACCTGACTGCTCGCCAAATAAATTATGACATTGTGATGTATTATTTCCAATCACTATAAATTTTCAATATTTAGTGTATCAGTCATACCAAGTCAAGATTCAGTTATTTAGTTTCACTTACGTCTGTATTTTAGATGAGAATCCTTTTTCCCATTAGTAGATTTGAATTTCTTTCTCTCTCAGAGTCAAATTCCAAACATGCCTTATAAAACCAGCCATAAAATATACACATAAACTGTTTTTGTGTTTATAAGTAGATTCAAAAATATACACAGGTAAACTATATCCCAGATTAAAATCTGTCCACTTAAATGGTGTTCTGTTTTGTTTTTTAACACTTAGATTACTTTTATCACTGTTGCTTTGGTAATTTGATTCCCAGATATTAGATAAACATATCTAGATAATTCTCTGTATTGTATTGACACATGGTCTTGATTGGGAGCTTAAACTATCATCTCACAAATGACCCTCAGCTGTGAAAAAAAATAAGTTGTCCTAAATTCAGGGCTGTCTATACCATGGTTAATATGTGACAGCACTACCAAAATTACTTTCTTAAATTCTGTTTTGATGATCTTAAAAATAATTTTTATTCTTTATTTTTCTTTTTCTTTTCTTCTTTACCAACAGGACACAAAAATCGCTTCATTGGAACGAAACATAAGGGATCTTGAGGATGAGATCCAGATGTTAAAAGCCAATGGTGTGCTGAACACTGAGGACCGCGAAGAAGAGATCAAACAAATTGAGGTTTACAAAAGTCACTCCAAGTTTATGAAGACCAAGGTACGGTCCAGGGTTATAAACTTTTATGTTCTTAATGTGACTAGAAAGTTACAGTTTACATACATACTTTTTCCAAATACTCCATATAATATGCTTTATGTGATATTATTTAATATATGGACAACAAAGTAGAATGCGGAAGATTTTTAGTTCAGACATATAGATTCCAAAAAACAATCAGGGAAAACCTTTGATGGAATTTTCCTTACTGAGAGGTTCAGGCTTTAATTAGGAGTTCCTTTGGTATTCCTCTTCCTTGGGAATTAACATATTTATAGTCCACTCTCTTCCAAATTTCCACCATCATGTAAGTTTGCTATTTTTTTTGAAGTTGCTATCGTTGTCAAATTTCTTGCCTCTCCTAGAAGGTGATTGTCTCAAAATATTTGTGATTACAAGCCAGTTTAACTCATTTAAATGTTATTAGGTTGGGAGGCTGAGGCAGGCAGATCAGCTGAGGTCAGGAGTTCGAGACCGGCCTGGCTAACGTGGTGAAACCCTGTCTCTACAAAAAAGCACAAAAATTAGCCAGGCATGGTGACATGCACCTGTAATCCCAGCTACTCAGGAGGCTGAGGCAGGAGAATCACTTGAACCTGGGAGGTAGAGGTTGCAGTGAGCCAAGATGGTACCACTGCACTCCAGCCTGGGTGACAGAGCAAGACTACATCTCAAAAAAAAAAAGTTATTAAGCTATTTTGGTTTTAGCATAGTGTTTAAGACATAAATAGTTTTGAGTCCCAATGCTGCTCTTTAGTTAAATTATTCAACTTCCCTAAGCCTCAGTTTCTTTATCCGTGAAATAGGGATAAGAAAAATACCTACGTCATTGGGTTGGTCTGATGATTCCAGGAGATTATTCATTTAAAGCCCTTAGTCCCTTGTCTGATTAAGTATCCATTGAATGGCAGGCATTGTTGTTGACAGTGGTATTCATGTTATTATTGTTATCTATTGCTAGGAATCTTTATAAAATATTCTAGAGTAACCTGCTCTATTAGTTTATATTGTTATTGTCAGTTTTAAAGATTTTGGATTGTATTTTTTCAAAAATAAATTTGTGGCTTTAAATGGACCAAGCACCTGAATATTTATTATTTTTACATATGCATAATTATTAAATTTACGAATAGCCCAAATAGGTCTTTTGAGACTGTGAGATGCTTTTATCTGTTCCTCTGTTTAAATCATTTTGCTTCTGAAAATAATAAGTACACCAATTAAAAAAATTTGTTTTCTTTTTTCTTTTTCTACCACTTGCTCTTAAATATGCCTGTTCTCTTGTTCTAGGTTTTAATTTTGTTTGTTGCTTTATGAAATGCAGCAGAGTTAGAGTAATGCAGACCTCTGTGAGAAAGCAGTGGGAGAGGAGAGAAAAATGTGTAAATGATTTTTATCAGTTGTGAAATATGTGCATACTCCTTGCTGAGTTTGCAAATTATAGGGAGGAAATTATATTTATCCAGTGTTTACTTCATCACAACGTGTGTGCGTGTGTGTGTGTGTATGCAAGCATGTATACACAAGGAAAAAACACAAAACTATTCATACTTCTGTCAACTTTCCATCTCTAACTAGATGTTGAGATTGTGCTGAAAACGTGGATCAAGGAGTGGAGATATGAGGGGACTGTCCAGTGGATTTGAATGTAACCAGGGACTGCCTCAAAGTTTAGAATAAGTTTCCCTGCGCAGTCCTTCCTCTGGTTTCTTTCTTGCAGTCCCTCCCTCTCAGAGAGTTAAGCCGAGGTTCGGCAAGCACAGTACTAGGGTGACCTGCAGACAGTGCCCAAATCATTCTGAAAATGAAGACCAGAGGCACAGATATGAGTGAACTCAAGAAGTTTGGGGGAAATTATTGTTTTGGCTTAAACTTTTCCCTCGACTCTGTTATTCCACAATGGGAGATTGTTCAAGCCACTTCTACAGCTGAAAATGTCATGAAATTTGTAAACTCTGCCCCTCATCATGGACTCTGTCCAGGTGAATAAAACATTTATATGATCTTCAGCAAGTCATGACCTTTATTAGCCCACGTTTGTCTGAGAGACCATCAATCCTTGAGTTAGATTTAACTTTTAATGGCTAGTTACTTTTAATGGTTCCAGAAGTGGTCAGGTCAGAAGAATGTTTGAGGAAAGTAGTGGAGTGAGGTGGAAAGAGTGCAGGCTGAAGATGAAAGCAGACTCCAGCAAGTCTCCAGCCTGCCTTTGCCAGCTGTATAGGGAGTGACTTGAGGAGTGACCAAAGTCACTTGACCACACATTCTTCTATAAAATAGGGGCGACAGCACCAACCTTACAGGATGGTTCAGATGGACTAAATAAGATTAAAATGCAATAGTGTAGTTAAAGTACCTGGCTCAAAAATCTAGCTTATAATGATAAACATTATTATTGAAGAGGTATAACCAAATAATAATCATAACAATAAGTGCTATATTTAACTTGACTAATGAGAAAAATGGATTTCTAAGAAATACAAATAAGATGAATTCTTATGTCATGCAGACACCTCTTTTATTGTTAAAAATTAGCTAAAAAGTACTAGTAAGGGTCAGTTTTTAATATTTTCTCCATTGAAAGAATGTTCTTATTGGATTGAACTATAACATTTGTTGCTAATGTTTCCTATCATTAATTACTTACGTTTCTTAATTCCCCTACTTGGTTTTTTTTGTTCGTTTGTTTTGAGGCAGGGTCTCACTCTGTCACCCAGGCTGGGGTGCAGTGGTGCGATCTCGGCTCACTGCAGCCTCTACCTCCCAGGTTCAACCAATTCTCCCACCCAGCCTCCTGAGTAGCTGGGATTACAGGTGCACACCACCATGCCAGCTATTTTTTGTATTTTTTTGGTAGAGATGGGGTTTCACCATGTTGGTCAGGCTGGTCTCAAACTCCTGATCTCAAGTGATCTGCCTGCCTCAGCCTCCCAAAGTGCTGGGATTACAGATGTGAGCCACCACACCCAGCCCAATTCTACTTTGAGTGATGAGTGTGATTCCTCATTTAAGCCTGGGAATACTGCTTGCATTACTATTAAAATGAATAAATCATGTAGATTGGAGGGAAAGAAAATATTTTAAATAGGCACATGGAAGGGTGTGCACTTCCATTTTGATCCAGAGCAGGTAGTTGGAATTGGTAGGGTCTCTTGAAAGTTCTTTGATTAAATTAAGTGTCAGTGAATGCCTGAATTGCTTTTACAAACATGACATCATAGAAAAACCATGATATAACATTTTTGGAAAGGTAGAAGATGGGTTGCAAAACTCAGCTTGTGCAAAGGCAGGAATACAAAACATAGTCAGCCAGGGTAGAAATCCTGGCATCTTGCAAGTCCTTTGGCACATGAACATTGTCTCTGAGAACTGAGCCTCTGGGAGATCTCAGATGTGTAACTCTCGTCTGTTGGAAACTCCAATTCCTACCCCAACACTGAAGGATTAGAGGAATCAAACTGTGAGAGCTGAATCTTGGAGGCCATGGAAAGCATGAATTACTTTCAGGAGCTCCATTAAACCTCGGAGAATGGAACATACCAAATACATAATTGTTTTTCTGGTAGGGAAAGAATAATGGCATTTCCTTTCTGTATAAGGCTTTGTTCCTAGTCTAGCACATTTTTCATCTACTCATTCCAGTATTTCTATATTAGCTGCTCCCTCTGTTTCCAGTGTTTGCCAAAGATGCCGATCTGCTGTCTTAGATCTCCTCCTTTATTCTGAATTTGTAACACATTTTCTTATAAACCTCTGATAGATTACAAACCTCCTAACCCAAACTTCATGATAGTAAGCATATCACTTTCTAGACATAAGGGCCATATCTGCAGTGAAAAAGAAGCTGTTTTCCTTGGCAGAGTGTTTTTTTCAGGGTGTAGTTTGTGTCACAGACGTAAGTGGGGGAAGAATTTTCAGACGGGATGAAGTGTGCCTGATGTCCACATGGACTTCATATAAAGCATGTGATGTAATTCCGATTGGCTTTTCTTCTGGCTGTCACAGAGACAGACCTTCCCTGGCCTCAGTTCTCATGTATGTTCGATTGCATCACTTTCCATTTTTATGGAATTTATGGCTGTAAAAGAAGCAAAAGGGATATTTTTATGGGAGAATATGATTTTTTTTACCCTGTAACTATGTTCCCCTTAGAAAGGCTCTTTTCTGTTATTGTCTACATAAATATTTATTTAAAATTTACCTTATGGCAGCAATGCCTGAAAGCTATTTAGAGCCACTGCCTATTTAATATTTATAGACTGAAATAGTTTTATCATTATCAATCTATTTTTATTGACTAAAGGAGGTGTATGTAGACCCTGCCATGCCCTTCCTCCTGACTAAACCCTATTGTCTATATCCAGTTGATTTCCTTTTCATTTCTCTCTCAATACACCAAACCCGACACTGGCTTTCTACTGTGGTATTTGTAGAAGTTAGCACGAATCGGTTTTTTCACTATAAACATCATCTTTGCTTAGGTGTGTAGAGTTGAAAGTTTTTGAGTGTCAATTTCAGATGAATCAGTTTCATATGTGGAATCAACTATAAACTGTGCTGTCAGCTACAGCTGGATATAATTTGGGGCCATACCCCCCTGAGAAGAGTGTTGATCATAACAGATTTTAGTATCTTTTATCATTTTAGATAATCCTAATTCTGATTTTCCCTGTTTTTATTTATACTATATTCTTGTTATGTATGAGAGAGAGAGAACTTCTTACTTTTGTTCCACATAAAAATGACCACACACTCATGATTCATTAAATTATAAAGAAATAATGTGTTTCAGAAACTGCACATATCTGAGCAGTGCTCACTTGCTCACATATACCTGGGGCACATTGATAAGCAGTCATGATTCTTTCCCAGTGAATATTTAAACATACTTAGGATCCTTCTCAAGACCGTTTTTTGTTTAGCCACTACCAATCCTTTAGATTTGGCTAGCAAGATGAAGCTTGTTTGTTCCCTGACATAGTCTGACTTCTTGCAAATGGGATTTCCATTCATATCAACCTTTCTACTAAGTTATGCAACCTGAACCCTTCTGAACATGGGAGTCTCACTCCTGTTCATGCTCAGCTAATATTGTCAGTAGCTTGTTATTGTTTATGTCAGTTTTCTTGCTGAAAGCAACAAAAAATACTGAATGAAATATATTTTTAAACATATATTTTAAAATGTACTTATGAGCTCTTGAGTAAGAAAGAACCTCAAGAGTCAAAGCTAAGCCATAGCAGGAAGCCTGTGTGATAAGTAGAGCATGGGTTATGTATGTATTAGTCTGTTCTCATGCTGCTAATAAAGACATACCCATGACTGGGTAATTTATAAAGGAAAGAGGTTTAATGAACTCACAATTCCACATGGCTGGGGAGGCCTCACAATCATGGTGGAAGGCAAATGAGGAACAAAGTCATGTCTTACATGGCAGCAGGCAAGAGAGTGTATGCAGGGGAACTGCCCTTTATAAAACCATCGGATCTCATGAGATTTATTCACTATCATGAGAACAGCATGGGAAAGACTGGCCCCTCCCCCATGATTCAATTACCTCCTGCTGGGTCCCTCCCATGACATGTAGGAATTATGGGAGCTACAATTCAAGATGAGATTTGGGTGGGGACACAACCAAACCATATCAGGTTATTTATTCTTGTTGGCAATTTTCAGATAGATGAACTTGAGCTCTGGTTTTCATAGCCACAAGGACACTGAAGAAAAAAGACAGAAGTCTGGGCCTACTTAAGATGAGGGATTGTAGGAACCCTATTACCACCACCACATGAAGCTGGGATCTCAGACAGCTATACTGCTAGTGCAGAGGCAAACTAAAAATAACCTTACCATATTCCCCCTCCTCACACTTAGACTAGGGGACTCCAGGGAAGATTTTCTGTTTTAAAGCTTTGAGCCAAGTAAAAGATGAAAAAATTTGTTCTCAGAATCCATAACCACAGCTGGCTGTTACATGGATGTGCTGTGCAAGATGATCGGAAAACTTCAGGTAGATAATGTAGCTTAAAGCAGCTACATTCTTGGTTGGTAGTGTCCCCAGGTATTGGCAGAGGCAAATTCTCTAAAGGACCACATAAGCCTTAAAGTATTTTTTCAGATAAAGTTCCAAAAAAAAAAAACTAGTACACAGTACCAAAAAAAGGAGAAAAATCACAAAATCTGCAAGAAAACAGGCCACCATAAATGACAGCCAGTAGAAAGAATAAATAGCAGAATCAGAAAGCAAAGACTTCAAAAGTTGGAATTATAAGAAAAAGACTATGAAATATTAATAAGTGTGTTTAATATGTCTAAATAAGAGATTGAAAATATGAATAAAGAACAAGAGACTATAAGAAACCAAGCAAATTTAAAGATAACCAAATCAAGACTTATAGTCTGAAGGATTATCTTAGGAATGAAACAAGGCTGAAAATTAGTATAAACATCCAACTTAAAAAGTTAGGAAAAGAAAATAGAATAAGCCCAAAGAAAGTGGAAGGAAGGAAATATTTAAAAGCAGCAGACATGAATGAAACAGAAAATAAAAGTGTAATTGCATAATCAATATAGCCAAAATTGGTTCCTTGATAAGAATACTTAACTTGACATGTGTCTACTGAGATTCATCAGGAAAAAGAGTGGTTAAAGCTAAAATAAAACTTGAAAAAAGAGAGGTTAATAATGTAGAATATTAGAAATGAAAAGGAAGACATAATCATAAATGCTATTGATATAAGGATAAGTGGGTTTTTTAGACGTTTCCTGCAAATAAGTGTGAAAATTTAGATGAAACAAAAAATTCTTTGGGGAAAAAAATGTATCAACACTGACTCAGCTAAATAGAAACGTGAATATTCCTGCAGCCATTAAAAGTGGATTAGTAAGTAATGTTCTTTGGAAAAAGAAAATAACAGCTCTGAATGGTTTTGCTGGTGATTTCTAATGAACATTAGTGTAAAAAAAAAATTCCAATTTCACAGGAACCATTTCCAAACACATTAAAGGAAGGAACACTTCCTACTTCATTCGGAAGGCTATATTGATATTAAAACCTGACAAGGACAGCATAGGATAGGAAAATTATAAACCAGTCTCAGTCATAAACATAAATAAAAGATCCTTACAAAATATTAGCAAGCTGAATCCAGTAACATATAAAAAATATGTAATGATCGAGTGGAGTTTTTCATAGTAATGCCAGGGGAGATTAAGGTTAAAAATTTCATTAATGCAATTCATTACAATAACATATGAAAGTTGAAAAATGGCGATAAACCATGAGATATAGAAAAAAATGTTTGGTAATGTTAAAAATTCACTACTGATTAAAAAATACTTTTGGTATAGTTGTAATAATGCGAAGCCTAATAAAATGTCTATAAAAAACCAATGCAGACACAAAATGTAATGATGAAACATTGAAATTCTTCCCTTTGAGGCCTGAAACAAGACAAAGGGGCCACCATGACCACAGGCCTCCCTGTCTTTCTGCATGGCCTGTCCATATGTCTGGTATGGTCTTCCTCACACCATGGTGGTCACAGGGTGGTTGAGCTTCTAGAACATGGTGGCTGGCTTCCAGTGGGTAGAAGCAGAAGCTGCCAGTCCCCCTGTAGGCTAGGGCTATAACAGGTATACTGATTATTTTGCTGCATTTGTTGGCAGAAGGAAGTCACAGTCCAGCCCAGGTTCAAGAAGAGGGTAAATAAACTTCAGCTCTAGTTGTGAGGAGCGACATTTGTGTACAAGTAGGAAGGAATGAAGGAATGGGTAGATGATGTCTCTGCAGATCATCTACCTGCACAACGCATATCAAATTGGCAAAAGTGTAAAAGACCAGTGACATAAGTTATTAGTGAAGAGGTGGAGTGGTTGGCATACTTGCAAGGTGCTTGTGATCATGTAAATTAACAGAACTGTTTTGGAAAACATTTTTTTGTTTTTGTTTTTTGAGTGGAGCCTCCCTCTGTCACCCAGGCTGGAGGGCAGTGGCGTGATCTCGGCTCACTGCAACCTCTGCCTCTCAGGTTCAAGTGATTCTCCTGCCTCAGCCTCCCGAGTAGCTGGGAATACAGGTGCCTGCCACCACAGCTGGCTAATTTTTGTATTTTTAGTGGAGAGGGGGTTTCACCATATTGGCCAGGCTGGTCTCGAACTCCTGACCTTGTGATCTGCCTGCCTTGGCCTCCCAAAGTGCTGGGATTATAGGTGTGAGTCATACATTTTTGTTTTATCTAGTGAAATTGAAGATGAATATGCTATGTGGTTCAGCAATTTAAATCTTAGATAGACACTTGAGAATATTATTGCTATGTGAACTAGGTTATATGTATAAGAATGTTCAGAATAGCATTTTTTATAGTAGCAAAAAACCTAAGAACAGAACCGAATTTCTATCAACAGCAGAGTGGGCAGATAAATTGTGGTGAAGTCTTACAATGGAATACTCTACTTCAGTGAAAATGAATGAACTCTATGTACAACATTGTGATTTAATCTTCAGGACATAAGATTGAGTAGGAAAAAAAGCAAAGTAGGAAAAAAAATTGTAGCCCAAATAAAGTTTAAAAACATGCAAAACCAAATAGTGTATATTTATGGATGCAAAAATATATGATCAGCCTAAAAGACAAGCAAAGAAATAATAAACACAAAATTTGGGGTGGTAATTATTTCCAAATGGGGGGAGGAGATAGAAATGGGATAGGACATGGGTAATTCTAGTGATCTTTTTTGGTGAATTGAATTATGGATTTTTTGGGTCATTTTTCCTCATACCTCACGTATATTTTATGTTCTTTTTGTATCTTCTCAATATTTAATGTAAGCAAAAAGATGATCCCCAGTGCTTACTTGTTTTTTAGGATTCTTTTGTCAAATGATGCCCTTGAATGATTATTTGCACTGTGGAGTTATGCCTTGGTTTAATTACCCATGTTAGATCCCTATTGACTCTCCTCAGGACCATGGTGGTAATATACTTGGTGGTTTCACAGATGAGTAGGTTTGGCTGGGAAGGCTTCATTCCATTGTGAAATTTGGTCCACAGTGGGATGGAGGGCAGTCTGCTGACCTTTCCATTCCTATTTCCTATACTCTCAGTGACCTTTACAGATTTTCCTCCAGAACCCAAAGACTGTGTGATTCCCAAGGCCATCTTTTTTAAGCAAATTCGTGGCCTGCCTTGTTGGATTATTGATCACTGGCTGCTGAAATGGAGAGAAATCAGTAGTTGTCCAATGTAAAGTGTAGGGGCAGCAATTTCTAATTTCTTGCAATTTTGTTGTTGTTTTGCAGATTGATCAGCTGAAGCAGGAACTTTCAAAGAAAGAGTCGGAACTTCTTGCCTTACAAACAAAGCTTGAAACCCTCAGCAATCAAAATTCAGATTGCAAGCAACACATTGAAGTGCTCAAAGAGTCACTTACTGCCAAAGAACAGAGGGCTGCCATCCTTCAGACTGAGGTAAGGCACTCTCTCAGGATTCTAGACAGCAGAGACATTGAATTGATAGAAATTGCCCTACCTGAACAACTTTCCTCCAAAGACCCTTTATCCTAACCCTTGGGGCCAGATGTATTTTGAAATTCATATTTGTTGGGCTTTCAGAAAGGTGAGATGCATTGTATAGATTGTGTAACACTGCAAGTGAAGTTGTAGCAACACCCCATAAACAAACACATGCATATTTTTGCATTAAAAAAATTTCTTATACTAAGTGGGATAAATAAAGACTGTATAATTAGACTCTTGTCAGTTTGTGTCAAGTTGTGCCACCAAAGGTGTTTGGTTCACACTTGGAATTTCTTTTTTTCATACTTCGGAGCATTTTAGATTTGGTAAATCCAAGTCAAGGGCTTGGATCTAGAATGGTTTCATTTTATCAAAAATCATAAAATAACTGGAATGTCATCTGCCTTGCTTTGCTGTGCATCCTCTGTATGGGTTCCCCTTCTGGCACCCATGTTTCCAAAGGGTTCTTGTTTACTAAGGAGTATCTTCAATTTCTTTTACCCATTGAAGAAAGTTGATATTGTGTGAGTTTCTCAAAGGAAATATTGGTTTGTTATCTCTTATTCATGCTTAGAAGAACAACAAAAATATGTTACTATCCTATTTCCTTGCTTTTCCTCCTTGGATTACATCTTTGGGTCTGCTAAGAAATGCAAAACACAAGCTAGTTATTGTGTAAATAAAATAGTTATCAAATGCAGCAGGCAATAGGGAAAAATGTGGTGAATCTTGATTTTGTGTTGAGGCACTGTGCTGTGTGCATTACTTTAGAAGGCATTCTAATCAACATGCATGCTCTCTCTTGGGCTCTTTGAGCTGTGTCTTTGCATGTATATATTTTAGCATCTGTGGGGAGGTTTGGATTGGCCTTAGGAGTTAATGGGACTGTTGAGTAGATCTGTGCTTTCAGTCAAGGTGCACGACAGTGTCCAGAGGCGGAAGAAAATACTTTCTGGATTGGATAGGTCTTAGCATGAACCTGACTCAGCCCCTATACCTTTGACCATTGGCTGATAGGCAGCTACCTGAATGCTTCAATTCGAAACAATCACCTTGGTCTCAATGATGTAGATATTTCACATTTAAAAAATACCATTTTCAGGCTGGGCGCGGTGGCTCACGCCTGTAATCCCAACACTTTGGGAGGCCAAGGCGGGTGGATCACGAGGTCAGGAGATCCAGACCATCCTGGCAAACACGGTGAAACCCAGTCTCTACTAAAAAATACAGAAAATTAGCTGGGCGTGGTGGCGGGTGCCTGTAGTCCCAGCTACTCGGGAGGCTGAGATAGGAGAATGGCATGAACCCAGGAGGCAGAGCTTGCAGTGAGTGGAGATCGTGCCACTGCACTCCAGCCTGGGTGACAGAGTGAGACTTCGTCTCAAAAAAAAAAAAAAAAAAAAAAAAAAGAAATACCATTTTCAGTTGTGTATAGTTCCACTGTGAATGCAAAGGTATGGGTATTTTATTTTTTAAGGCAAACATTTAATCTATACTATAAATTGGAAGTTGGCTTCTATCTCCTTTGAGGAGGCAGCAGTGAATAGTATCTAGAATTGTGTGTTAACACTGTAGCCACATGTGGCTATTTAAACTAAAATTAATTAAAATCCAGTGAAATTCAAACTGTAGTTCTATAGTCACATTAGCCACATATCAAGTACTAACAGTTACATGTGGCTAGTGGCTGCTGTATTAGACAGCACAGCTAGAGAACATTTCTACCATCTAGTACTTGTCTCAAATAGGGGTCAACCAAAACTATGGCTTGTGGGCCAGATCTGGCCCTGAGCCTGCTTTTGTAAATAAAGTATTATTGGAACACAGCCATACCCATTCATCTACATGTTGTCTTTGGCTGCTTTTGTGCTACAACAGCAGAGTCGAGCAGTTGCAATAGATATTGTATGGCCCACAAAGCTGAAAATATTTACTGTCTGGCTTTTTACAGAAAGTTTGCCAATTTCTGGCATTGTGATTTTGTGGGAAGAGGATTGAGTGGGCATTGGAATGCCCAGCTAGTCTTCTCTCTGGCTGTGGTACCCTAAATGGAGAAAGTTTGCTGACAGCTGTTCTAGAGCATTCATTTTTCTTCACTGTATTATTCAAAAAGCAACTGCTTGTACCCATATTTTGTCAATAATACCAGGATTACCGATAAAGTTAGTGTAATTGTGTTGCTGTGTGTTGTTGGGTAGGAGAGAATTTGAGAAGCAAGGCAGTCTGCTTACCCAAACCAGCAGTCAGGTTTCTTGATGGTTTCTCTCCAGAGAAAATGAATGAGGAGCCAGGTCAGAAAGGCTTTTCTTCTCACTATCTTATACTGATGGAGGCTATATTCCTTGTCCTCTTTCCTTTCTCATTCCCCTCCCTGTATTTTACCTCTCTCAAATTAATGTAGTCCAAATTAGACCTATACATATTTCATGAAAAAGACAGTGGTGACATTATGTGGATAGCTTCCGTCCCATGTTCAATAATTAAAATGACCAAATAAAGAGTTGGTGCTTTGAAGTAGAAAAAAATTATTCTCCGTGTGCAGAGAAAGTGAGATGATTTTCTAAGTCTTCTGCTTTGAAGTTGGGAGTATGAGATTACTGATTTTATCAGCTGGAAACGGCTGAGGAATTTTCTTTTGCCTTTTTTTTCCTTTTAAGATCTCTTTGTACATGGAAACAGAGGAGAAACTTATCTAATTACGTCTGTCTCTTAGGGGGAGCAATTTAGGTTGAAATTGCTCTAATTGTTGGATTGTGGGCAGAGGATTTTTGGCAGCAGTGTAGAATACTTTAAAGTGATTTCCCCACTCTTTGGGATAGCAGAGGTAAATAAGAGTCTTTCTACCTGCTGTGTGGTGTGTTAGTGGGTGAGTATTCAGAAGATGAGATATGTTGTGTTTCATTATGCCCTACAATGAAAAATCTGAATTTAAATTCATATGAAATAATCTGTACACCAAACCTGTGAAACACAATTTACCTATACAACAAACCCACACATGTATCCGTGAACCTAAAATAAAAGGTTAAAAAAAAAAAAGATATGGTGCTCATCCTCAAAGGAGGTTACATGTGATAGCTCCTTGCAATTTGATTCCTGAGTCATTCCTGAAAGTTCTTGCCAAAACAGAAGGGGGCTCTCTTTGTAATGGGGAGAGTCCTGCTATATCTGTGCCATCAACTGGCTTTGGCTGCTCTTTTAGAATAGTATAAATGACAGACGTCATGGCTTAACGGTTCATCTCTGTAAAGAAGGTTTTGCTACCAGGGAATTTGCATTTGGGAGTTGGTAGGATGAAGGGTGGGGTGAGGTGTAGGAGGCAAGCTGTCTCGGTTTGCGGCTATGTGGCTTGGCTCTTTGGTTGGTTTGTTTGAACTTGTACAAATGCCCAGACACTCTGACATGTGTGCAATAAATCAATAGAATAATAATTACATACACAGAGAGATACACCACATAGCTCTTAACATAACATTTTACTTTTTAAAATAGCTTCAAAGGACTCTAAGGCCAAGTTTCTTATTTTGCTACTGCCCTTGATGTTTCCTTTGTACCAACTTACCCCATCCACCAACACATGAATTCCACAGCAGTAGAGAAAATAATGAATTGGTGTTCTCTAGCACCTTGATTTTTCTGGATTTCAGTGAATAATTAACAACATATCCATAAACTGGGAAGGATTAAGGCCTAACATTTATTCTGTGATCTAAAGTAAAATGTCAAACAAAACACAGCATTTAGAAGTGGGAGATGTGTGGTTATACCTCAGCCTCCCTATTCAATAACTGTGTGGCGTGGACAAGACTTGAACTTCTCTGAGCCTTCATGTCACAGTCTATGAAATGGCAGTCATTGTATCAGCCTCATACATCTATGTGAAAAGTGCTTTGATTATAGTCAAGGGTTACAGCTATAAATTATGGTATCACCATTGCTGTTATTATTATCATTACTACTATTATGTTTATCAGGGATGTTTGGGCAGGTCACACCTGAATACTCTACTTCACTTGTCATCTTCACATCTGTTCTGTGTTTCACTTTGTGGGTCTCTTTTGAATTTTTGGTATGTGCATTTATAGACCTCGGACTTCTATACTTCAATTGAGTCACTTTTTTATGTCTTAGAATGATATGGACAAATAAAGATACTATGAAAGTGACCATCTCTTTTGTTCTATCTCCAAATTAAGATTTTTATTTCTGGCCAGGTGTGGTGGCTCACACCTGTAATCCCAGCACTTTGAGAGGCCGAGGCAGGGGGATCACTTAGGGTCAGGAGTTTGAGACCAGCCTGACCAACATTGTGAAACCCTATCTCTACTAATAATACAAAAATTAGCTGGACGTGGTGGTACGGGCCTGTAGTCCCAGCTCCTCAGGAGGCTGAGGCACAAGAATCACTTGAACCTGGGAGGCAGAAGTTGCAATGAGCATGAGTTGAGATCATGCCACTGCACTCCAGCCTGGGTGACAGAGCGAGACTCCATCTAAAAACAAAAACAAAAACAAAAACAAAAACAAAAACAAAAAAAAACAAAAAAAAAGAGAGAGATTTATTTCTGATTTCTGGCAAGTATACTTTTCTCCAACTCGGCATGGTTTGCAAACTGCCAGGCAACATTTTTGCATGTGTTTTCCAAGATGTGTTATATGACAGTGGTACATAATGCTAATTTCTGTCCCAAATAAGCCAGAGAAGGATTCTATAATACTTGTCTAAGAGTAAACACTTGAGAACCCGTTCATTAACAAAGAATGCAGGGGTTTTGTGTTTATGCAGGCAAGGGCAACATAGTGGCAGCTGCAAAGCAAGGGTTCATAACTTCTAAAAAATATAATCAACACAGATGAGAATCTTATGCAATTAAACCCCCCCACCAAAAAAAAAATCCACATGGGCACATACATGCTAATATTCACATGCAGTAGTGTATATAATTTCAGGTAGTTTATAGATGCTCTAGAGCATTTCCAAGAACTTCACATTAATAATCTTTGCTCTCTGGGCTTCATGCATTTTTTCATTTAACACATACTTTTTGAATGCCTACTATGTGCCAGATATGGTTTCTGCTATCATTGAGCAAACGTTCTTTTAGACACGTGGATATATGTTAGAGAACTGATTTATGGTACCATAAACTCCCAGTGATTTCATTATCATTGATTACTAATAATTCCACACCGAATCTTGATCTTTCTTTTGTTGTTTAAAAGCAGATAAGTAAAGGAAGGAAAGAAGACACGAAGAAATAGATATTTCGCTCCCTTGAAGACTAAAATATGCAACTGTTCAAAGTGTCTATTTGTATCTCTTATAATTGAAGGCTAATATTGCTAAGGTGGTTACCCTAATAATATTGAGACTATCTTTTGATTAAAGCTGATCCTCTTTGAGGTCACACTCAAGCAACTTGGTTCTCCTTCTTGAGAAAAGAGATGATATTTATGGAGTTGCAGGCATTCTGCTAGCTTCATTATTTCGGGAGTTCCTGCATAGACTTGGAAATGCTTTAGCTGGTGGTATGTCACACAGACCCTTCCCACAATGTGTCCAAATCAGTGAGGTGTCATTTGATAATATTTGATAATATTGATAATACTGGGCATCTATGCTGTGCAAGGTGCTGGACAAGGTGGGGATCCGTAATTTCAAGAGCTGATAGTCTTAGCCTTTTAAATGTAATTTTATTACTGAGTGTCTTATGGCTGCTACACTGAGTTCCAGGAGATGCAGCTGAGTGTTTTCCATGTGATATTTTAAAACTGACTCACCACTTGTGAAGTTGGTATTGTTGCCCCTATTTTTAAGATGATGAAATAGAAGCTCAGAGGATGTATAACTTGCTCAAGGTCATACAGAGGTAAATGGCAATGTCTGGGTTCCCAGCTCCAAATGCCTTTAACTAGGAATCTAGTGATTTCCATGAGAGTCCCAGTGGACTGAGGGCTTTCTTCATGTCAGGAAGATGACTTATCTCTTTTAATCTTTGTTTTATTTTATTTTATTATTTTTTTGCAGCGGGGTCTTGCTCTGTCGCTCAGGCTGGAGTGCAGTGGCATGATCTCGGCTCACTGCAACCTCCGCCTCTCGGGTTCAAGCAATTCTCCTGCCTCAGCCTCCCAACTAACTGGGATTATAGGCATGCAACACCATACCCAGCTAATTTTTGTATTTTAGTAGAGACAGGGTTTTGCCATGTTGCCCAGGCTGGTTTCGAACTCCTGGGCTGAAGCAATTTGCCCGCCTCAGCTTCCCAAAATGCTGGGATTACAGGCGTGAGCCACCATGTCTGGCCTCATTTAATCTTAAAGGCAAAATTTGTGGCAAGTTTTATAATTCTGTCTTGACAGGTGAGTTCACGGAATTTTCAAGAATGCTTTCTAGGCATAACTCTGACATGGCTAAGAAGGGGGATAAGAATGAATAACTCTGAGGCTTAAATCCTCGTGGTAACATTATGGCTATAATAATAGTGACACTATGGCCATAATAATGAAGGTCATTGCCCAAACTCTAGGGAGGGTATTGTTTTCAGGAAGTTTAGAATCCTAGTATATTAAGAAAAGTTTATCATATAATATTTAGTTTTTATTTCCTTAAATATGTTTAAAGACGTTTATATATATACAAACATACACATACATACACATATATTCATATATGCATGCACACTATGTAAAAACAAATAAAAGAATGGATGGCTGTGTATGACTTTGTTCTCTCTGATTGTTGGATACCCAGGTGATCTTTAAATTTTCTATGATGATGCACATGTCGTACATTTATAGTAAAAAAAATTAAATGCTTTTTTTTTGAGACGGAGTCTCGCTCTGTCGCCCAGGCTGGAGTGCAGTGGCGTGATCTCAGCTCACTGCAAGCTCCGCCTCCTGGGTTCACACCATTCTCCTACCTCAGCCTCCCAAATTAAATGAATTTTTAACAGAAGCAGCAATGATAATTTCTTCAGGGAGGTTGTGTAAGGTGCTGGTGGAGGAGGAGGTGTTTTCTGAGCCCGTGGCAGCATTTTTCTGTCTCTGAGTCACAGATGACTCAGTGTGATAACACAAACTAGAGAGCAGACTTGGGCTGTCAGTTTGCAAGATGAATCATAAAAACCAAACTTTTGAGAATGAAAATGTTGTTACATGGAGAAAAGAACACATTTTACATGGCCTTGCTTCTCAGTTTATTTGCCTTGAGATGGGCCCTCTGTCCCCCAGTTCTTGGTAAAGCTACAACTCTTGGGCATTAAAGGTAACCATGACAAGGAGTTGGGAATGCTTTGTGGCCTCCAGGGACTGTGGGACTGTATGCATTCACACGGGGCTTTGCAAACTATTCCAAATACTTAAAAGAACTACTTATTCATTGGGACTGACCCATTTGGAGCAAAAGAGTTTTTTAAATGGTTGGAAATAGTATTTGCCATAGCATATAAGGTGGGATTTACAAGAAGTGATCTTTTACTTTTTTAATTGACGTGTAATAATTGTACATATTTATGGGGTACGGTGATTTTGATACATGTCAACAATGTGTAGTGATCAATTCATGGTAATTAACATATCTGTCACCACAAATGTTTATCATTTTTTTGTGTTGGGAACCTTAGAAATCCTCTCTAGCTGTTTGAAAGTATACAATAAATTATTGTTAACTGTGGTCACCTTACAGTGCTACAGAACGCTAGAATTTATTCCTCCTATCTAGCTGTAATTTTGTATCTGTTAACCAACCTTTCCCTTTCGCCCCTCACCCCTCTTCTCCTATCCTTTAGTAACCAGTTTACTTTTAAACAATAATTTCAGGTTTTTTTCACCCCTTGCCATAATTGACTGGCAAGCAGTAAAGTCCTTTTTAATCAGTTCAGCCTTCAAAGGATAATATTTAAATGTCCTTTCTGAGATAGCTTTTTGTTTAATGCCCTTCATAGTCACTGCATTCAAAATTAAGATGCTTTTTAGAAAAGTTAGTAGCATACAACAAAATCAACTTTTAAGACTGTTAAATTACCCCAGTGCCATTTAGGATGCATTTATCTCACTTTCAAGACTTGCAAGGAATGTCTTTAAAACTAATCAATTAAGGGACTTGGTAAAAGAAAAATATATATACAAAACAAAGCCCTGGTGTCATTTGTATTTTTCCTCCCTAATCCTGCTGTTGGCTTCACATTTTAAAATGTTTTTATTTGACGGGAAAGGCTTCATTTGAAATTTTTATTGATAACACTTCTAACTACAAGAAAAAGACATAAACCTGCAAAACAGTAACTATCATGGTGGCCACAATTGGGAGGTCTGCAAAATGGTTTATTACCAGTAGGAAAAAAAATGTTGGGAACCATAGTCGTTATAGGGGTCACCACCTCGTCTATGTGCATTTTATTTTTTTCCCTTTCCATTTTGAGAGTATGGATGATGGTAGTGCCAAACAACACACTTTCCCCTCCCCTAATGTCTGTAGGCTTTGTTTTGATTCTCTTTTTATTAATGATGTGAAAACTTTGGGGTCACATACAAATGAGGCAAGGTCAGGCTTTGTGAGCCTTAGAATGCGGAAAATGTCCCTGTATCTAGCAAATGAAGGAATTGTCTATAGGGGCCACATTTACCTTCTAAAGTTTTTAAGCTCTTTTGCAGATTTTAGCTACCTGGGTGAACTTTGCAGAGTGGCCTCATGCTATTGCTTTCTTAAGGCAGAACATGAAAGACCTGTGATGGAGAAATTGAAATGTGATGGAAGGGAGCATCCCAAGTTTGTCATAAAAGCTTTTTATGGTTGTTCTGTGGCAAATTCTGGACTATTAAAGGATGGTGCAGGTAGCTACAGGCATCATTTTGTTCTACAGGTCAAGAGTCTAGTACTTTTGTTGTTGTTATTGTTGTTCAGGCTTTCAGAGAACGCCTTATTTAACACCTTGTTAGGATAAAATTGCTTTTGACTTTATAAACACAGGTGTTCAGTTTGAATCTTAATGAACTGTGAAATACGTAAATGTCTAAAAGGAAATTCTATAAATTGTGAACATGGCTCTGTCAGCACACTAAATGGATTAGGAAAATTCATTGTCTGCCCGGTAACTGAACACCAATGTGATGGGTGTACATGAATTCGTCCTGAAAAGCCAATAAAATGGAGGAAGAAAGTAGAGCCTAGGAGATGTTTTTTGTGTGGGTCCCCCCACCACAAATGAGTACTGGTGCAGAAGGGCTTGGAAATCAGAATGGCTATTCAGAGGAAGGCCAAGAAGGAATACATATGAGCAGACAACACAGAATTTATAGAGTAAAACCACAAACACCTTATTTTCCATTGTACTAAAATAATGATATTTTACAGTACTCTTTTTGTATGTAATTCTGCTTTCAATTTCATATTGTTACTGCAACTCAAATCTCATTATAAGTGTTCCAACAAAAATCCTTTTTTAATCAAAAACTTTCCAAACCTTAGCCCATTGTCAATGTATTTTGAGCAACTTATTTTTCCAGTGGAACAAAAGAATTTGGACCTTCTTTTTGAGCTCATTAGGATGTTATTTGACCTGTATGACCAAATATGTAATTAAGATAACAGAATCACTTTAATTTCTACATTAAATCTGTTCATAATCTGTGTCCATTGTTTTGGGGTGTAGAGGTATCGAGTCAGAGCTCTTTATTTTCTTTGAAAGAAAATGAATGGATCATTAGTGCTTTTGTTTGTTTATACTTCTGTTTGAAAAAGTCATTGTCTATAATATATTAAGCTGCAAGTGGAAGCGACAATATCCAATTAGCCAATCGTCTGTGAGAAAATACATGTCCTCTGCTAAGTGTTACTTACTGGTAAATGGTTTGCAGGAAGAAAAAGAATGTATTTCTGTCATGTCTGTGGGAAGCTGACTGGCCACTTTAAAAAGGAGATGACAGAATTTAGGAGGAGGGAAATCCAACAAAACTCTTACTGACCCCCGAGTTCACATTCTTTACTCTTTTTAAAATGAATTTTATGGAAAACAGAATTTATTAAGTACTTCCATTCCCTTCTTTTTCTTTGGAGGGGCACCATTTGGAAATAACCAGTTTACATTGTGATTATGCTTTCCTGACACTGGATCCACGTTTGTCACACTTCCCTCCATTCCCCTGGAAAAGGGCTAATATTTGCTGTAGTTGGGTTTCTTTACGTATATTTACACAGCAAACCAAAATGTCAAGAGTGAAGTTAAATAGCAGGGCTTCTGCAAGGATTTTTCACCCATTTTCATACGAACTTTTATCTTTCTTAAATTAAATACAGATATTTATTCCATGCAGACATATACTTTCCTCCTTTTGTCTTATTAAGAAAAAGGGAGGAATACAACTTGAGGTAATAAGTTGTGTAGTTAAGGATCATTTTAACTTTAGGAGTTTGGCATTATTGCAAGCATTTCTACCTTGAGGTCTGTGAAATTTATTTTATTGCATTTTTTAAAATTTTCAAACGTAGATGATTTCTTAAATCCTTATGACTATAACAGAACAACGTCTGGCTCCTACAATACTACTTGGCAGTTGCTAATTTGAAACGGGACAGATTCTGTGTTTGGTTATTAAGATCTGGTCAAATGTGAAGGAAAAGAGAAGATCCAACTCCTCATTTACTGAGTGTGACTCCTTTGCCCAGCCCCAGCAATGCCAGGGCCAGAAGGGTCAGCTCTCTCCACAGCGATGACTGTCTTTGACAGCTCTTCTAAGAGTAGTACCAGAAGGAGGGAAAGAAATGATCAGGAGGGGTCACAGAACTGCTGGGGATGTTCAGAGACCTAGGTGTCACTGAGGGAGTGGCATGAGGATTTGTCAACTTTTCAACCTCATTCTCATCCAAATTCAAAAAGTACATTTGGGTAAGGACACATATCAATTTTAAACATTTAATTTGGAAAAACTTAAACCACATTTGCATTTTGCCCTGTGTATGTATGTGTGTGTGTGAGAAAGACATGGAGCACTTAGATGTGGAAATTAGGTGTACGTGTGTATTAGGTGATCATTTTGATAAGCTTTTTATTGGATCTCCAGTGCGTCAGTTTTAAATTGCCTACATGGTCCTAGGTGCTGGAGACACAGATATAAACAAGAAATAAATACCAACATTACTACCCATAATATGATTATTGAAAATAAGCTTAAGAATTGTTTGGAGTTTGTTTTGTCCTTGAGTTTCCAGTAGGATTGATTCATAGAAGATTCAGTCTAGTGAACTGTAAAACAAGCCCTACAAAGACCTTGAGCATATAAACAGGGTAAGTGCATGGAAGTACCTAATGAATAGGAGAGCTTGTGTTGGTGCTTGGAGCACTATTCACTTACAAATCTTTTTTTTAAAATTTAAAAATTTATTTATTTATTTTTATTTATTTTTTTGAGATGGAGTCTTGCTGGAGTGCAGGCGATCTCAGCTCACTGCAACCTCCGCCTCCGGGGATTTTACATTTTAGTTTTTAGACAATTTTGAGTTAACTTTTGTATATGGTGAGAGATAGGGTCTAATTTATTTCTTCTATATGTAGATATCCAGTTTTCCCAGTACCATTTATTGAAGAGACTATCCTTTCCCCATTGTGTATACTTCGTATCTTTGTTGAAAATCAGTTGGCTACAAATGTGTGGATTTGTTTCTGGACTCTCTGTTTTGTTCCACTGGACTATGTATCTGTTTTTATGCCAATACTATGCTGGTTTTTTTTTTTTTTTCTTTTGAGACAGAGTTTTGCTCTATCATTCAGGCTGGAGTGCAGTGGCATGATCTTGGCTCATAGCAACCTCTGCCTCCTGGGTTCAAGCAATTCTCCTGCCTCAGCCTCCCGAGTAGCTGGGATTGCAGGCATCTGCCACCGTGCCCAGCTAATTATTTTTAGTAGGGACAGGGTTTTGCCATATTGGGCAGGCTGGTTTTGAACTCCTGACCTCAAGTGATCTGCCTGCCTCAGCCTCCCACAGTGCTGGGATTACAGGTGTGAGCTACTGCGGCCAGCCTGGTTTGTTTACTATAGCTTTATAGTATACTTTGAAGCTAAGTGGTGTGATGCCTCCAGCTTTGTTCTTTTTGCTTGATTGCTTTGGCTTTTCGGGATCTGTTGTGGTTCCATACACATTTTAGGATTATTTTTCAATTTCTGTGAAGAATGTCATTGATATTTTAATAGGGATTGCATTGAGACTGTAGTTAGCTTTGGGTAGTATGGAGATTTTAAAATAGTAATTCTTCCAATCCGTGAACATGGGATATCTTTTGGTTTATTTGTGTCGTCTTCAGTTTCTTTCAGCAATGTTTTATATTTTTCATTGTGGTAATCTTTTACCTCATTTGTTATTCCTGGGTATTTTATATATTTTTTTACAGCTATTGTAAATGGGATTGTTTTCTTGATTTCTTTTTTACATAGTTCTCCATTAGCCTATATAAATGATACTGATTTTTGTATATTGATTTTGTAACCCTGCATCCTTACTGAATTTGGTGATTAGTTCTGAGGGTTTTTTAGTGTAGTGTTTGGGCTTCTCTTCCCTGCCCTGCCCTTCCCTGCCCTTCCCTTCTTGCCTTGCCTTGCCTTGCCTTGCCTTTCTTTTCCTTTCCTTTCCTTTCCTTTCCTTTCCTTTCCTTTCCTTTCCTTCCCTTTCCTTTCCTTCTTTCTTTTCTTTCTTTCCTTCCTTCCTTCTTTTTTTTCTTACAAGATCTCACTCTGTCACCCAGGTTGGAGAGCAGTACTACCATCATAGCTCATTGCAGCTTTGAACTCCTGGGCTCAAGCAATCCTCCTGCCTCAGCCTCCCAAGTAGCTGGGACTACTACATACCACCACACCCAACTAATTTATTTTTATTTCTGTAGAAATGAGGTCTTGCTGTATTGCCTGGCTGATCTCAAATTTTTGGCCTCAAGTGATCCTTGTGCCTCAACCTCTCACAGTGTTGGGTTTATAGGTGTTTAGGGTTTCCATATGTAAGATCATGTCATCAAACTAGTTGGAGTCCATTCCTTCTATGCCTAATTTGTTGAGAGTTTTTATCATGAAGGGATGTTAAACTTCTTCAAATGCTTTTTGTGCATCTATTTAAATGATCACATGGTTTATGTTCTTCATTCTGTTAACATGATGTATCACCTCTATTGATTTGCATATAGTGAACAAGCTCCCCATCATGGGAAATTCTAGTAGGACAAATGACTCTGTTTTAAAATTTTTGTTGCCATTTTAAAAAATGAAACTTGGCAAATTTTTCTAAAGTTTGAAGATGGAATTTTTAAAAATAAGGAATCCTTATCTTTAAAGATTATACTAAAATATTTATAGATGAAATGATGTAATATCTGGGATTTTATTTAAAATAATCAGGGGGATGGGGAGGGAGAGTGCAGTCAGATGAAACAGGAGTAGCCCTAAGTGGATACTTGTTGAAGTTGAGAATTGGGTACATGGAGTTCATTACATTATTTTCTCAACTTTTGTCGATGTTTGATATTTATATAATAAAACATTAAAAATGAAATAAAAGTAAATTAGTTGCCTGCATGGGCTCTTTGAATTTTATTCCCATTGACATGGATAAGCCACAGGAAGTCTCCCACCTACCTTGGGACTTCATGTCCTCATTTATACAGATGTTGTTGCTGCTAAATTATTCCAAACATGATGGCAACCATAAAGATGATTTCAGACCTTTTATCGACTCAGCTAAAGTATACTTTCAGAAGGAAAGAGTCATTTTAACTTTTTGCAGTTTTTCTAAGTCTTTGTTTTTATGAGAGGGTAATTTGGATGTAAAAGACCTAGAAGCAAGCCCAGGGAAATCTGATAGGGAAGTGGAATCAGTTGGGCTTTTTATGTTGAAACTTTCGGAAATCTTTTTTCAATCTAGCCAGTCGCTGTAAGACTTTGCAGCTGGCAGATGTCAGGGACCTGCTGATGACTCACTCCATTTAGTCAGGGTCAGTTCATGATAACTTCCCTGGAAGTGCCTTGGGCTGCTAGGCACAGATGATGGCCACACGATTTTTGCTTGACATCATCTCTTTTACCCACATTGGTATCAGTCACTGGGGAACCTAATTTCTATTTTACTCTCAGTTCAGATTTCTAAATAAAGTTTAGAAAACTTTATTTTGCCTGCTTGGAGTCTTCCGTGAATCTTACAGTCTAGGTGTTTCTGATGAGTAAAACATAAGCCTGATTCAAGGAATCCTAAATATTTATCCTACATATTTTAGAAAGAGAGAAGATTTATGAAAGATAATATACAGGGAATAAGACCTTGTTAATTTTATTTTCTTTTATTCTTTCTCCAGGCTGAAGCAGATTCAATATGGACTTGTTAAAACGTATGTTTTGTAAATTGAGTTTATCTAAATCCCAGTCTAGAAGAAGGAAGCTCATTTTCTCTAGAAAGTGAATTTCAAAGTAAAACCACATGTTGGATGAAATACAATAGAGTAAGATCATTATCAAGATATCTTAATGTACTGTAGATTAGCAAAAAAAGATAAGGATGCTCACTAATTTATGTAAGATTTCAGAGAATAAGACAGTGATTTGAAAACATTTCTTTTGTTCAGTTATAGAATTTATATAGCTGAGTTCCTGATGAGCTCATTTCCCACTTTTTTCTTTGTTTTTGGCCATATTTCTCATCTCCATTTCTCCACATATTTTTATGTCCTGGCAGACACCTGTTGGTGCTCGTCATCTCTAGATGATGTCTCCTGAATCATTTTGTCTGCTGTGCCTTAGCACAGTACTCAACATTGAGTTTCCAGAATTGTTCTCTAAATTGACTCTCAGTTTCTTGAGAATGGAGCCTTCTTGTCTTATATTTCTTCCTCCTTCTGTGGTGTATGGTTTTGCTCAATTCCCTCCTTTCAGCTACTGTAAGTGTGGGTTTAGATCAAAGAATCTTTACAAGGTTTGGGAATTTTTCAGAACCCAGGAAGATGTTGCATTGATTGACCACTATGAAAAAGTGAATAGAGCTTTGCATTTGTCTTCATCTTCATGGTGCTTCGTGCCAGTCCTTTAGAGATAAATTGTTACGTACACCCTTATCCTGGGTGTTATACTTCTGTAAGCTGAAATTTGTAATTCAAGTCAGGAATATTTCTTATGTTCTTATTTTTACTGGCAAACTGATGCCTTATACAGATGACTGACATAATTAAAGTATTTTTCCCTTAGGTGCTTGTAATTGGAAAAATCAGTAGAATGAAGTCACTAATGGCATTAATGCAATTTAACACATTTTGCCAACAGGAAGTCTTATATATCATTAAGAATAAAATAATAGCAGCATATCACATTTATTAAACACTTACAGGTGCCAAATCCATCTGTAATGTCAAATAATCCTTAAATCAATCCTAGGAGTTTGGTACTTCCTGATTCTGATAGGCTTTCTTATTTTATAAAACTTTCATATGTGCAAAGTGGCCATAGTTAGAATGGACTTTAACAATTATCTGTAATACAAATTGGCTGAGAAAGCCCTGGGTAAGTTAGGCGACATACCCTTGTCCTTAGGGCGTCCTTATGTATAGACCCAGAACCAAAAATAACACTAGAGAGTAAATTCAATAATAAAGGCAGAAACAAAGAACTACAAAAACCCTGGTGATTAATGTGCCTGTTGGGGAGGAAGTCAAGACCGGCATTACAGAGGAGACACAGTACAATGGGGAGCCACAGGAGGTATTTAAGCAAAGGGGTGGATGGTCTGATTTGCATTCTTAAAAGACCAACCACTCTGACTGCTGTGTGAGGAATGGCCTCTGTGGAGCCAGAGTAGAGGCTGCGAGGCCATTGCAGACATCCTGGTGAGGAGTGACAGTGGTCTGTAGCCAGTGATGGTTGTAGAAATGGAGACAAGAGAATGATTTTGTTATATGTTTCGGAAGGATAGTGTCTACACAGTCCCTTTAGGCTGTTATAAAAAAATTACCATAAACTGGTAATTTCTGGCTTAGAAGCAAGAATTTTTTTTTTTCCTCACAGTTTTGGAGGCTGGGAAGTCCAAGATCAAGGTCCTAGCAGGCTCCATGTCTGGGGAGTGCCAGTTTTCTGGTTCACAGATGGCACCTTCTTGCTGTGTCCTCACATGAAAGAAAGGCTAGCTAGCTCTGTAGGGTCTCTTTTGCAAGAGTATGAATCCCAGTCATGAGGGCTCCACTCTCATGACCTAATTACCTCTAAAAGGCCCCACTTCCTAATACCATCACCTTGGAGGTTAATATTTCAACATATGAATTTTGGGGGTGGGTGGCATAAGCATTCAGACTATAGCAGATGTCAGGATGTGGGAAGAAATTGGATATGGAGGAGGTTGGGAAGAGAGGAATCGAGGACAAATTACTGGGTTGTGGAATAACTGAATGGGCAACAGCTGTTTCAAGGATTAAATGAGATAAGAGATGTGTATTGAATGGTAGATAAGTTCATCAACTATGCTTTGTGTTTTCTTGGGGTGGTTGAACTTGCGGTATGAAGACTTAAAGCCCATAAAGTAGCAGAGAAATTAAGAGAGGTGTGAAGAGAAGGGACTTAGCAGAAGCGACGAGACAGCAGAATCCAGGAGCAAGCAACAGTCATGAAGTGGAGAGACAGGAGGGTGTTGCTAAAGCAGCAGAAGCAGTGGCAAAAGGAGATTGCATTATAAGACTTACGGGCATTCGGGCATTTTTCCTGAGCTACCCGTTGCTCTGGTAAATTAGAAAGGGAGTCATCATTCTCCCCAAGACCTGGCCATCCTATTGCCTACAGTTTTCTGGGTACCTGTGATCCCTCATAAGCCCTCTTTACCTGGTGAAATCTGAATATGTCTCTACTCACCACAACCTGAATGGGCCAAAATAAGACAACCAGACTTCTTTCTTTATAGTGGAGAACACTTCTTTGGAATTGCGGATGGCTTTGATTTATTTTTAAATCATAAAGTAATGCAAAACTACATTTGCATTGTCAAAAAAAATTTTTTTAAGGTAAAACAAAAAATTTTAAACCGAGAATAAATCCCTCTTGCATCTTTCCAAACACACTGAAGTTGCACCCCTTCTCCAGGGGCCACCACCATTATCATTGGGGAGTGTATTCTTCAGATTATTTAAATGCTGTATGTAAGTGTGGGGATTTATATGTATATTGTTGGGATCTTCCCAACATAATGAAATCATATGGGATACGAAATACAATAATTTGCCTTTTGCACTTGTTGTGCCTGAGAGGTCCTTCTACATCTGTGCATACTGACCTGCCTCCCTGTCAATGGCTACTCATTACTCCACATACCGTGCTTTAGTTCATCATTCCCCTATAGATAAACAGGTTGTTTCCAATGTTTCTGCCATTACAAACTTATTTTTAAGAACCAGACTATGTTACTATGTGACCTTTCATCCATTTTGGCAAAGCCAAAATAGTCTTGGTGAAGTCCTTTGTCAGTTGCCAGTTGTGCAGTAGTGTGTCTCTGCCCTGGAGTGGGGCTGAGCTGTAGGTGGGATCCATAGAGTTGGTGTGGATTGAAGTCAAGCACATGTGGCAGCAATTTGCTTTGTTTTCTGTTGCTGCAGGGAGGAATTGAAACTCCTGGGCACGGTAAGCCTCAAACATTGTAGTTTCCTTGAGAAAAAACTTGAAGAAAACGCCCATGTTTATATTAACACCTAGTTTAAAATATATATACACATATAAGCTTTGCTAAAATAACCTTCTAAAGGCATAGGTTTAATGAGACTTTCTGAATTAAATTTAAGAGTTTTAATTAAACATGCAAAAGATAAACAGTATCTTCAAAGTTCAGCCTTAAGATGTAAAAACTCTTGCTTAAGAAGAAAAAATATTTAACTGCACAGAATGCCTGGACTTTTAATCTTTGAGAGTTGGAGCATTTGTATTTTTGAAAATTAATATAAAAAACTTAAATAACTTAAGTCATAAGGATACTCATAATAGATATGCTTTCTGTATATAGGTTCAAGTAAGCCATGTATACTTTTGAAATAATACATCTTTGTTTTAGAGAAAGACATTGTACTTGCTGAAAATCCAGGAGTGTTCTAATTGTTTTTATTGTATTACAATTATACATTTTGCTAATACTTTCAAAAGTAAAGACAATACGAGTTAATGCAAATAGTTAACCTTTCTACACCTATTTCAGAAAGATCGATGAACCGAGAAAGAGTGACTTGTATGTGCTACAGACATACAAACATACATACAGACATACAGATATACATTTACTAAGTTTTGTCTTAGTAAATTTTTATATCAATCTTGCAAAATAGATAGAACTATCCCCATTCTACAGGTGAGAAAACAGAGGCCTAGAGGTAAAGTAAATATTCCAAAGCCACAGGTCTAAACAGTAATCATGCAGGATTTCAAATTAGGGCTGTCCTGACTTCACTGCTCTTCCAGCTGCATGATTCTGGGGTCATTTTTGTTTTCCTTTTCAGACTTATCAGTACTTTTACCTCCAGGAACTGAAGCAATCTTCCTTCCTTATAGTATATAACATATTCTGATTATTAAATTTACTGGCCAGCCAACATTAACTCTAAAATGGACCTGAAGTTCAGTTATCAGATGGCCTGGCAAACAAAATGGTGGACCTCTCTATAGAATGTAGTTTGCTGATCCCTGCTCTTAATCAAAGCTCCCAGGTGTGGAAGGTCTGAATGAAATAGTTACTAAGATTTTTGCACATGGTAACTCTTTTCAGATATTTGAACCCTCTGCATCACAGGATACTATATCAGATCATTCTAACAAGAATCATTCTGTGGACATTCCCTCCATCAGCACTACATGTGTCAGGAGCTGCTTTATAGAGTTTTGACCTTTTCTTACTTCCCCTGTTTATTTAGACACTTAAAAAAATTACAGCTGAGGTGAAAACCTCCCACCTCCTCAATAGTTTCATTTTGGCTTCTAATCTCAACACTACAATCTCTCTCTTCCCTCTCTCCATTCCTTTCTTCTTTTCTTTGGATATCTTTTCAAAAGGAAGCTAATCACTCTCTCTTGCCATTCTACTTAGCTCATAGTCCTCTTCCCTTAAAATTGCCTCCACTGAATCTCCATAAAATCCATGGGTTTTTATATCAATGTGATAGGGTCCAAGTGGGTTTCATAAATCAGAGAAACTGGCTGAGCGGGAACTGTCATAACTGGAGAGCCGGCGCCCAATCGAAAGCTGATGCTTCCCCTTAGGAACCAGAGGCCCAGTGTTGCCAGATCTTCTGACTCTAAGAGAAGCAGGAAATCCAGACTTTTGGGTAGAATCTCTCTCTCTCTCTTTTTTTTCAATGCTGGCAACTAATTTAAGAAATTATTTTGCAATAGTGTGCAGGCCAAACAAAAGACATCTGTTAGTCATCACTTGAAACATCTTAGTAAACCAAAGAAAACTTTTGAGCATTCTCATTTTGAAGGCAATTACTCAACTCCCTCCATACTTCTCTACCTTTTTGCTAAGATGGTCTTTTCTTTGGTACTTTTATTTCCCACAATTGTTATCTCCAGATCCCTGGGAGGCAGTGGGGTATTCTATTTAAGAGCAAGGCTTGGATATCAAGACAAACCTGGGTTGAATTATAGCTCTGTCATATCATTTCATTACCTTGGATGGGTCATTGCAGCGCTGTGAACTACCAGTGAAAGGTGACTACTAATGATTCATCTTAATTGCTTTATGGTACAACAAATATTTATTGAGTTCCAACTATGTCTATCAAACACTGGGTTAGACATTGGGGATGCCACAGTGAATAAACCAGAGATGGCTCCAGTGTTCCTGGAGTTTTCCATCTCTGGAAGAGAAAGATATTAATCAAGTAATTTCAGTAAAACAATTATAATGAGAAAAGGAAGCTAAGCACTATGCAAGAGTAAAAGGTGGTTCTAGGCTGGGCTTACTGGGAAAAGATGCTTAATCTGTGATCTGAAAGATGAGTTGGAGTAAACCAGGGAAGAAGGGGATGGCACAGCATTTCCAGCCAGAGGTTCAGTTAATACTTTTTTCCTGGTGGATAGAAATCACACAGATATGACTTAGCCAGATTAAATAATAATCTGAACCCAAGTCAATTTCACATGATCCCATTTTAACAAATATTCTCATAGAGAAATGCAAAAGTGCTGTTGCTTCTCTGCAACACTTTAACAAGATTTCCTTTGTCAAGTGTGGTAGTAATTATGTCAGATAGTGTGGTCTGTGTTAAGCTGTGGTAACAACCTCAAAATCTCAATGGTTTAAAGCAGAGGTCAACAAACTATGGCCTGCAGGACATATCCTGTTGCTGCTTGCTTTTGTAAATAAAGTTTTATTGGAACATATCCATGCCCATTCATAACATATTGTCTATAGATTCTTTTGCATTACAATGGCAGAGTTAATTCGTTGCAAAAGAGACTGGATATCCTGCAAGGTCAAAAATATTTACTACCTGGCCCTTTACCAAAAACAATTTGCCAAGCCTTGCTTAAGAATATTACTGTGGCCGGGCACAGTGGCTCGAGCCTGTAATCCCAGCACTTTGGGAGGCCGAGGCGGGTGGGTCACAAGGTCAGGAGATCAAGACCATCCTGGTTAACACGGTGAAACCCCGTCTCTACTAAAAATACAAAAAATTAGCCGGGCGTGGTGGCGGGTGCCTGTAGTCCCAGCTACTCGGGAGGCTGAGGCAGGAGAATGGCGTGAACCCGGGAGGCGGAACTTGCAGTGAGCCGAGATCACGCCACTGCACTCCAGCCTGGGCGACAGAGCAAGACTCTGTCTCAAAAAAAAAAAAAAAAAAGAAAAGGAATATTAGTGTGAACTTCCTTAGAAAACTGGGAATTATACTACGTAGGCATAAGGCTGTGTAAAGGAACAAATTAGTACATGGAAAAGACCTAGCTTGGTGCCTGGCACATAATATGTTCTTGCTATTTATTTTTCTTCTTAATATTATCTTCTTTCTTGCTGTTTCCTTCTAGGAAATTCCTGCTGTAATAGCTGAGCTTTGTGCATGTTATATCAATATTATTACTGTCACTACTAACAATCATACCTCACATTTAGTGCTCACCTATGGTGTTTTAGGCACTGTGCTAGGAGATTTGCGTGTCATCTCCTTGAACCCTCACAATGATCCTCTGAGGTAGAAGTATCCCATTTTATAGACCCTGCTCATATTAGTAACAAACTACCATTAACTGAGCATTTACTCTATGTCTAGCATGTGCTCAGCATGGTCCCTATAAATAAGGCCATCCTGTTTTACAGATGAGGAAGCTGAGTAACTTGCTCTAGGCCCCATTGTCTGAAGTGGCAGACCAGGATTGTAACTCCAGCCAGTCTAATGCCAAAGCCCTGAACATATTCTCTATTCTGGCCATTGGGTCATAGAGGTAGAATAATTAAAAGGGCTGCTTCAGCTATCCCTGTGGCCAGGCTGGCCCATTCCCTCTCCCTGGGGTGGCTTCTTCCTTGCATTTCCTCTGCTCAGAATAGTCAATTCACTGTCTAAAATCTGCTCACCTCTAAACCCCTGTGTCTTAGAAAAGCTGGTTCTCATTGCCATGGTGCCTTTTCCTTCCTCCAGCCTGTTGTTGAGCATTTGGAGAGCTCATTGGATGCTGAAGTGACAATACAGTGTAGACAAGGATGAACTCCTTTTACAGAGCAGGTGCTCATCGAATGTGATTTTTCTTGTGTATTTAGTGAGCTGTAGCTATGATTTCTCTTCCTACTCCTTCCTTTTGAACAGCTTACTGAGCACTCTATATGTGTCAAACTTCATGCCCACACTCTACCTGCCTTACATCATGCTATTTTCACAACACCCCCTTGAGGGAGTCCTCTTATCCTGATTTACAGGTGCAAGGTCACTTGACTAGGAAGGGGTGAAATGGATACAATGCATACGAGTGTTCTTTGGGGCCAAGCGCTCTACTCATGCTCCTCATGATTGTTGAGGATATCTTCTAAGGATGGAAATGTCTCTTGAACCTGTTGTCTTTGTCTTAGCAGCTAGTTACATAGAATGGAGGCCAAATGGTTTCCTGTGGAGGATTATGTAAAATTCATATTGACATGGGGAAATCCAGGTAATAGCATATTACCAGATAAGTGAGAAAGCACAATGAAGGAACAATTGCAATTCATAATTTTCAAACATGACTAGAATTATTTATTCAGTCTAGTGACCATTAAGCATCCACTCTCCACTGTAAGCACTGAGCCAAGCACAGCGAGAGCATTTGCAAATGACTGAGACAGTCTTACCCTCCTAGGCAGTATGTAGCTCAGGAAGGGGCAGCACCATCTCTTCAGAGCAGAGGCTTTGTGTCAGAGGAATCCAGGTTCAAATCCAGGATTTATCTTTTGACTACTGTGGTCTTGGACAATTTGCCTAACCTTCCAAAACCTTCTCAACTGTAAAACAGGTATGATTAAGAATATTTTCCTTAAAGGGTGAGAATAAGCATTCAGTAATAGGATGCAGGTGAAAAATTTAGCATAATGCCTGCCAAATACAGAGCACTCAATAAAGTCTTCACTATTAATATACATTTTTTATAATAGAAATAAACATGGTCCCCCAGGAAGAGCCAGACAAGGAACATGAAAGAGGTGTCAGAGAGGAGGGGCAAGAATCAATTCCTTCAGGCTGGAGCATGTAGGAAGGCCCCATTACAGTGGCAAACCAGGATTTGAAGGATAATAGAATCCTGATGGAAAAAAATGGCTAGAAGAAGGCATGGCATTCCAGGTTGAGGGCACAGCATGAGCAAAGATAGAGAGAGTGAAGTGTGTGCTCAGGGAATCCCTCATGATGTTGTGTGTCTGGAAAGGGGAGGACAGGTGGGAAGATGTGAAGAGCCTGACTTTATGAATATTGAATAAAATATTTCTGGAACATGTGACTGCAAGTATGTGGTAGTGTCCCAATGCACATACACCTGTTCCTTCTGTAGATGCCTGCCATTTCCTCCTGCAGGAAGATGTAAAGGCTTGCTATTCTGTTCTCAAGAAAATGCCTTGACTCTGCATTACCTGGGGGACAAGTTTGACCCTTCCAGGTTCAATGCCAGAGGTACATCTGCCCTTATAACTTACAATTTCATGGCAGCCAACAAACCCTTGGTCATAAATATTTCTAAAGCCAAGCTTCTGGGCTATACTTGTTTAGGCTAGGGTAAAGTAGAGTAAAATATGGATTTCTTATTGTCTTAAAAAAGATTTTCTTTTTATTCAGATATGGTGAGGTCAACAGATCAGGAGACAACTGCCACTGGCAAGATAGTTCATTACCACTTCCAAGAGGAAGGGGCACACCCTGCCACATGGGACCATACAGGAAAGCACTAGGGTCGGTCAGGAGGCAGAGAGAGGGAGGAGAAACATGGCAAGAGCCTTTATAGCAGTTTCCCAGGGAAAGAAGAGATGGGGCAGGGTTTAGAATTAGCTCGTTTGAATAATCTCAATGGGCTCTGCATGGGGCCTAAGGGCTGTCCTTAGTTGTTGGGTACCTGGCCCTGGAGGGATTACAGCAGGGGGAGGGTGGCCTTCAGTGTGTGCTCCTAATGCAGGAGGTGGTAGGGTGAGGGTTCTGGATGGTTGGCTTGCATATGAAAGGCATGCTAAAAGGTGAGTCCCTTGTAATCTCTAGGAATTGGCTAGCTCTGGGAGGGGCAGTCTCTCCCAGTCCTTAGTTGTTTGGAGGGTCAGCAAGGCTCCAAATGTCAGAGCATTAGAAACACTGAAAAAAAGGCATGATTCATACACTCAGGTCCTTGATAATGCAAGAAAATTGTTTCTCTGGGAATTAAAAGAACCTGTGATATATATGTTTGTGATATAATAATAAATTTATATTTGGTTTTCATCCTGGTCCTTGGTACAGAGTTCTTAAAACCTTTGGCATTTCTGAGCCCTAGGGTAAGGGTAGCTTCCTTTGTTACCTGTGATAAGCCCTTTTCAACTACACCTGAGTTTATGTTAATGACGTGACTCTTGAAGAATGGGGGCTGGTTCCTAGAGGAACCAACCCTATGGTTAGCCCTCCCCAAGTCTCACCTTCGAGGAGGGGATAGGGGCTGGAGAATGGCCAGTGATTGAATCAGGCATGCCTATGTAATGGAACTGCTATCAAAACCCTAAACATTGGGGTTCAGAGAGCTTCTGGGTTTGTAACTGCCCAATGGGTTTATCTTGCCTACTGCCCATATAGAGCCAATTCATCAAGACAGGGGAATTGCAATAGAGAGAGTTTAATGCATGTGGAGCTGGCCAAAGGGGAGACTGGAAGTCAATTCCTTCTTGGGGCCCACAAGACCAGATGAGCCAATTTACTGGTCTTAGTGGCACCAGCTGATCCATCAGAATTCAGGGTCTGAAAAATACCTTAAACACCAATCTTAGGTTTGACATAGTGTTGTTATCCATACAAGGAATTGGGGAGGTTAGGAATCTTGAGGTCTCTGGCTGCATGATTCCTGAGCCATGATTTCTAATCTTGTGGCTAATTTGTTGGCTTTACAAAGACAATCTGGTCCCCAAGCAAGGAAGGCTTTGTTTCAGGGAGGGGCTACCATTTTTGTTTCAAAATTAAACTATCAACTCAATTCTTCTCAAAGTTAGTTTACTCTACACCCGGGAATGAAAAAGGCAGCTTGGAGGTTAAAGGCAAGATGGAGTTGGTTAGGTCCGATCTCTTTCACTGTTACAATTTTCTCACTGTTCTAATCTTTGCAAGGGCAGTTTCAGGCTGGTGAACATGCTGAAGTGGTGGGAGGGTGTCTTGTGTTGCCCTATGCATCTCTTCCATTTGTTTGTTCCTGGGTTGTATCCTTTATAATGGGAAAGAAAAATAAAATCCTAATCCCCCTACTCACTGAATGGAACCCCCTCTTGGCTAAAGGAACCCCAGAGAAACCTTAAAAACTGAGTTCCTGGCCATGACATGATGGGAGGTCAGACATGCCTGTTATACCCACTCCCTAGATAACTGCCTTTAGACTTTCTTTCGTAAGGGTTGAATGGAAACCAGCCCTTTGGAAAAATTTGCTCCACCACTGATTTACACAATAACTGACTAGCATTCCTTTTTTCTTAGAAGACCACTGACCATGGACTTCCTCTGGCTGGTTTATAGAGGCTACTCATACAGGATGCCTGTGTCCTCCGTTTCACCTTTTAACATATAGAGCTTAATTTTAATACATTTAAATGTTAAGTCTCCACTCCAAAGTGAACATGGGATGTATGTAACGTGCATGTTTGCTTACTGTGCATGCAAGCCTCCTTCATGAATATTCATAGCTCTTTTTGCAACCTGTTAAATATGTATACTTAGCCAACCCATTTGGCATGAACTCCTGTTTTGCCCTGTCCTCCCTTGAAGTGCTTGCTTTTAGTTTCTGCCAGAGGATACACCTCTTAGCCAGCAGGATGGCCAGGCTGCAGGCTGCAACTCTCTACAAGAAATAAAGCTCTCCTCTCTAAATATATGAACCTTATGATTCTTCAGTTGACAGTAATAAGCCTATATTCACAAGTGATATGTTTCCCTGAGCTATGTGAGCGATTCTAGCAAATTTCCAAAACTTAGGAGGGGATTACGGGAACCCCTGATTTATAATTAAGTCAGATGGAAGTGTAGGTAACCTGGGGACCCACTACATGCAATTGGCATCTGAAGTGGGAGGGTGGGGGGCAGTCTTGTGTGACTGAGTCCTTAACCTGTGAGGTCTGTGCTAATTCTGAGTAGATAGTGTCGGAATTGAGTTTAATTTTAGGATACCCAGTTTGTATCTGCAAAGAATTGGAGACTTGCTTCATGTGAAAACCCCATACATTTGGTGTCAGAAGTATTGTGAGTATAGAAAGAGTTTTCTTCTTTTAATGTAACATTCTACATTCCTAGAGAACACACACACACATATACCCACTGCAAAGTGTGTGGAATTTCCATATGTGGGCATTAAATCATAGAGGGCTGCTATATGAAGGTATTTTCCTACATTCTTGCTCAACAGCAAGCGTGAGGTATCTTTATGGTCAGCAGGGACTGATGCTCCTTAGTGTTTTCTGCTCTGAAACTCCATTAAAAAACTTGATTCATCTTTTCAGTACTATTCACATGACTAATTTCATAGAAGCTTTAGAGAGTAATATGTTCCAGCTCTTTCTTTCATTTGTTGTCATCTTTTCCTTAATGTATCCCATCTTTCTATATTCAGTAAATTAATAAAGAAAAATTGTGTTCATACATGGCTCTGATATAGAATCTGATATCTCTTATAAATTAGCACTGCTATGCTCGGCCCTGTCAGATAGTTAATTTTCAGAATGGATATTAACACCCCACCTATTAGATTGAGAAAGATATATGTATAATTTCTCAGTAACTTGGCCAGGGTTTTACACTGTGAGAGGGAGATAAGCTTTTTCTGATTTTTTTTATATTGCCTGTTGGGGATCACTTATTGAAAGACCAAATGGCTTTGATGGATCTTTTCTGCCTAGGTAGCTAATATGTCTGATGATGGGCCTTTATCGGCTACTGCTTGAACTTATGTAAGTCATATTTGCAGGCATCAGAGGAGTGTGGTGTTGACCTCCCGGTGGAAATGGGAAATTTAGACTGGCTCCTCCTCTCTTCGGCACTAAATCTTCAACATATATTATCTTTATCTTTATTTTTAGTAAAATACTTTGTAACCATCCCTCCTGGTTTTCTCCTAATATATGTATGAACTTAGTGAAGTGCATGAACTCTGCTTTACAGTTTACCCCTGAACTTACGAATTTTAAAATAGTGATTTTTCAAATTCCAGGATCACCTTTTAATAATGACAACCAGCCAGAACTAAATTGTTTTAATGTGATACTCTCCTTAAAGACTGAAGAGGAATTGATGGTCTCTCTAATGAAAATTTTGTACCTTTCATAAGTGTGTGCCTATGTGTGTGTGCCAATGTGTGTGTGTGTGTGTGTGTGTGTGTGTGTGTGTCTGTCTGTCTTTTCTCACTCAAGGTTTGTTATTCTCTGTTGATGTGCTATGGCCCAGGATTACTTAATTAAATATGACTTAAAAGTTTGCATTATGCTTTAAACTTGTGACAAAAATTGCTTGACATGACTTCTTGGTTATATGCTGCCTTTGGAATGGCAAGAAAGCAGAGTCAAGAAAATGCAGTCACTCTGTTAAATCTTTATTTATTTTCTAAGGAGTGAGAGAGCATTTTTATCCAAGTGATGAGAACCTCCTGGAGTTGATTGACTTAAATTAGCTTGATTGCTTTTTATCAGTCGCAGCTGCACTGTTTAGCATAAAAATGCAAAACATCTAAAAAGCATTTGCCTTGCAGCATACTAGAAAGATGTTTTTAGTTAGTTTTAAGATGTTTCAAATTTTTATTCTGCACAGATTCTCTGAGAATGTATCCAGAACATATCTAGTTACAGAGAATTAGTACAGATATTGTAAACTTTGAGAAAATGAATTAAAGAAAATATGCTATTTTATGAATTGCATATTTAGAATTTGGGCTTTTTTGCTTTTAAATGTCTCTTGTAAGTTAAACAGTTCAGCAATATTTGTTGCAGTGGCCGAGCCAAGCAACTGCTGCTAAACATTAAAAAACAGTCATTGGAACTTTTCACATAATGAGCCATTTGGCTTTTCTTGTGGAGCTGTGACATGGTTCAGTGGAAACTGGCTGTTGTAAAGTTAGGTAAAACCAGCTTTGTATTGAAATCCTATGAATGAATTTCAGACCATCATCTTCGTTTTCTCCCTGGCTTAGATGGTTTAATAATGAGTATGGCTGACTTACTGAGCTTTGTCTTGTGTGGGTGCTGCTGTAAGTGGTCTGCTCCGTAAAGTGCCACAGTTCTCTTTCTGAACCAGCTGCTGTTTTTCTGATTTACCCTTATTTGGCAGATTTTGCCCTTTGATACTTTTGACATTATCAACACCAAAGGCAGGAGGAGGTGCACTCTTGGAGCTGGTGAGAGAGAGGGGGGGATAGAACTGAGAGAGAGAGAGGGAGAGGTTGAGGGAGAGAGAGGGAGAGATTGAGGGAGAGAGAGATTGAGGGAGAGAGATTGAGAGAGAGAGAGAGAAAGAGGGAGAGAGAGAAAGAGGGAGAGAGAAAGAGGGAGCGAGAGATTGAGTGCATTATTGAGCTGATTGCTTGTCTTGTTTTTGTCTAAACTACGAATTGGTCTTGGCTGTTAGAAAGTGAATCTCTTAAAGACACTGGGACTGAAGCACAGGATTTGAGTTCATAGAACACAGCCTCAGGGACACACCAGGACACATTCCTTCACACATAACTTTCTGGGGTCTATAATGGGAATGTAGAGGTCATGTGCCCTCAATTGGAGAGAGACTTAGAGTCCTTGAGCCACTGTCCCTCGGTGGCCCTACCCCCACCCCCTTGAAAACATCTGGGAGACAGTGATCAGGCCAACAATCAAAAGAACTAGGAGTATTCCATATGAACAGGTAGAGACCCTAATAAGAGCAGATGTGTATTCTGGACTCCAGAGGTGACCTTGGCAGACATGAGATGCAGTCAAAGTCTTTTTCTTCTAGCTCTCATTCTAGATTAGTCTTTGATTATCCATTTAGATATGTAGAATCAAATAAGCCAGTATTGATGTATCATATCATGCTGGGGAAATTTTTGAAAAATATTTACCTGTCTCAATCCTGCCTACAGGCCATTTTCCAAAAATAATTTATAATTCCCCTTGTAATGTATTGTTAATATGCTCTAATGATATCAATGCTTAAATCCATCATAATTTTAACATTATGACAGAATTTAAAAAATTCTTTCCATGTTCCTTTGGGACTTTGTTATGTTGTATGTACATTATATTAAATATAGTTGCATTTATAATATAGCCAAAATTCAGGGTTTTGAGTTTTTAAATTTAACTTTTTGTCATTAAACTTGTGCCCATGTAGTTATAAGCCTCTTAATTTTATTCTTAATCACACTGTGTGTCATGATTTCCCTTGCCACACTTCTACTTTTGTTCATTGCAGCTATTTCTAAAATTTTTCACTTGTATAGTTAGTATTGCAGTGGGAATATCTTTGAACATTTGGATTACTGGGTCAAAGGGTATAACCACTTTTATGGCATATTCTGTGCACTTTGAAATTGCTTTTTAAAAGGTGCTCGTGTACCTATTATAATACCTCAGCAAAAGACTGATACCAAATTTCCTATAGCCTTGCTAGTACTGGGTCTTTTAAAGTGAAAATGTTCAGCATAACACTATCCTGCCTTTTTACAACTTTAATTATATTGCAGGGTTGAATATATTTCCATGCTTTGTTTACTGTGTATATTTTCGCCGTGATTTGCCTATATGGTGGATTCTTGTCTAGTGTAATCTCATATTAGAAATATTAACTCTTCCTTAGTTAATGCAGACATTTACCCCCATTTTGTTGTTTGTCTTCTAAATTTTGGTTTTGTGAGTTGTCATGAGGTTTTTGGCTGTACATACAGTTGAATTTGTCAGTCATTTCTGTCATCACTTTTTTAGTTCTTCCAAGGATCAGATAAGTCCTGTCTTCTAATTTCAGCTTGTTCTCTGCGCCTTGATGTTTGTTGTTGTTGGTTTTTAAACATTTGTTTCTTTATAGTTTATTTGTTCTTTTTGGAAGTACAATACATGTACAAAGTCAAAGCAATTTCAACACTGCAGTTGGAAGTGTCCCATGGCCACAGTTGTGTACCTTTACATTCTTTACTTAGCAGGACACCCAAGAATTCATTCTACCCAAGAGATGGCTGACCTCAGGCTTTTCACTGCTGCATCATATTCTGTTATGTGCATGGACTATAATTCGTGTAACCAGTTTAACTTTATTTGGAAAAAAACTTCCTTGATAGATTAGATCTGTCAAGAGTCTATTTTAAGACTCATGCATGTGAATGTTCATTGCAGCACTATTCACAATAGCAAAGACATGGAATCAACCTAAATGCCCATCAGTAACAGATTGGATAAAGAAAATGTGGTACATATACAGCATGGAATACTATGCAGCCATAAAAAAGAATGAGATTATGTCTTTTGTGGAACATGGATGGAGCTGGAGGCCATTATCTTTAGCAAACTAAAGCAGGAACAGAAAATCAAATACCGCATGTTCTCACTTACAAGTTAAATGATGAGATCTCATGAACACAAAGAGGGGAACCGCAGATGCTGGGGCCTACCTGAAGGTAGAAGGTGGGAGGGGGAAGGAGGGAGAGAGGAGCAGAAAAAATAACTATTAGGTACTAGGCTTAGTACCTGGGCGATGAAATAATTTATATGACAAACCCCTGTGACACAAGTTTACTTATATAACAAACCTGCACATGTATCCTCGAATCTAAAATGAAAGTTTAAAAAAAGAGTCTATTTTGATGTTACAAAGCATGAATTTAAGTTAATTTCTTTCTGTTTAATTTATCTTAATATAATTTATTTAATGGTCTTTCTTCACTGTTTTTGATTCATTCTTCATATTATTTCTCATCTATCATTGGCTCTGTTTGGGGACTGTATGTCAGCCTGATTATTAATCTTGTATCCTACAGCAGGCTCTCCTACTTTATGTTCTGGATAGATAAGAGATTGCTCCTTTCAATCCAGAATTGCTTTTTCAGAATGGTATTGGACATGCTTACCTGATTTCCCCCTAGTTGATTTCTAGAAACATTTTCTTTATTTTTAAAAAGAATCATCTATAGGGTACATTCAATCTATAAATTAACTTAGGGAGAATTGATTAGTTTAAGTAAATATGATATACTGTCAATTATTTTCCTGTTTTCAGTGTTTTTATGATGCTTATTAAGTTTATTCCTAAGTGATTTATCTTTTGTAATGTCATTTTGAAATATGTATAAGAAATAGATATGTGTATATATATTTGTATTCAGATCATTATTTTTTCCTAAGATTATAAAAAATTATTGGTTATTTAAATTTTCTTTATATGTTAAGGCAAATAATATTATCTTTATCCCTTTGTTGTCACTATTTCTACTTTGAAAATATTTTTTGTGTGTTGTTCTGCGATAAACTTCAAAACATTAAATATTTGCTTATATTTTCTATGGGAATGGCCTAAGGAGTTTCTTGAGTAATGACATATTGGTTCTTTGCTGTGGAAATACTTTCCCTCATGTTGAGAGAGCTTCCATTTCCCTTTAAAAATGTTTATAGGAATGAAAGTTGCATTTTACTAAATAATACTTTAATATCAATTAAAGTGCTCACTAGCTTTTCTTACTTTGCTTATTGATGTGGTATTTCTGTTAATAAAGTGTCTTAGGCTAAAGGACCCTAGGTGAAAGCCTTTTTGTTATGGTGTTGTCTCTAAGTATTTTAAATTCCATATGCTAGTTTTATTTAGGACTTTTGTATCCATACTAATAAGGAGGATTTTATATATGTACATAGCTAGATTGTGTGTTGATTTACAGGATAGTAAGATTTCTTGACAGCATCAATTAACAATTTTTTTCTGTTGTTGAGTAGTATATCTTATATGGAAAACATTTGTTCTTGAAAGTTTGAAAAAATTCACCTAGTTGCTATTACAGTAGGAATCAGTTACTATTTAGGCTTTCTACTTTGGATGGGGTCATGTCTCACATTTTTCCCTTACTTTGTTAGATTGAGAAGATTCAGTCAATGGCTTTTTAAATAGGTACTTAGTTTTCCCTGTTTTATTATATTTTATTTAGGTAAAATGTCTTGGTGTAATGAAAAAATCAGAAGGGTGGCTTTGGTGATGGGGAATAGTTTCCGAGTGCTTTAGCTCTTGTGGTTGCCTGCACATTTTTAGGGTGAAAGCAGAGTATCAGAGGTGGACAGGGTCTTTGAGAGCCCATCATTTTTTCAGATGAGGAAACTGAAGCAGAGACTGGGTGAGTGGCTTGACCAGAGTAGGTCAGTAAGGGTGCAGCCTGGGAAAACTGAGACTGGGACCCAAAGCCCCTTGGTTGAGTCAGAGACTATTGTGTTTAGTTTGAGGATTTATAGTTCATTTTAAAGAAGGAATGGGAAGCTTAATGGGCTTCAGTTTACATTAGTCAGCATTCTTATGCTAGCAAGTAACTGCAACTCTTTTAAAATTAGCAAAAAAAAAAAAAAAAGTGGATTTAATGATTTGTGTGATTGGAAATTTCAGGATAGCATTGACTTTAGACATAGCTGGATCCAGAGACTCAAACATTGCCATCATTGCATTTCTTTCATTTCCCCCTTCAATATCTTGGCCTTTTGTTCCTTTTTGGGGGCTATATATTGGAAGATGCCAGGGCCATCAGCAGACCCAGTATCATATCCTCGTTCATATCCTCCCATCTTTGCAACCCCAATAGAATAAAACATGTTTCCGTATTGAATGCATTACGTGGTCCTAAGAAGGGCTGCGATTGGCTGGGCCTAACACCTGATCACCTCTGATTGATTCACCGTGGTGATTAGGTCACAGTCAATGAAACACCTCCAGCAGCCAAAGTAATTAAAAAGTAATCTTTACTTCTATATCCCAAAGAACATTATCCCAAGGAATCACATAAATCACTAAATCCTCTTTTCTTCTTAAACTAACTGGAAATATTTCCAGTGACTTGCTAGCACAAGAATGCTGATAAATATAAGCCAGTTTATAAACACTAGCAACACTTGTCCCATTTTCAAAGAACACCCCAGGGCTGCTGTTACTCCCTCATGGCTAGTCTTTGACCAAAGTGGCTTTTCTCTCTGCCTTGCTCTCCATTTTTTCAGCATTACAAATTTAAAAAAATAAATAAGTAAACCAGAAAACAAAACATGTACCTAACCTCTGGGCTATTTTTATGTTTCCTCTATTTTCTTTGTCCCCAGAGTCCAGAAAGGCCCTAAAGACAACCCCAAGTTAAAGGCCCCTCCCCCTTCAACACTAGGACAACAGGACAGTGAAGAATAAACACACTTATTGTTGTGTCCTCGTTAAACATTAATACTTTTGGTTCCTTCTTCCCAGTTGCAGACCTCCACGAAGGGAGCTCTAATACATAACTGGATCATTCTGCTTACAGGTGAACTTCTATCTATTTTCCTTTTTCCATGGGGCCAGTGTAATTCTATTGTATCTCTGGAGGTGCTGCCAGGCGGAGCTTGGCTCTCTTCACTGTGGTTCTTCCTGTTGAACCTTCTGCCTAGCGAACAGGCAGGCCCTTCTCAAGGATCCCCACCCACCCCCAGTGCAAAAGGGATCCTACTTTATTAAGAAACTAGACACCTATCAAGATTATAGTGAACATTAGTATACAGTTTGGATCTTCATAAAGGAATTTTAAAAACTTCTCTTATTCAGTGAACTCAAATCATGCCTTACAAGTTTCTTTCTGTACCAGAAACATAAGTCCTGAATTGTGCATTCTTTCTGAAATCATGTGCCAAGTTTAGATCCTCTACCCATTTTTCTGACTTTCAAGTTGTGTTTTAAGAATAAGGACAGCTTGTGTCTGATTGACCCTGATTTCTTCATGAGACTACCAGTCTAGAAGTTATATTAAATGCCTATTTAGCTAGCACACCCCTCAACCAACCTGTGCAGACATCTCCTTGGCTCTTCCTGGAATGAGTCTACTGTTCATCCTCCTCACTGAGGGGTGTAGGCACAGTCAATTCTTATCTGGATTGTGGCAGATGCCTCCTAACTTCTCCCTGCTTCTCCCACTGCCTCTCTACAGTGAACCTGTTAAAACGTAAGTCTAGTTCTGTCTTTCCTCTGCTCAGGAACCCTCCAGTGGGGCTGGACATGATGGCTCACACCTATAATCCCAACACTTTGGAAAGTTGACGTGGGAGGATTGCTTGAGGCCAGGAGTTCAAGACCAGCCTGGGCAATGTAGCAAGACCCCATCTCTTAAAAAAATAGAAACAAAACAACTTAGGTGTGGTGATGCACACCTGTAGTCCTAGCTACTCAGGAGGATAAGGTGGGAGGATAGCTTGAGCCCAGGAGTTGGAGTTGGTTGGAGTTGCAGTGATCTGTAATCACACCATGTACTCTAGCTTGGGCAACAGAGCAAGATCCTGTCTTAAAAAAAGACCAACAATAATAACAAAAAACCCTCCAGTGACCATATCAACCAAAGTCTTCACAGTGACACCCAGGTCTGTGTAACCCTTCTTCATCCCTGTCCTTACCCCATTTCCTTGTGACCTTGTCTCCTAGCCATTGTCTCCTCACTCACTCCATTCCAACCCTGTGGCCTCCAGGCTGTTGCTCCAACATGCCTGGCATCTGCCCATCTTTGTTTTTTTTTTCTGTGCTGGCTCTTCCCTCTACCTGGAATGCTTTCCCCCTAGCTCCTCACATTGCAAACTCTCTTGCCTCCTTCAAGTCCTCTCCCTCTAATGTCACCTTCTCAGTGGAGACTTACACTGATCTCCCTGTTTAAAACTGCAGCTCCCTCCAACTGCAGGATTCCCCAGGCTTGCTCTATGACATTTTCTAGCGTTCTATATAACCTAATTATTTACTACGTTTAGCGCTTGTTGTCTTTCTTCTGCCCTGCCCCATTCTCCCACTAGACTGAAAACTATTTTGTTCACTGATATTCCTAACATCCAGAACAGTGCCTGGGACACAGCAGGTACCCCAGGAATATTTTTAAATAAATGGATGAAATTCTTTGGGGATATTTTAAGACATGGTACAGCTGGGTACTTTAGCTTTGGTTCAAAATCCCAGACAGGCCCTAAAATGTAACTTAAAAAAAAAAAAAATACAGGATCTAGAATGTGTCCTAGTCCTGTCGCATTCAAAGACACATAGCCCAATAACCGAAGTAATTAAAAAGTAATTCCATTCTGTTGAATGCCCCAAAATATCATCAGCTAAATTTATACCTTATTCCAATGAGGGAGCATGCCACCTCAACAAAGTCTTAGCAGTGTCTAAGAAGGGAAAATTAGAGGTGAAATGTTTATAGGTCTTTGGGGTTTGGCCTCAAGTGGTTTAAGATGGGCCTTTCAGGCAGAACTAATTGGAATTGTTCAAAGTCTGTGATGTGATAATGTAGGGTTGTTGTACACAGCAAAGTGAGGGTCTTGAAGAGAGTTGCGATGAATAAACTGTGATTGATAAGACAATGGTTTGCCAAAGTGAGCAGATTATTTTCTCCAATAAGTCTATCAATGGGAATTTCCTGGAGCAAATAATGATTTTTTTTTTTCTGGGCAAAGATTTGCTGGAACAAACAACTAAGATGTTGACATAGCAGTCTGTAGTAACATTTAAGTCATAGCGACAAAGATGGTCTCAGTTCTTTACTTTGACTCATTAAAGAAGATCCAGTTCATTGATGTATCTGTTTGTTCATTCATTAATTCATTCACCTGACAAATATTCACTGGTTGTTTACAGTGCATTGATACTGGGCTAGCAGTGCCGCTGAACTTCCTACCAACTATTCCTTCTTTTTATCTCAGGTTCCTTCTTTAACACTCAGCTATTCTGTATCTTCTCACCTCTTCTAAGTCCTGGCAAACTCCTCTTGACACCAAGGTCTTGTAGGTTTTTGGAATCTCTCCCCTTCTCTCCTCCTGCCCCTTTAAAAAATAGTTTGGATGGATAGATAGATAGATAGATAGATAGATAGATAGATAGATAGATACACTTCTAGTTTTTTTGTTAAATTATTTCAGATTTTCTCAATATGGGATTATTGAAATTTTGGGCTGGATAATTCTTTGTTGTGGAGACTTCCTTGGATTCTACCCACTAGATGCCACTCTCACTCTCCTGCCTCCCTATTGTGACCACCAAAAATATCTACAGAGACTGCCAAATGTCCCTGGGCGTCAAGATTGTCCTGGTTGAGAACCACTAGCTTAGTCCATAGTTTGGGTCTTACACAACAAAGGGGAGCTTGGGAGCTGGCTCAGCAAGTGGGAATTCATCCCTCTTAGAGAGGAGGGAAGGTTGTGTCTCTGCACAGAGTGACACTTTTGGCTCCATTACATCCTTGCTGAGTGCTTCTTCTCGCGGGCATATTTGATCATGCCACTTCCTATTGCCATCAAGATAAAACCCAGAATCCATAACATGGCCCAGTTCATCTGTATCATCTCTCCACTGTCCCCACTTCACCCTGCCAATTGAATTCTGCAGGCATATCAAACTCACTTCAGATTCTCTAAGCCATAGTGCTATTTCCTGCATCTGAATTTGAGATCATCTCATCTCAAATTATCCTTTCCCCTTCCCTGACCATTTTCTCTTTCGTCTCATCTTCAATATCCCTTCCTCCAGGAAGCTCTCTCTAATTCATCCTGCATCCCCTTAGGACTCTCTCCCTCCCCTATTTTAACAGGTAACCAACATTTATTGGGATGTTTATTTAGTTGTCCTTCCTGCTAACCCAGTGATAAAGATAGGACTATCTCATTTACCATTGTTTGCTTCCTCAGAGTTCAGCAACAGAGCGTGGAACTTGGTCAATGGTGACAAAAAAAAAGTTGTCAAATACATTTTTGCAAGTAGTATTAATGTATCATTTTAGTGAATAATGCACATCTTTTTTTGACAAGGTTTCTATTAAAGTTCAAAAATATACCAGCTACTTATCAACATCAGTGGGTTCAAGAAGAAGAAATTGGGGTTGCAGGCTAAGTCCTTCACTTTCTTCAAGAAGAAATTCAACTTAACTTTTTGTTTAGCTTGTAGTTTAGAAGAGCATAATATTAATAGAAAGGACACAGAATTGCATATTTCTTCTTTGTCTAATTATATATTCCTAAGTAAACCTTTTCTTAGGAAAACAGAACACTGTTAACAAGCTCTCTAGGCTGTCTTTCAAATGGAATGATCTCAATATATTCCTCATTGCTGAACTCTGCTGTGTTTAGTAGAGTTTTTCTAGGCTGGAAACCTGTGGGGTGAATCCAGTCCCCAGGATTCAGTTTTCTGTTCTCACCCCGTGTTCTTTGTTTTTGGTTTTGTTTTTTTCTTAAAGATATCAAAATAAGTTGCCAGGAATGAAAAAATCATGACATTTCATGTAATAATGTAGGTTTCTAGTTTTTCTTGGGTGATGTGAAGCTCTGTCCCTAGCACTGCCTGGGCTTCCTCTGGCAGTCTTGGGTGGGAGCTAAGGTGTGGCTGGCTGCCCCTGGGGATGGGATGAGGTGTGGCTGCCAGTCCACCCCGTCCCACCCAGCTGGAGGGAGCGCTTGTGTCACTCGCCTGACCTCCATTTGCATTTGATTTGCGATTCCAGTGTTTAGTCTCTGTCATAAGTGAAGCAAAGGGAGGGAAAAGTTAGCCAGTGAACGTATGAATAAAATATGAGCGTAAGAACATCCAGGTGACAAGATCTGGTAACAATTGTTATTGAAAGTACCACATCTTGCTGGATTTAAAGTCTAATTCTCAAAGGTAGCCCAATCAAAATCCATTTTTATGCTCCCAACACCAACACCGGTTGCAGAGGATGAGGGAAAAGCTGCAAAGTTTCTTTGGCTGAGTTGTGTATAGGCCACTTTCATCTGCTCAGCAGGTCTGAGCACAAACCCCTTGACATTCTCCTCTGAGGCTCTGAGTGACCCAATTTCCTCTTGCTGGAATGTTTCCCACTCAGTACATTTCCGTCTTTAATGGATGACTTCCTCTATATTATAGGGACACTAAAACCACAATGGCTACTCCGGACCTGGATTTAGAAATCAGGAAACCCGAGTTGTTGGATTCCATTTGTCTGCCACTTACATTTTTCAGGTCCTTCAGTTTCTGGGCTATTCTGTTGGCTGGGGAGGCCCGGTTGATTTTCGGTGGATGTGGGGCCATGGGTAAGTCCTTTACTTTCCTGAGGCTCACTTCCCTTCTCTAAAAACTGGAGGAATGATGCTCCCTACCTCCCCAGCAGTAATGCCCTTAGCCTGGCATTCAATAAAGAGCAGTAGGTTGTGTTACTATTACATTGTTTTAAAGAGGAATTAGAATGAAACTCCTCATCTGTTACAGGAACAGGTGAAGCACGTATGTGGATGTTTCCTCTTTGAAGGAAAACAGTCTCTCTTTCTGTGTTATAATATTGTTGTTATTGTCCAACTTGTAAATGCTCTTATCTTCCTCAGTGACAGAAACAGTTCTTGTGATGTCCGTTTTCCTGAGGTGTGATATGAGTTACGGAGGTGCAGGCTGGAGGCGCACCAGCCTGCAGTCCGCAGAGTGCAGGTCCTGCCCACTCATCTCTGATTATGTCAGAATATGGCTGCTTTTCAGAGAAGACATCACTCTATCCAATGAAATGGATCTTTATTTTCACAATCTTTACAGAGATTAGAAAGAGCAGATTTCATTCATCTTTGCCTGGAAAATAACTTTCCATTCAGAACTGTAGTATGAAGAGAAAAACAGAGGATGATTTTTTTTCCTCCTTAATTTGATTATCCCCTGAATTTCTGTGTTGAGGACAACTGTTAGAGGTAAGAGAGGGAGTTTTTAGGCCCCTTTCCTTGTAATTCCGTCTTCTGAATAACTCTTATAGCATGTGTAGTCATGAAATAACCAAGAGCTTATTTTTACAGCTTTTACTGTACTGTGTGTAATATATTGCAACTTAATAATGTTAATGCAACTAACTAGTGGTGACAGGGAATATACAGAAAGGAATGGCATGGGAGCATGCCCTATCCCTGATCTTCTGAGGAAAGATGTTTCAGAAAATTCATTTTTTCATGTTCGTAGGGATGCTTATGAATATGATGAAATTTGCCATATGAGGAAGGCAAATTTTGTAAGATATTTTGCCCATTTGTGCAAACAATACTTAGAATTGTTAACAATCAAAATGAAATATCTTTTCCCAGCAGGGTTATTCTAACATACTTTTAATTTTGTGGTTTTGTTGAGTGTAGAATTAACTCACGCTGTATAAAGTGAAGTCACGTAAGCTATCAAGGGCAAGGATGCCACCTGGGAAATGTCATGTTCCCAGGGTCTACCACTGTGCCTTGGACTGGGGTGCTTGGTTCTTGCTTGCTTAGTGGTCATCAGAGGGCATTGGTAAAGGGATATGCTTTTTGATAAAGGTGTTGGGTTTTTGGCAGGAGAGGGAAAAATGTTCCAACAGTGAGTTAAGCCAGCAGTATATATTGGAGGGCCTACCAAATATAGAATATAATCTATTAAACTTACATTTGAAAAATAACGTTATTCAAATGCAGCATTTTCTATAGTATGTTCCCCAGGATATTAATAAGATGTTACAAAAAAGACAATGTTAGAGTGAAATAGGTTTGGGAAATGCTGATTAACCAAAGTTAAACTGGACTTCTCAGAGCATTTTGCAAATTCCTGAAAGAGCATTTCCCAAATTTATGTTACTTTGGAATGTCTTCTGCCTCCCCTCAGTCCTTTTTTTTTCTCCCCAATAAGAGTGCTCGTAGAGCTGGTTCTCTGGAAAGACTTTTGGGAAGGCTGGGATTCCATGTAGCAAAGAGTTTTGGAGGAAGGAAACTTCAGGCAAATGTGTCTGGCAAGGGGGAAAGGCAAGATGCAAGGTCAGGAGTAGAAAGTCTGTGTTTTCATGAAAGGGAGTTTAGACCTCTGAGTTCTTGAGCAGGACTGAGGTAGGAAAAGAAACCTTCACATATCCTTTACTTCACCAGGAACAGCACTTTCTACAGATTCCCTGTTTTTCCCACAGGAAAAGATGCCATCCAAGCTCACCAACTATGGTGGACACAGTTTTAGGATCTGGCAACTCGCACATGGCCCCTCGGTGTCCTGTCTGCCCACTGTGGAGATCCCGTGTACTTCCCCTCCGGCTCTATTGATGGAGACTCTTGGACCACAGTCATGTTACATCCTCTGAGGATGCTTTCAACATTATTTCAGGAGAGTTCTGTGCTTCACTCCCATAGTTGTTGGTTTACGTATCACTCCCTGTAGAACAAGAGCCTCTGAAATGCAGGGACGGTGTTTCATTGGTCTTTGAATCCCCATAAAAAATAATAAACATTAGCTGGTAGTGGTAAGTGGATGGATGAAAGGGGATACTGTATAAGTTTTCTAGGACAGCCATAACAAATTACCACAAACTTGGTGGCTTAAAACAACAGAAGTTTATTGTCTGACAGTTCTGGAAACCAGAAATCAGAAATCAAGGTGTTGCAAAATCTGCACACCCCACAGAGGCTCTAAGGGAGAATCCTCCTGGTCTCTTTCAGCTTCAGGAGGCTCCTTCACTTGGGCTGCATAGCTCTAGTCTCTTCTCTTGTCCTCACGTGGCCTTCTACTCTTCTCTGCTGTGTGTGTCTTTTATAAGGACACTCATCTTTGGATTTAGGGCTTACCCAGATAATCCAGGATGATCTAATTTTGAGATTCTTAATCACATTTTGAAAGACACTTTATCCAAACAAGATCACATTCACAGGTTCTGGAACATGGACACATCTATTTGGGGACCACCATTCAACTCATTACAGGTACTAAATCAATTTTTCAAGATTGGAGGATACATAAGCCTAGTCCAAGAACGAAGAGCCAGCCATGCATGTACCTGTGAAGATTCAGGGTTGGGTGTTCTAGATCAAGGGGGCCAATATAGGCATGCCATGGCTCCCCAAACTTGTGTGTCTAGAAGTCCTCACTGCTTCATCCTGCCCATCTTTTCACCAAGTCTGGATGTGGCCTTAGGATCCTTCCTAACATTAGGCTCTATGAAGCTGCTTCCAACAGACTGGAGTGGACCTGTGATACAAACAAGCAGATTCCCTAAGATGATAAACAGAGCACTTTATGAGAGGTATGAACAGTCAGTCTCATTGAAACATTTCCAATGACCAGTCTCAATGATGTCATAAGAGGCCAAGGAATTCAAGCTTAATGTAAATGGACACGAACATATTTTATGCAGCAAAACCTGTGCCTCATAGGGAATGCCTAGGGATGAAGTGGAGGTGGTTGTTCATGTTTCTGGTCATTTATGTCCTTCCTGGCAGGATCTAAAGTGCCTGGCAAGAAGAATCTCGGAGGGAAGAAGTGTCTTTCCTCACGCTCCACTTCTAAAACTACAGTAGAAATTGAGACCACTTTGGTTGATGGTGACTGCTTCTTAAAAGACTCAAATTCTGCTATTCGTATGGTTTATAAAGGAGTCGGGCAATATATTTGGCCTGAAAACATCCTTACTTGTCTTTGCGCAAACTTGCTTGCATTTGAAATGCTGTAGAGTGGCAAGCTCTGCTTGATGCATTTGGTTTATCCATCATCAGAAGGTTGTAGTTTCTAGACATATTCATCCCCCTTTGGCTCAGACAGTATTTCCTTTTAGATGAGTGCTCTCATTTCTGGGTATTTCTTGTGTTTCAGCTAGATAGGATGCTATCAGCACATTTTCCCCCTCCCTATAAAATTGGTAATTGTTAAAGCTAGGGGCATGATTTTTTGTTTGCAATCCAAGATATTCTGTTTGGAAGGCTAAATGTGATGCAAAATACTCTCTGTATCTCCCTCTTAGAATGCACTGCAAATGTTTACTGTTTAAATGGGTAAATGCCTAGTGACCAGGTTTGCTGATAGGATATCAGGCTGCTCAGAAACAATAGCCCCTTAGTTTGTGGGTGTTTTATTGGGTCCCAGTATTGCATAATATGAACTAACAAAATGGCATCATAAAAATCACAGAATGTCAGAGTTGCAAATGGATCAGTGAGTTCCACCTCTTCATCTTACAGATGTGAAAACGGTGGGAACTTCCCATTACCAATTGTTACTCTTTGAGCAGTTAAGTTATGATTTCTCTCATAAAATTGTAGGACTATGAACAAAGAAACCACTGCCTCAAGAGTAATACAATAGAATATTGTTGACTCAATGCTTACACAGTAAATTGATTTATACACACCCACACACAAACCCACACAGAAATAGAAAATTCGCAGGATGAAACAGATTTTCCATACCAAAATGTTCACTGCTATAAGTGCTGTGATATTTTTCAGGAGCCATGATGTATACTAGCAAAGGGATGATTGTTGCTCTGCCTTTAAGAAAAAAAAAAGTGAGCAATAAGTATATGTAGGTTGACTCTAATTTTTTTAACATCATGGCAATTCTTGCTTCCAGCTTAGTTTTTATAGTGATTGTCTTCTTTACTCATGGAGCTCAGTTCTTTTTCCAGCTCCGTGTTCCTTAGTATGAAAATGCTTCCAAGTTGGAAGAGGCTGTAACAAGTCCCAACAGAGAAACAATCACTTGCTCTGGCCAAGGTAAATTTGCACAGAGTTTGGTGTTACCGCCCATTTCAGAATCATTTATGCTCTTCCTAAAACTCAATGATGTGAAGTCCCAACTTGGCTTAAATGTGAAAGTATGTTCCTAAATTCAACACACACCTTAGTGGGAGGTGTTACAATGGAACCTCAGTAGTGAACCTTTCTTTCCTTCAGCATTTGTGGGCATAAAAGATGTTTCTGAATGTCTGAGGATAGGATACATGTTTTCATTCTTTTGAAGAGCAAATTTGTTAAAACTATTTCAGTATTAAATATTTGGCTGAAGTTGAAACATTACAACATAAGAATACATAGAGGGAAGGTGTTATTTACACTTGGCATTTTGAAGGATTTTCCATTTGATGACATTTTGTTTGGAGCACTTTAGACTGGATGCAGAATAGCACACAACACACACACATGTAAGTGTAATAATATATAAATGTACATAATAAACGCCTTACATGTATAAGTGACACTTCTATCATTATAACTAGGAGACGTCTCAGAGATTCGAAGTTTTTACTTCTAAATAATACCTACCTTGTATATAAATATCTATCTATATATGTCAGAAAGGATAAGATACATGTCATAATTTTAGTACATTCACCCTTTTTTTGCTTCATACCACATTCTCTCCACTGCTTTGGTTGCTATTTATGCTGTTCAGATATTTCCTGCTTTCCTCCTTCTGAGCGTGATGTCTTGGCTTTGCTGCTTAAAAGCCATGTGGCTCTGGGCCTTCTAAAATGGAGAACAAGAACTCACCCTGTCTCAAAAATGCTGAGGGGCCTCATGAAAATGCCTCCTAGGCATTAGCTAATGTTATCATTATTGTCAGTGAGATTAGCTTTTAATGATAACTGCTAGAATATTAACATAAATACTCTAATGACTAAATTTACTAATCATATGTAGATGATAGAATATATAATGTATCATGGTAATCATAAATTATGTCACTTTTCACTATTAAACAGCAGCTGCTGTTCAGTGATTGTCTCTACTTTATCTCTTAGTGCCTTATAATAAAACATCTTAAAAGTCATATTTCAATTAATCCTCATAGTATCTGTACTATTATTACCCTCATTTTATGGATGAGGAGACTGGAGTTTTGAGAGATTGTATCTTTCTTTCCCTAAGCCATGGTGAGTAAGTGGAAGGTTAAGATTTGACCTTGAGGAGTCAAGAGCTCCGACTTGCAGCCATTACTCTTTTCCTGCCTTCCTACAATGTATTAATATGCTAGATAAAGAGTCATAACAGCTATAATATGTACCACCATGGATAATTCTTCCTGGGCAGAGTGTGTCCTGGCCATTTCCTCCACCTGCAGCATTTCTGTCCTCAAGAAAGGGCTAAACTAGAAATGCAGGCAATCAATTAATTTTCTGGGAGCTCTGGGCCTAACTAGATTTCTCTTACACTGAGTTAGTTCCTCATAGGAATCTTTGGGTGGGATTCCTTGGTTAGTTTACAAGTGAAATTGACAAATGTGTTCATTTAATCCTTGTTTTTATCACTCATTTAACTGAGCATGAAGGAGGCATTTAATAAACTCTTTTCATTTGCTTATGCATCTTTCCAGAAATAGCCTGTGTGCACACAAGCAAATGTTCTTTCTTTTTTCCCAATTGGAAACATGTTAGACATACTGGAATACACGCTGCATTTTACATTTTGCCTTTACAAAAATTTTCTGCAATTTGCCGTTTGTCTTTTTCCATGAAGATAGTTTCAATTTAAATTTAATCTTATTTATCTGTCTTTTACTTTATGGTGTCTAGGCTTTTTCTCTTGCTTAGAAAGGGCTCCTATACCCTATGAATAAAAAGAAGGGCCCCCATATTTTCTTTTTAAAATTTTTTCATATATCTATATTAATACTTTTTGTTTTTGAGCCCATGTCCTACTCTGTTGCATAGGCTGGAGAGCAGTGGTGCAATCATAGCTCACTGCAGCCTCCTGCCTCAGCCTCCCAAGTAGTTGGGACTATAGGGCTGCACCACCATGCCCAAACAATTTTTTATTTTATTTAGTATAAATGAGGTCTTGCTACGTTGCTCAGGCTTGCCTCAAACTTCTGGCCTCAAGCAGTCTTCCCACCTTGGCCTCCCAAAGTGCTGGGATTATAGGCGTTAGCCACTGCCCCCAACCCCATCTGTTTTAGCACTTTTATGATTTAATTTTTTACATCTAACTCTTTATTAGGAATTTATTTTTGTCATAAAGAGTTAGGTAAAGTTTCACTGTTATTATTTTTCTAAATGAAAGTAAGTTTTCAGTCATTATCAATGGAATAATCCATGTTTCCCCTACTGAATCTAACTACCACCTTTATCATATACTAACTTTATATGTGTATGTCAGTCTATTTTGGACTCCCTCATTATTGTTCATGGACTGATCTGTCTTTTTCTTCCTGCATCACTACCAAACTGTTTTAATTACCAAAGCTTTAAATATGTTTCAATACAGTACAGCTGGATCATTCACCTCCTGACATGAAATTTAGGTTAGGTAAAGTCCTTAGAAGTCATTGAGCAAAATTTTATCTCAATTTTATTTTTTTATCAAAAGATAACTGAGTCCCTCAGAAATAAGCAGCTTCCCCCAAGGTCCCATCCCCAGGTCCTAGCAGAGCCAGAAATGAACCTAGGGTATGGGCTGCTGGGGTATGTTTTGGACCAGAAGATGGGGCTTTAAGCCATAGCTCTACTACACTAGGTCTCTGAGCCCTGAAAGCTCCACTGTTTTCACCTTTAAGCAGTACTTACATCACAGGTTGCCCTGGGGAATGCAGGAGCCTCCTGCACCACCTAATGCAGTGTTAGCCACAGAGGGCATCTCAAAAGTATCAGCAGACTGTCAGCCAAGGCCTTCTGAGTCCCTTTCAGCAGTGTGTTCCCATTTTGCCACACTCAAACCTTTCTTACCCATGCCACACCTTACAAATTTGATGGCTTAAAGATACTTTAGAACAGCCTTTCCTAAAAATATTCTGAAGGATATTATTATGTGTTCTTAGAAAAGAACGGGTTCGGTGGGAAAAAATAGATGTGGGGAAAGGTAAGTTAAATCAATTTAAAGAAGATCTTTGCTGTGGGACTTTTCAGAACCTTTAGTATGCTACTGTCTACCATAAACCACTAGAGCCCACAATGTTTCCCAAGTCTGCTCCATCATGGCACACACCCTGCTTCCACACCCCTACTTAACTTTTGCACAACACTCAGAAAAGTTTCAAAGAACAAATACTGTTTATTTTAGAGTAGTATTTTTCACAGTTGAGAAAACATTTCTTCTTCTTTTTTTCAAATAAACAACCTTGTAGACACCTAGTATTGTTTTATGTAATAATTACTACTTTACTTAATTAGTGACAAACATAAGATTAAGCATGTTTATAGCTCTTATAGAACTATGCAGCCAAATCAAGATTATGTACTAAATGAAAATACAATGTCAAAGTTAATAAAATCTAAATTAATGATATTAATTTAATATGGAGAAGGATAGTGTTTTCCACGCATGAATTTACACTGATATGAATGTGGTACAAACTGGTATGGCTGAGGTGCTAGTTCAGGAGGCCTGAACTAGTGGTATGTTGTGTGAAGATCCAGTTTCCTCGCTGATTGCTGTTTTTATTTATAGTGCTGATGAACCCCTGGTTTTCATGGTTAGCATGATGTCCTGTGGTTGAGACTTGGAGGGAATGTATCATAGAAACAAGAAGTTCTGTGCTTTTTTCCATTTCACTCCAAAGCAATCTTAAGTGCAAACACAAAGGCTATATTGAAATCTATTAGCAAGGAGAGATTTACCTGATCCAGATTTATAAGAGTTATTTACATGATCCAGGATAAATTCATTTTAACTTTTGAGATAATCATAGAAAAGAAAAGATGACATAGAAAAGAACAGACAACATAAGAACGCTCTTATAGCAAACTTCTGGATCCTTAAACACAAGTCCCCATCCTCCAGGAGTATTTGAGAGACACGACTCTAAAACATGGGTTTAACCCTAACAAATACAGTGCCTAATTTGTTAGTCATTTACAAATACTTTAGGCATATCTCATTGGAGGTTATTTGTTTGGATTTGTTAAAAAGCACTGACCTAAAGATCACAAAATTATTACTTAGTACTAAATTATCTGTGATTTAAGTTCTGGAGCTTCAGTGATAGTTTAGAAAATTCATGGCATATCTAAGCGGGATCAATATTTTAAAATTTTATGTTAAAACACAATTTCGTGCTTACATTTAATGTGCTTACCTGAAGGGAAAGCACAATATGAATGACACATGGTATTTTCTTAAACTTGTTTTTTTCCGTAATAGCAAATGTTTTGAAGATGGGCTTTATAAATGTTAGGAGGTACTAAGATTGATAGCTTTGCAAATTGGTTTTAAGTATTTTGAATTTATAACTATCATCATGTTGCAAAATAACATTGACTTTGGAATGGCTTACTTCCTTTTGTAGTAATTCAAAAATATTATGACAGCTATAGTTTTATAGTGAGCATAAAAATCAGTGAGGTAAGTTCAATGAGGTAAGGTTAGTGTTGGAAGTTTTATTAACGAAAACTTTAAGTATTAACACATGAGTTACAATTCCCATGTGTTTTCAGAAATTTGCTGGAACTGAACTGAGCATTAAATTTTGAACTTTGGACTAGTCACTTAAAACCACCTAATTTTAGTGTAAGAAGTAGCCAAAAACTTAAGTATGAAAACAGGTTTATAAAGTTGGCTGAATTATTAACTCACATGTGATATGAATTCTCCCATGTAGGTGATACAAAGCACTCTCAACCCAGCATTGTTTTCTTCAAGTAGGTGGCATGTGGGACTTGGGTATAATTTTTTGACAGGTAGGCATGACAAACACATTTTTACAACCTGAAAATCTCGACTGTGTTATTAACAAGTTGGTGATTGTAACTTAACTTTTATAAGCACAGCTTAAATGATATATGTGGTTATATGATACTAAATATCCCTGAATTCTATTTTTTGAATTCAAATTGTATGAGAACAGACAACCTAAGAGAAACATGTACTGTAAATTATGAAGCACTTTATTATACAATCATTATTGTTTTTCTTTGTGCTATCTAAATGTTTTTAAATATAATATAGGTTTTTTTTCTCTTGTCAAGTGTGTAAATTTTTGACTGCTAAATGAAGTCAGCACACAGAAGTGGGATTATATAGTCCTTTATCTCTGATTCAGTATTACTCTACTGACTGTAGACATCAACAGGAGGATAAATACATCATTGACATTAACTAGACGCCTTGAAAGGCCAAAGGCTCAATTGAGATGACCAAATCTCTTGTTATCCATGACTATGAGAGGAAGAGACCTTATAGCAAAAGACCTAAAAGCAGGGGCCCTTTTAGGAAGGGGATTTCTCTCAGTTTTCAACAATGTCGATGTCCTCTCCTTACACATTTTTGTTAATTTGGTCTCAGAGAGCTGCATCGAAACAGGAGTGAATCTGTAAATGTGCAGAAGGTGTCCTACCTGGTCATTAGGGGAAATGTTGATGTAATTACAGGACTGCCCATCCACATGTAGATCAGACTCCAGTCCAGCTTCTGTTGTGTTGGGAGCTTCCAAATCATATAGCCATTTGCTTTTCATATGTTTCCTAGCCATCTCAAACTATATATGCCTAATCCTAAACTCTTGATTTCCTTTCCTCAAGTCCAGTTCTCCCCAGTCTTCCACATCACAGGCAATAATTCCACTATCTACTGAGTTTTTCCAGCTAGCAACCCAGGAGTCTTCTTTGATATCTTCCTTCCTTTCATCCCTACACATACAAATCCTCAGTTCTGCCAGCTGTCTTCTGTATCTCAAAATGCATCACAAACACAGCCACGTGCCCCCTCTCCACCACCTCCATCCTAGTTGTGACAGCCACTTTCTCCCTTCTGGCTCATTGCAGCAGCTCCTCACCTGTCCCCGGCCTCCATTCCTGTCCCCTAGTGCCTGTTTTCCATAGAACACCCAGAGCGAATTTTAAAGAAAAAGTGCATCAAATTGTCCCATCCTTGACCAATAGCAAGACTCTATTGGTCTTTAATAACTTCCTTGCTTTCTGGTTCAACAAGGCATTCTGAACTCACCTGCACATCCTGCCTTAGACCTAAAATCAATCATTTCTACAATGAAAGTAGATTTGTTTTAGTGAAAAATGGTTTAGAGATCACAATTTGGGCACCTGGGGTGGGTTCTCATCGCTACTTAGGTGGTCAGTTTTTTTTCTAGGTCTACAGTGGACAAAGCTAGAAATAAAAAAAAGAGGAAGGGTAGGGGGAGCCAGGGAGCATTGAAAAATCACCTATCGGGCACAATGTTCACTATTTGGGTGATGCGTACTCTAGAAGACCCAAACCTCACCATTACGTAACAAACCCAGATCTAAAAAAAAAAAAAAGAAAATATGAAAATATATCATGTATTCATAATATTTCCAATTTGAATTTAGTATTACAAGGCTTTTATTTAAGTATTTAAGTTCTTAGAGTTTATATCTGTTTTACTCCACTCTTATGCTAAAACTTGTATTTATTAAATGATATTGACATAATACTTATTTGTTCTACCTCCACTACCTCCAACCTTACAACCGTATGTTTCAATAAATCACAAACCTGACTGTCTTGTTAAAAGGCTATATCCCTAACACTAGAATGTTGCCTGGCACAAAATTGATTCTTCATATTTATTGAATGAATGAAGAAGTGATTCTGGTTACTGCTTATAAAAAGGTTAACTACAGACAGGAGAGAAATCTGAAATTAAAATAGCTGCAGAAGTTAAAGAGCAGGAGGATGTAACCAAGCATAGGGTAAGAGATGGGCACACCCTCATCCGTAGAGCCAGTTTTTGATGATGCAGCTGCTGAAGGACATTTTTTTCTGAAAGGCAACTTTTGCTATAATTAGAGATTGACGTGAAAGAGTTTTTGAAAGCAGTGATTATTCTGAGTTCTTATTTCATCAAGAATCCAGAAAGATTCATGCTAGCTGAATTACCAGCCATCAAGGTCATTGATGATTATTCGTCAAAAATTTTCTTTTGTAGAGGTCAGTAGCCCCTGATGGTTAGAGAAGGGAAGAAGGCAGTACTCCTGCCCCACCACCTGGCCTCTATGTAGTACATCACAGCTGTACAACTTCCCTGAGCACTCCTTGAAGTTTCAGCTCTCTGTTTTTCTGGAAGCTTCATGTCCATGAAAGCTTCTCTCTAAGTCAGTGTGATGCTATGTCTTGTGACAGGGCTCAGCCAACCGTCTGTTTGCTGTTGGGCCAGAATCCTCCCTGAATCATCAATATGCAAGGGAGATTGAAATTCTAAGCCTAGGTAGGATTCCATTCCAAGGGTTGAAGCTTTTGGGCTTACAGGAGTCATAGACCTTCACTGTCCAATATGGTAGCCATGAGCCACATATGGCTATTGAGCACCTGAAATATGGCTAATCCTCATTGAGATGTGCTAAAAGTATTAAAAAAAAGCTAGATTTTGAAGACAATACAAAAAATGTAGAGTATCTCAATATTTTTCATATTGATTACAGGTTGAGTAATAATATTTTAGATATAATAGATTAAATATTTTATTAAAATTAATTTCAATGTTTCTTTTTACTTTTTAAATGGGGCTATTAAAAAATGTAAAAGTACAAATGTGGCTTGCATCTAATTATTTTGGACACACAGTCTTAAACCTTGCTCTTGGAAGACTGGACATGCCTGTGCAACATTTCTAGCCACTGCACAGATCTCAAATACCATTCACTTCACCAGGGAGAAATCACTCCTCACATAAATTATGTTAATTGACAATTTTCAGTTGTCCATCAAATATAAAGAATACTGAGGTATTTTTGGTAGCTGACTCTGGAATGTTAGCTTTTAATTAAAGTCTTTCATAGCTAATTAACTAACTCTGGAGGACTTATTCCCAGTTGGGTAATACACCCATCTGTCCACCCACCCACACAACCCTCCACACTGCACACATACCATAGAGTGTATGCTGAAATATTTTTAAGTAAATGTCAAACAATATAACGCCTCAGTACATGTTAGAGCACAAAACCTTATTTGCTGGTTCTCCACTCTTCCTGAGGGCTGCTGTTGATCAGCAACCTTTATTGCATTCCTGCGGTATATAAATCACTGAATTAGAGGCTGTGAAAAGTAGAATAATAAAGTATAATAACAATAGCAAAAATTTATTGAGGGTTTCTAAGTGCCAGGTACCATGCTAAGTGCTTTACATGTGTTATTTAATTTAATACTCAAAATAACTCAATGAAGGACGTACTGTTATTATCTCCATTTTCCTTGTAATACCTTAGAAATGTTCATGACATTTGAAAGGCCATTGTTATGAGTTAGTTGAACATATATATTTGCATTGCAGAGGATGTTGCAAAACATACCCACCTGAGCCGCTTGTCTATCCAAACTGAAACTCAAGTTGATGAGCTTAAGGGGATCTTTCCTCTTCAGTCTGTCTTTCTCTCTTTTTCCCAAGGCTTTGATCTTTAACCCCCGTGTCTACTCCCCCAAGGTTCTACTGCTTCTTCCTCTTAGCTCTGTCTTTGGCCCTCTGTCATTTTTTCCCCCTTCTTTGGATTTGGGATGAAAGGAGAAGGGAAGTTGAAGGTCCTATATATAGAAAGAGTGAAAGGAAGTACCATAGCCCTAATTCTTTAGATTCATGACAATCTCTAAGACAAAAAAAACAGTTTTAGTTTTAAGGTGCCTATTTTGCAGCAAAATCATACGAGTTTATTGTAATAATTTCTAAGCTATTTAACCCATCATACTGTAAGTCCAACCCGTTTTAAGGATTGAGGACTTGGGGGAGAACCTGTTTCTCACAGTCACTTGAGGATCCAGACTTAGGAAGGTTCTGCCATCTTGTATCTCCACCATCTGGAAAGTGTAGCCTCTACGATCTCTGAGGAAGAAAAGGAGTGTGGTATGGAACAGACAGGAAGTGATGTACCTCACTTCTGCTTACATTTCCTGAAGAAAACACAGCGTTTCATCTTCCCAAAAGGCGCCTGAGAAGTGTGATCTTTCCTGTTTTCAGGAGGAAAGGAGAGTTGGATGTGAGTGAGAACTAGTCGTTACTACCAAGCAAGTTTTAGATTTTAGGTTATTTTTAGTGTTTGTGTCTTTGGAGACTGTGTACATTATGCGTACTTCCAACTTTGAAACTGTCTCCTGTTTGAATGATTGCAGGTTGAATCAAATTCAAATATACCCTTAACTCAAGTCTACGATTAGGAAAAACAAACAAATGAAGCTTTGAATGTGAAATAAAACTATATTGGGAGCTTTTGTGAGTGTTCCAGTTTCATTTTCTTTTAAAGTTTTTCTTTGTGATAGCCTGTTTATTCAATTCTTGAAGCGTTGTCAAGCAAGTAGTATTTAATCTGTGAAAATTTTCAAGTGGCCCCTTTTTCTCCCTCAGGTGTTTTTTTCTCTCAAGTGTTGCAGTAGTCATTTTAAGATTGAAATGAACTGTTTGATTTTTAGAAATTATTTATGGCACATCAAGTAGCACTTAGTGTTTTGTCACAACATTGAAACCGTTTCTGAAGGCGCACATAAAATACGGCAGAAAGGTCGAGTGTCTTATGTATAGAACTTCTGGAAACATACCTCACCATTGGAACTGGTTATAATTCCTGGGTGCTGACATGAAGATTAATAATGCTTAACTCTGATTTTGGCAACGTTTTGCCAATTTCATTGCCATGGTTCTTTTCTTTCAAGTTATTACCTGGAACTGAAGTGAAAACAAATGTTTTATGTTTTATACTGCCAGATAAAAGGTTAAATTTTCATATGTCACATGCTCTTACACACACACACACACACACACACACACACACACACACAAATGGATCAAAAGGAAATGAGCAATTCTCCTAAAATGGAAAGATTGTCCTAGTTTTAACATTAGATGACTAGTTCCCATGTGGTTAAGTCATATGTAAAAATTGGAAATTCAACCTTCTGGGTCTTTGTGCATGGACTATATCATACAGTTCTAATTTTCTTTTGTTTTTCTGGGAAATGATGGTGCTCTTTGCTTTGCCAAGTTTTATTATTGAGTCAACTGCCAAAGTTTAAGAGAGAGAGTCAAGGGCCCTTAAAATTATTTGGTGTTGAGTGAAGAGGCAGAGAAAGGTATTCCATATACCTAAACATTTTAACTTTATGTCTCTACCTGATGTTGGAGTATAATCTAGACTTCAGGCTTTTCTGATTCTGTTTTAAGTGATGTACTCTGTTGAGTGGAGTCAGAATATTAGTGAGGGGAACTTTAATTTCAGTCATTGATACCTAATTTGGAACTAGATATTCTAATTTTTAATAGAATGCATTTTTTCTTGCCTTATCTTCCCTGTATTTAAACTTTGGTGCATCCAAAGGCTTGTGTGCCTGCTTGTGGTTTTGCACCATGTGGAAGTTCATATTTGGTTTTAGAGATGATGTCATACTTGCTTACTGCACACTGGGCTAATGTTGCTTGTGAATTGCCTGTGGTTCATGTCAAAGTTTCATCTTAAAAAAAAAAAAAAAGAAGACCCTGAAGCCCATTTCTAGTGCAAAACTTTAAAGACAGAGTGAAGGTGATTGAAAGGCACGACCCAAATTCCTTTGAAGTTAAGTACACACTTTCCAGTGCATGGAAAATAAACCCCCCAAACAGAAGACCTCAGCTGGCACAGGCTCCCTCCTGCCATGTTGAATTTGGGTGTTTGAGTAACGTGCTGATCACAACCATCCTCGCTCTCCATTTTGTTTCTGGAGAAATATTCTCATGGCTAGGGTTGTTTTTTATCTCTTCTGGGCTTGGGAAGATGCGACAGGGCACTGATAGATCACACATGGCGAGAAGGTGCTATAAATGTTAAGCCTTAAAGTCTAGATTACATTCCAACATCAGGTAGAGACATAAAAGTTAAAATGTTTGGGTATATGGAATATTTTTCTCTGCCTCTTCACTCAACACCAAATAATTTTAAGAGCCCTTGACTCTCTCTCTCATGATTACAGAGTGTCTTTTTCTAAACTCTCTCCAGCACCACTCACTACCTCCCATATTGTAATTTATTTATATCACAGTTTGGATATTAGGCATTTCCTTTAGTCCAGATATAGACCATCCAGCTTTGATAGGTAGGATGCAGGGCAAATGGGACCTCAGTCATGTGTTTCTTCTCAGAATCACACTGAGTCCTAGTAAGCCCATGTGCAAATATCTACAATTGATTGTAACCCCTTTATAACCACTGCTATAATCCAGAGTGTTCAGCATGTTCTGCCAATATTCCAGTAATCCACCAAATACCTATATTTGTGCATAAACTCAAAAATCATATTTTTTCACCAGATATAATGAAAACCTACAGAGAAGAGTGGTTTTATGCCAGGCTGGTAGATGAAGGTAACTTTAAACAAAAATGGGCCACATGAGAATCTGTGGCCCATCTGTAGGGCATCATCTTTAGTGCACCTGTCATGAATTTTCATTTAGGAAGAGGAAGATCCCCAGGACGTGAGTATCCCTCCACCTTTCCAGGCCCTGTATCTTTCTGGCTATTATGTGAGAAGGGGCACAGCTATCAGCTATTTGAAGAATCTGCCGTTCTCCTCCCCAGTCACAGAATGTCCACTCTCTCTTGTAATGCAGTCAGGGCCATTAGGGCTTGGGGGCTCCACACATCTGTGACCAACCCTTCCCCTACGGGGACCTCCCAGCTTCATCCTTCTCACTGGAGCAGAAACTGGAAAAACTCTCTACTCCCCCAACTTCCCTGTCACCTTTGACCTTTAGAAACACAACTTAGGTACCCCTTTCTTGGCAAGGAGCAAGAAAAGGATATTCTACTCCAATAATTTTTCTTTATCGCTAATATCATCATCCTTCCCTGACGCATTCTACCAAAAACGGATTCCTGCCTTTAAAAATCCTAAGATGTCAGATATGATCTGTTCACACCTCTTGGTTTTATAGATGGAGAAACTGAGGCTGAAAGGCTGGGGAGGGGAAATGAGAGTTATCTGTCCTGATCCTCTCAGGCAGTTAAAAGCAGAACCAGTCCTAAAAACCTAAGTGTCCTCTTTCTATTGTTCCTATTGACTTTTTTTTTCTTTTAAATGCCACCCTCTGCTGCCCTGAACTTTTCTTTTTTTTTTTTTTTAATTTTTAAATTTCAGTATCTTTAGGGGTATAGGTAGTTTTTGGTTACATGAGTAAATCGTATAGTGGTGAAGTCTGGGATTTCAGTGTACGCATCACCTGAGTAGTGTACCTTGCACCCAGTAGGTAGTTTTTTATTCCTCATCCTCCTCACACCCTTCCTGCTTCTAAGTCTCCAATGTCCATTATACGACTTCACATGCATCTGTGTATCCAGAACTTAGTTCCCACTTAGAAGTGAGAACATGCAGTATTTGGTTTTCCATTCCTGAGTTACTTCACTTAGAATGATGGCCTAAGTGAAGTTCCATCCAGGTTGCTGCAGAAGACATTATTTCATTCTTATCATATATATATCTTATTTGTTATCATACTTTATCTACTCTTATCTACTTATTCTTTGACAGGCACATAGGTTGATTCCATATATTTGCAAATGTGAATTGTGCTGTGATAAACATACACATACAGGTATCTTTTTGATGCAATGACTTCTTTCCTTTTGGGTAGATACCCAGTAGTGGGATGGAATAGTAGATTGACTTTTAGTTATTTGAGAAATCTCCATGTTGTTTTCCGTAGAGGTTTTACTAATTTACATTCCCACCAGCAGTGTATAAGCATTTCCTTTCCACCACATCCAAGCCAACATCTATTGTTTTTTGACTTTTTAAGAATAGCTATTCTGGTTGGGATAAGGTGGTATTCTCACTGTAGTTTTGATTTGCATTTCCCTGATGATTAGTGATGTTGAGCATTTTTCATATGTTTTTTGGGTATTTGTATATCTTCTATTGGTTTCTTATGGCATTCTTGTATCATTTTTGTTTTTGATTTCTTTATTCTTTTTTTTTCTTTCCATTCAAATTTTACTTGCCTATAGGATAAGGAAGCAAAATGTTTGAAAATTTTTGTTATGAGATGCAGCAATCCTTTACTTCCCCTGTTCCATTTTTTTTTTCCCTAAGACAAACCCTTTTAACTCTTCTTGTTCGGTTATTTTGATATCTCTAAATAACCTACTTGCTTCTCTACTTCCTGATTGCTGGTATAGCTACTATCTGTTGACTTCCTGCTATGGAGGGTGAAGATTAAGTCCTTCCATCACCCCAATACCTCATCACCTCAATACCTCATCACCCATGGGAACCTTATCCAACCCCCACTTCATTCTCCCAGTTGTGTTATAAGGTAATTTAGTTCCCAGGTTGGTGTTTTGTTTTGTTTTGACCTCTCTCTTTCATGAAAGACATTGTTGTAAGATATTTGTTAATTCTTAGTTATGTATTCATATATTTTTCAAATTTATTGAAATATAAATTATAATTATATCAAAGTATAAATTATTAAAATGTACAGTTCAATGAGTTTTGACAATTTTGTACACCAGGTAACTGTTCTCCACTCTCCCTAATCAATTTAGAGAACAGAAAAACACCCTCCTGTCCCTTTATAATCAGCCCTTCCCAGCTTCCACCCCAGGCAACTGTTGCTCTCATTTCTGTAACCTCATAGATTATTTTCACCTCTTTTAGAATTTCACAGAAATGGAAACACAGTCATGCCATAAATCCTCTAGATTCTTTCACTCGGGGTGCTTTTGAGATTCACCTATGTTATTATGTATATCTGCAGGTCACTCCTTTTTATGGATAGATAATATTCCATATAAAAACACCACCATTTTATTTATCCATTCATTTACTGATAGACATTTGTGTTGTTTCCTGTGTGATCCATTATGAACAATGTTGCTGTGGGCATCTCTATGAAAATCATTTTGTGGACATGTCTTTTACACTTTCTATATCAGCAGTCCCCAACCTTTTTGGCACCAGCGACCAGTTTTGTGGAAGACAGTTTTTCCACAGACGAAGAGGTGTGGGGTGTGGGGGATGGTTTAGGAATGAAATTGTTCCACCTCAGATCATCAGGCATTAGACTGTCATAGGAGAGTGAACCCCATTGTGAACTGCACATGTGAGGGATCTAGGTTCATTAGATTCTATGAAAATCTAGTGTCACTGCTGATCTGGCAGGAGGTGGAGCTCAAGTGGTAATGCTTGACCGACACTCACCTCCTGCTGGGTGGCCTGGTTCCTAACAGGCCCTGGACCGGAACTGGTCCAAGGGTTGGGGACCCCTGTTCCATATGATCTTATTTAATTTTGATTTGTTGTAGTAAACATAACATATTCCTTTCCCACATCAAGGGGACTGACAAAGAGTTACTTCATACATCCTTTGCCAAAGGGATCAGGACTGATCCTTGAAGAGTTAGTTCCTGGATTGTTCTAACCCTGGCTTTGACATACAATCAAGTGTTAAGGTGTCTTTAATGATCCAGAAAAAATAAATCATGGTGGTTGTCTTAGTTCATTCAGGCTGCTAGAACAAAGCACCGAGACTGGGTGGCTTATAAACAACAGAAATTTATGTCTTACAGTTACAGAGGCTGGAAAGTCCAAGATCAAGGCATCAGCAGATTTCTTGTCTGATGAGAGATCAATCAATGCTTCATATATGGTGCCATCGTGCTGTGTTCTCACATGGTGGAAGGGGTGAATGAATTCCTTTGGGCTTCTTTTATGTAGCAATTAGTCCCATTCATGAGGCACTTTGCCCTCATGACCTAATCACCTCCTAAAGGCCCCACCTTTTAATATTATTGTATTGGGGATTTGATTTCAATTTATGAATTTTGAGCAACACATTCAGACCATAACAGTAGTATCTGCTGAAGTGGCAGCAAGATAATTGTGGCAAAGGGTCCTAATCTTTTTAATATATATATCCAATAAAAAAAGTAAATGCTTTGGGAGTAACTTATTGAATGTCATTGTTTAGCTGAGAACAAGACTCTTGGAAATCTCATAGTCTGTCATTGTCGATAATTAAGGACAATAATCCTTCAAATAAAGTGTTTGTCACAGTTGCATTTTAAGACTGGATTAGTGTACATTTATAAACATGGTTGCAAATATGGTGTTGTATATCAAAAAAGTACAATTTAAAAATGCTACAGAAAATTAACTCAAAATGGTATTCTGATGGTCTTCATATTCTTTTTGTTGTCTCATTTCTTTTTTACCACCCCAGTGATATTTTTCTATGATCTAATCTGAGTAGTCTAGAAATAGACCTTTCTTTGCACATGGGCTTCAGAATGTTAAATTAAAAAAAAAACTTATATTTTCTTTTTTATTAACAACATTTGAAAGCAGGAATTATATTTTTTTTAAATTTTAGAGCTGAGTTACAAGGAGGAATTTTTTTTTGTATGCTTTGTCTTTTTCTTTTTTTTTCTTTAAAAGTATTTGGAAAGCAGTCTCATGAGGCTGGAGCATGGGTGTTTCATTTCTATCTTATTTTCTTCCTCCAGCAGCATGAGTGTCCTCTTGGCAACATGTATTTTTCTAATTTAGGAGTGTTTCTCTACATGTCAATCTTGTTCCTCTGGATGTCCATGGCATGGCTCATTGTGTTCTCCGTATTTCAGGACGATGCTGCAAAGCTTGAGCAGTATTTTATCCTCCCTGGACTCTCAGAGAGACATGGGAGTATTGATGTGCTTTGTTTCCAAGCTTAGACAAACATGTTGTAGTAGGGAAACAAACATGGAAACCTACTACTATTTCATAATGTCTTATTTCAAAGAAGTCTTATTTTTTTTTTAAAGTATCACTATTGAGATGTGCACACAATAGGGCTTTAAGAAGGATGTAGGCTGTTAAAATGCAGGGCAGTGAGGTGCCATGAGCAGTGGTTCCATTGTGCCTTGCTCAGTAAACATGCTGCTGCCCTGCCTCCTCAAAGGGCACAATTGATGGTTATTGATGACCTTTCTGTAAAACCACAACCTTCTGTCTTTTTCCTGATTTCAGGTAGATGCGCTGAGATTACGACTGGAAGAAAAAGAATCTTTCCTCAATAAAAAAACAAAACAGCTACAGGACCTCACAGAAGAGAAGGGGACACTGGCCGGTGAAATTCGTGACATGAAAGATATGTTAGAAGTGAAGGAAAGAAAAATCAATGTTCTTCAGAAAAAGGTGAGTAGCTGACATAAGACCTTCAAGTGGGGTATCATCCATGTTTTGTCATTTTAGAAAAATTTTGAGCACATGGAAAATAAGTGATCTTTTACGAATCTTTAGGAAGAATAGGCTGATTTTCATACTGGTGTTTCACTTACTGGTAGTTGCATCATGTCAATATTAGCGTTGCTTGATGAATTTTCTATTTGATTACCTAGAAACTAAATAGTGATGATAATTTTTTATTCAGCAGCTTAAACATAGAGAGAATTGTACAAATTTAGATACAAATCTAAAATAACCAAAGGTCCCAAAAGTTAATTTTTTCTTCCTGAGAGTTAGCAATGTATTTGTGGGTCCTGAATGTATTTTAGATACATTTGATAGTCACATAAACTGTAGTAGATCCTATTCTGTGAAGCCCATATAGATTTTTGGGAGGCAGGGGTAATGTTTTATACCCATTACTTAATTGAAATCAATGGAAAGAATGTATAATAATTCCCAGCCACAGTGATGCAACACAGAAGATGCTTGACCTTGTTAGGGCTCTTCCTTCCTTCCTTTAGCAGCTCGATTTCTCCCTTATAGGGGACCCTGATTTTGTGATAGCATTCCCGATTTTCTTTTGGAGAATTTCTGTTTGCTACTGTATATAGTTTTAGTGGGGCCATTGAGTATCCTGCCTTCTCTTAGTAAAAGGGTGGGTGTGAAGAGAAACCAATGGCTGCTCTTTTACAAAAAAAATAAAATGTGTTGGGAAGATACAAGGCTCACAGATGAACAGGGGGCCAGAGAGGAAATTAGGTGGAAATCAATGGTGGGCCGCAGGAGCCTCTGACCTGGATGCTGCCATCCACAGGCATGTTGTCAGGTGCTCTGCTGCAGCAAATGGAACTAACTGTCCCCTGTTCTTGGTGTCACCTGCTATCATCATTTCTCACCTGGCGTTGATCTACAGCATTCCAGATGTTTTTCTTGTCATGTTTCCTACAGCCTATTCTTAACACAGAAACTGGATTAATCCTCATAATGCATAAAACGGTTCATGTCACTCTCTGATAAAAACTCTCCAGTCACAACCAATTACATAATTTTGGGGGTCCATTGCATAATGTAAACATGACACCCCTGTCCCAAAATTGAGAATTTCAGGATGGTAACCGTAGAGCCTTAAACCAAGCATAGGGACCTGTGCAGCTGCACAGGTCAGAGGTCCATGGAGCTGTCCCCACCTCCATTGGCTTCCATTGTCACTCAGAGTAACAGTGGAAGGCCCAGGACACCCTGCAGGATTGGGCTCCCTCTGGCCAGTCTGGCCTCCTGTCTCACTGCCTTCCCCTTTGCTCAGACTACATCAGTCACTGTGGCCTTTGTGTTCTTCTGCAGACACATGAGGCATGCTGTCTTGGTACCTGACATTTACTGTAGCTTTTATGGGGACATTCTCATTCTGAACCCGTGCTGCCCATTGTGGTAGTCACGAGCCACTTGTAGCGATTAAGGCCTTGACTGAGGTGTGCTTTAAGTGTGAAGTGCACATCAGATCTGGAAGACTTATTATGAAAAAAATGGAAGCGCTTTCGTGAATCAATTTTTAGTTTGATTATATGGTGAAATGAAAATATTTTGGACATATCAGGTAAATGAAAATGAATTTCACTTGTTTCTTTTTACTTTTTTTAATGTAATTACTAGAAAGCTTAAAATTACCTGTGTGACTCACATTATGTTCCTATTGACAGAACTGCTCGAAATAGCCACATGGCTCATGCCTTTGCTTCTTTCAGGTCTCTGTTCAAATAGTGCTTTGTTACAGGCCTTTTTTGTCCATCCTGCATAAAATTGCATGACCACCCACATTCCTGCCCTCTGTCTTCTCTCATCCAGTTTTATTTTTTTAATTAGAACTTTTAACCATTTGACAAATGTGTTTTTGTGTGTATATGTATTTTTAAAATTTATATAATATAAATAAATATATATTTAAATATATATATTGTTCATTCATATTACTAGAATGTAAATTCCAAAAAGGCAGACTTTTCCCCCGTATGTTTAGTACCCAAAAGATACTAAATGCTTAATAAATATTTGTTGAATGAATGGATAAATGAACTTGCTCCAGAGTTAAAGTCTTGGGTAGGAGCATTTGATTGGCCAAGGTTATGTTACATGCTCACCCCCTACTGCCAGGAGCACTTGTTCTTGTGAATTTGATTCAAGGACCGAGCTATGCAAAGATGACAACAGTAGCTGGCATTCATTTGTTTCGGTGCAGAGGCTGTGATTAGATTATCAATGCATTCTAATATCTATTAGGATATTCCCCATGATTTTGTCTTTTCATAAGTGAGTTCTGTAATCTTTCTTAAACTCTGAGAGCCAGTGAGTCTCTTCCTGTTCTGTTATGGTCAGCCAGAGCCTAAATGGTACATTCATGTACAGAATAGAGTCTGTCACATTTTAAAAACAAAGTTAGATTCAAACCAAATTATAGAGGCTTTACCAAAGAGTTAAAAGTAGAGACACTGCATTCGTTAGAAACTCTCAGGATATTGGTGATTTGATGAATCATATTATTAATTCATTTCTGTAGAGCTCTTCATGGACAAGGTCCTGGTCATTGGATCCTCTTCCTCTTGTAGCACTAGCTAATTGACACAGAAATTTAGAAGAGAGCTCAGGAGAGATTACTAAGGACCCTTGAATCAAAGGGGCTGTCTAGGATACGTGGGAATAACAGAGAGATGGTTATAGTAGCCTGTCTTGGAGCATGTTCTAAGGATTCAGAAGAAGATTTTTCATTTAAAATCTCCGGCTGCAAATAATAACAAAAGCTTACATTTATTGAACTTGCTTATATGGAACACTGTATGCTGACTACTCTGTTTACTCATGTAAATAGTGCTTGTTACATGCACTGTTTACTTACTTTTGACCACTACCTAGTGAGATGGGCACAATTATTAATCTAAGGAATTGTGGAATATTGAGGCTTATGGTAAGCTTGCCCAAGATCACATAGCCTAGATAAAAGTGTTTTTTGTCTTTAGGAATATATAATAAAATAATTAATGTAAATTAAGAGAATAAGCCTTTTTTTAATTTCACTTTTTAGGATGATGACACCAGGTGTGAGAGTGAATTAGGGAAAAATATCACACTTGTTCATTTTGTCAGAAGTTGAGACTAAGTGCGCTCATTCTTGAGGAATAAATGACAACAGTTTTCTCAGTGAATATTTTGGGATGGCACTTCCAATGCATAAGTGACAAATGACCACTTTTGCCAATGCAAATGTTTTGCAGAATTTTAAACTTCCCTCCACAGCCAGACTCAAAAGTTTGGGAACCAGTTTGGAAGTTCTAGAACAAAACCAGTTGTATATTATGGCTCCTTTCGGCAACATGATTATGATATCACTTGTTGAAGTCATGTAGATAATGGGTTTGGAAATGTTTCATGTTTATTTGGAGAGGTTGCTCAGCTTCAGGTTTTTAAACCAAGTTTACCAATACATTTGGGAAGGAAATAAAACCACTGGCAATGTAGCAAAGCCACAGGAGCTCTATTATACCTGCAATGTGAAAGGGAAATAATCCCTAGAGAAGTGATGCATATGATTTAGAAGCTGACTCAAAATGTAGAAATAATACAAAAACGAATGGGCCAATGAAACATTGTCTTTAAGTCTGGAGACTCCTTGGAGCTTAGACTGCATTCAGCATAATTGGCTGTTTTAGGGCAGGCTTGGATTGGAATAGCATAAGCTTTGGATTAGGGTGTGTTGGCATGGAAGAATAATAAGCTCATGTCAATGTCAGACATGCAGTATTACTTAATATTTCTTTCTCATAGACTCTTTCGCAACCCTGTTTTGATGCCAGTAGAACTAGGTATGCTCCTTTCCTGGCCACGTTTACCCTGGCAAAGCTAGGCTTGCATTTCATATCTGTCAGCTTTGCCTTCAGAGCTCTGAGTCTCAGAAGTCTTGTGTGCTCCATAAGCCATGTAGACAGGCATGGACATGATGCTCTAAGCATTTCATCACTTGAAGAAGGAAGTGAGGCTGAATAAACAGAAAACCCCAGGTGGAGGAGCATCTCTGATGAAGCTTTTGTGGGAAGACAGAGATCATCTAGAGTGGATTTTTGGCCCTACTAACATACTTTTGGCTGTACTCTGTAATTCCAAGACATGGAGTTCTCTTAGCAGGGGACAAAAATGCACATGTATGAAAAGTGTTTAGTGAAATGTTCCCGTGGGGCTGTGACATTGAAATCAGAAGAGCGGTATGGTTTCCATGCTGCAGCCATAGTTTTCTGTTCCCATACCTGAATTTAAACTGTAACTGATGAAGTGCTACCTGACTATTGAGTTTTTGTAGGAAATGTCATAAAACCTGATGACATTGTACATTTGGAAAGTGTATAATGCCCAGGATTTTAGGACATGGTAGCATTATTTGAACCCGATCAAATTCAGACTGTTATGTAACACATAGATTCTTACAGCATAAACTTGCTACCCACGAATTTTTTTAAACCCATTAAAATTGGACAAAAATTCTATCTCCATTTTCTTTCTAGGCCTTAGTCCCATAAACAATGTGAATTTATAGAGCAGAGGTACTTTATTTATTAAAGGTAGAAAAACAGATGGCGATCTCTCTGGAAGCCAAGTCCACTGGCTGCCTACTGAACTTTGTGGATTGCCCTGTGGGTTGGAAAAGGTAGAGAGGGGTGAATGGAGTTGGCTCCTGGGAGTGGTGTATATGGACCTTTCCACTTCAGCAGGTTGATTTTACCTATTTGGAAGTATGGTGGTGAAAATTCTGAATGATGATAACCTCAGGGGTAAGGACACTGTGGGATTACTGAGTTTCTTCTGGAAAAAAAAATTTTTTTATAGTAATACCTGAGAAGATAGATACAGAACATAGAGATTTCCCTGTTAGTGTAAAATTGAAGTAAAGTGTGGAGGACTTTTTGACTCACTTGAGCTCTTTCTCAGTGTTTAAACATCTAGTTGAGCTTTTATACTTATTATTGGCAAACCTCCTAATTTTTTGAACATGTGCAACATCATATTCATTTCACATTTACTGAGTGTTTCCTATGTGTCAGTCAGTCACCACTGTAGGTCCTGGAGGTTCAGGGAGAAATGAGACAATCTCCAGTCCTCAAGAAACTGACAGTCTAGTTGTGGAGACAGACATGCATAATCCTAAATATAAGTGCAGTGGAGAACAACATATGGCACGTTACCAGAAGGAAATCACTTGATGGATGCAAACAGCAGAAGCCACTTCTGGCTACCTTAAGCAAAAGGGAATTTTTTGTAAGAATATCTGGGGTCCCAATATCTGGTCTGTAGAACCAGATTGGGGATGATCAAGAACCAGGGCAGCCCTAAGAGACCAAGAGAAGGCAAACACCACTTTGATTTCATAACCAGGAGTGTCTGGTCAGCTGTCTTTTCTGTTGACGGCTGCTCTCCCTCACCCTCTTTCCTCTGCCCTCACATTGCACTGTCAGTCAAGAGTCAAAGTCCTGGGACAGAGCTCCAAACTTCACACAACTGACTCTCATTGGCAGGATCTAATCAGACCCTGCCTTTATAAGAGTCTGGGATATGTGACTCCAAGCTTTACACTTGAGCTTTCTGCTCTGTTTTTATGTCACTCAGGGAAGTCTTTGCTGACACTGCAGTCTGGGGGAGGTTTTACACTCTTAGAGAACTATTTCTTGGTTCAGTTTGGAATTATGCATCCCTTTGGTGAATGTTGGCTTTCCTCTCAGGGCTTGAGTGCCCCAACCATAATCATCAAGATACCTCCAGCTTCTCGCAAAATTCTTGGCATGTGATGCTCCTTGATCAATGTGCATTGAGTGAATAAATGAGCTCAGCAAATTCTCAATGAATGAGAACTTGGGAGAGGAGAAATTGCTTTGAGATCTACTTCTCACCCAAGAATATTGTTAGCTCTGAGGAGAGTCATTTGCCCCAGCAAAATGTCAAGCCCACTCTTGTTCCCAGCACGGTATGTTCTGTGTAGGCTGCAAGATGGAACCATACCACGAATAATAAAACACAGAAGAGGAAATGGCTGTTGCTGTACCCACACCTAACATCTCCAGCCTTGGTTCTATTACCCTAGGAAGGTAAAAAGGGATGAAGGTTTGAGTAAGGGTGTTTCGCCACTCTTCCTTCATTTTCCTTTTTAATAAAAAGAAATGTGGTATTTACAGAGAATATCATCTTATTCTGCAAAGAGAATGCTTCCTTCTCTAGTTCTCACTTCTAATTTATTGGATTGTTAGGAAGGTGATATTTTATGAGAGTGATACAATGAAATTTCTGGTTATATGTGGTCATTTCCAATTATTTGCATTTCCATGCAAATAATTATTTTTATAATAAAATGATTATATTATATACTATTTCTTGAACCCTTACTGTATACCAGACACTGCACTAAATGATTTGCATCCTTAGGTTATGCGTTCTTGTAACAGACCTAATGGCTTATAGGCACTATCATAATCTTGGTTTTTAAAATGAGAGACTATGGTTTAGAGAAGAACTCGTTCAGAGTGACGTGGCAGGAAAGGGATGGAGCTATTCTTAACCACCACACTATTCTGGTGTTTTTCCTAGTTTATGATCCTGCTTCCCTCATGAGACAAGTGGGATCATTAACTTTTACAGATTAGCTAAACTACAATTTGAGCAACATACCTGAGGTTGATATATAAGAACCCCTCTTTTTAGGACAAAACCAGCAGAGATGCAGCCACTAAATAATGTAATTTTAAAAAAGTAGGGAACGAATTACATGAATAAAATATAACACCAGGTCTGTATTTAAAAATATGATAAGTTATATGTAGAAAAAAGAAAGATTGTGGTGGCTTTCAATATCTGTTTAATTTTTCTTCCCCCAGAAGCTCTTTATGTACCATTCTAAGATTGTTTTACTGCTTCATTTTTAAAGGATTGACGTGTTTGCTCTGTTGGTAGTTTCCCTTTCCTTTGGTTGTTGGCTTAAAGGACTGAGACCTCAAAAGATGATTTGAGACATGTAAGCAGCTTTCCTGGACTAGACGAAGGTGAACTCTTGAGTTGGGAGATCCCTCATTCCTTGCCAAGTCCAGAGTGGAAACGGTCTGGGAAGCTGCTCCACTTTGCAGTGAGCTGTTCACATAGGTCTGACCTCCTTGGTGTAGGCAAACTCACTTTGCATCTGAAGCCAGGAACTAGCCTGGTGTCCCAGGGATTGGGATCACAACTAGGGTGGCCATGGGTCTAAGGCAGAGGTTCTTAACCAGGGCCTGTAACAGAGGCTTAGAACCTCCCTACTCCCCTGGGAACATTTGCTAATGTCTGGAGATATTTTTGGTTGCTATAGCTGGGAGGATGCTCTAAGCATCTCATGGGTAGGGTCTATTCCAGGGGTGCTGCTAAATGTCCTAATATGCAGAGGACACCTCTGCCCCCCAATAAATAATCATCCAGAGAAGCCCTGGTCTACAGGAGTCCTTTCCTTCTTGTGTAAGGATCACTACTGATCTTGGTTCTCTAGGCCCCCTGCCTTGAGGTAGCATTTCTTAAAAGTTTTTACTTAGTATAACAGACCTTTCTCCCACCTTTCAGTATTATCTCAGTTGAAATGCATAACATTTTTACCTGCACTTTTTCTGTGGCATTATTTTAGGCAGCTTACAGAGTTGAATTTCTCGTGTATGTTTGTGTGTGTGCACATGAGTGTGTATGGTGTTTGGACTGTTACTCTTTCTGTCTAACAATTTTCACATATAGTAATCTATACTTATATATGTGAGTGTGTATGACACTCTTGAACCCTGAAAATTATTGCAATTATTAAAACTGATCTGACTATTCTTATCATGATATCGACTAATTTGTTAGGGGGGTGCTAGTCAGGTGTAGTACAGGGAACATGTAATAGGAATAAAGCATCTGATTGAGACAGAACAGAGATAGCCCACCCAGCAGATAACACTCAGTTTAAATTTCTTTGGCTTAATACCAGCATTGCAGTCATTTGAAAAATAGTGACCTTTAATATGACTTTTTTTCCTGACTGAAAATAAAAACACTTTATTTTATCAACCTTTTGGGTTGAAAATCTTATTTCTATATTCACATTAAATATATCTTTTCATACATTTGATCTAGTCATTTGGGATAGGGTAAAATTTTCTGTTCAATGTAGATTGAATGTAGATTTAACTAATACAGTGCCTAAAAATTTGCAATTAAAAAGTATAATCCAGGTTAGTGTTTGTGATTTGCCAAATTCTTTTGAACAGTGTCTTTCCTGGTTTGGAAAATATAACAAAAATCTAACTTAATATATTACACAGAAAGTTATTTATATGTATTTTGTGTTGGTAGGGTAGCAGTATGTCACCGGACCTAAGAATAGGCATCTTTGCTCTTGCATCCTTTAATACAGTGTGTCTTGACAGCTTGCTTGGGGGTTCTAACAGGGGAGCACAGCTACTCGTATGCCCTTGACTGAAGATCGGTCCTCCTCTATTGGGGATGTCGTCCTCTTTGACCAAGCATGTAGCTTTGGGAGGGACACACATGGAGTGGTGAGGGAGGAAGGGGACACCCGCCTACCAGCCAGATCAGCCGAATCAACCCTGGCCATCAATGGGGTGACAGATGTTGCAGCCAGATTGCCCTCACATCCAATACAGTGTGTCTTCATCATGGTGCGAAGGTGATGCCAAGGGTTCTAGTGCTAATTAAATTCCACAGGGCAAGTAATCACCAACAGTGTATGGCTGCTGCACTTGGCTGGAATTATTTGCCCCAATGTTGGTGAGATGGTTTAGGAAAAAACATCTTGGTGACTTTAACCAATTGATCGATACTGTTGGTCAGAAGTCCATTTTGCTCCAATGAATGATATTCAAAAGTCACTTTGTGTGTGCTTCATGTCTCTTGGATAGAGATTGTGGCTTCCATGGTAAAACTAAGCTCCTTTGTGAAGCAACAAATTCAGTAGCCTCCTCCTTTGTATACATTGCTTTTCTTCTAAGGGATTTGAAATTGTCCTTCTCCTAGAGATGACATTGATGAAATGGTATTTTATTATCAAAGGAACCAAAGCTAGGAAAGTTACCCTCTAATGGAACAATTAAAGAGAGTCAGGGAAGCCTGCCCATTCATTCATCCATTCATTCAGCATCTACAGGCACTGTCTTCACATAGCTCCATTTTTCTTCCTTTGGGCTCTAGTGTACACAACCCAATATTATTTGATTTTAAAAGACATGTAACTTTGGTTATGCTGATGAAGCCTGGACAGTCTTGAAGACAGGAAGACATGAGACAACAGTAAACCTGGAAGAGACTTGATGGAGCCTCCTAGTCCAACCTCTTCATTTCTCCACTCAAGATATAGAGTACCTGAGGGATGATGTGACTTATGTAGGGTCATGGAGCTAATTAGTGACAGAGCCTGGGCTGTACTCAAGTGTCTGAATCTGATTACACTTTTCCTTTCCTTCTTTCCATGTCCCTATGGCATATGAGGCCTTGGGCACCATTGCCCTACTCTGGCCTGTTTGTTTGCCTGCCCTCCTGCTGTCCAGCCATCCAATAGTCCACATTCAGCATCGGTAATGAGCTGGCTGCCTCAAAGGTACTGGGGATACATATATTATTGAAGAAGTTGTAATTTCTGCCCACTGGGAACTCAGACTCATGGAGAAAATTACTAAATAGGCAAGTTACAGGACTGTAGATGATGTGTGCTCTATCAGCCAGGTATACTACACATAGGAGGGGCACCTCACCTAGCCAGGGGAGTGGGATGAATAAGGAGGACTTCCTGGAAAAGATAATGGCTAAATTGAGAGATGAGGGGCTAGGAGTAGTGGTCCAGTCAAAGCGAGAATAGCATTTGCAAAGGTTTGGCAGGAAGAGGCAGCACGGTGCATTTGGTGGAATTAGAAGTAATTTAATATAGCTGGACCACACTTTCTTGGCCCACTTAGGAAACAGATTTCACATTTCGGAGCTTTTCTATTCTTTACGTCTTCTAGCAATCAAATATATTTTATAATTAAAGTTGGAGAGTCATTTTGACTTCTATATTATAAATGTTCTAGTCCTTTGTGACTTGCAAGTGGCAATAACAATTATCAGTGTTATTTAAAAATGCAGTTCAGGGCCAGATCAT